>NC_000008.11:966855-1269140 GCF_000001405.40 Homo sapiens
ATGTAAAATATACTTCTTTTTCTCACAAATTGATCCTGAGCTTATTTTGTGCTTCACTGTGCCTTTTGTCACTTGACATACATCAGATAAATCTACTGGCCATTGATGTGTCTCTTGCATTTGAGTGGCTGCGTGACATTGCAAATATGGATGCTCCATCACATGTGTCATGTGGACATTTGGGTTACTTTTCTTTTAAATGAATGCTGAAATAAACTTCTTTGTGTATTTACCTTTCTTGATTATACAGATGTCTTTCCAGCACAGGCTCCTTGGAGAGGTGGCTGGGCCATCGCTGACATTCGTGCTTTCACTGCCTGTGTCATGTGCTCATACACTGTACACGTTTAAACACTTCCTTACTGATGGACAGTGAGATTCTTTCCCCATGTTAGTTTTTCCTAAAGTTTGTTCTAGTTTGAAGAAAATGGGAATGAGCCCAGCTTAAGCGCATATCCCTTTCGAACATGAAGGTTCAGATAAGGCATGAACTTGAGAATTCTGTGCCGCTTAGGCTTTGGGTGCCTGTGGTTTTGAGAGTGAGTAGATTATTCTTACTCATTTGATTCTAAGAAAAAGTAGCTGTTGCTGAGGCTTAAGATGCCCTTAATTGTTTGGATGCCTTCATGAATTTCAGATTTATTCGTGTTCAATAGTTGTATGGAAAGATAAGGATGTGAAACCTAGAATTCAATTCAGAGCAAGAGGAAAAGTTCAAAATTTTGACATGCATGGCTATTTCAACATTTCAATGCACAATTTGACTTAAATTGTGGATTTTTTTCTTGGATGGGTTGTGGATTTCTGAGAAATGTACAAATACCTATGTACATTTATTGCTGAAAGAGGTTTGTTTTACTACTGTATAAAATCTTAAAGGATCCCAAAAGTGGTGTTCAACAAAGAGGTGTATATATATATATGTATATATATATATATACACCTCTTTGTTGAACACCACTATATATATATATATATATATATATATATATATATATATATATATATATATATATATAAATACTTTAAACTCCCTAGAACTGAAAGTATAACAAACAGGTGTTTTCTTCATGATGACTATGATGTTGTTTTTCTTTACGTCAGTATCTTCACTGTATTTAGTCTGTAGCTTCTCTCCTGATACACAAATGCACTCACACACGTGCTCATTTGCCCTCATGCTGACACAGATGCACACACATTGTTATTCACCTGTCTTCCCAATTTTTCTTTCCTTTTGTGTTCCCTCAGTTTTGAATTTTAATTTGGTGACTTCAGGCAGAGTCTGATTTGTGACTTCTGTTTATGTTGTAACTTGGGAATATCTGACTTTTACTGAATACAAGCCACATGTGGGCAGTAAAAGGAAGATGATTATGACAGCTATGCCCGTGGGGCCCCTGCCCCCAACCCCCCAGCTGGTGCTTTGCTGATTCCTTTCAGCTACCGACCCACCTAATTCTCTGAGAACCTTTCATGGTCAGATGGTCAGTAGGAATGGGAAGCATGGCCCCTGTGAGCTGAAGTGACTTATGGGGGCTCCATCAGTGTGGAGGTGTTCACAGGAAGTCCACAGGGAGGAACTCCAGAGCCTGTGCCTCCTGCTCCCTGCCCACATTCCTCCAGGTCCTTGCATTCACTCGTGCACTTCTACTAGAAGACGGGGCTCCCTGGGATCCCTGTGGGGCTCCTGTTCCATACTAGCCTCCCCTGGTGGCGGCCAAGCCCCAAGCCAGCGCCATGAGTGCATCCTCAGTTGGGAGGGCTGGGCAGACTTGACCACCTTTATTTCCACTCTGTTTAAGTTTTTGTAACATACAGGGACGAAAGAAAGAAAGCCCTTATACATGCACTGGGCAGCACCTGTGTCAGCGAGTGACAGGCTTTCAGCAGCATGGTATGTCCTCACCTCACGTCTTCAGTAGGGTTCCTGGAAGCTGCGACTCCACGTATAATGAGTCGCAGTGGATCCACGTATAATGGATCCACGTATAATGAAACCGATGTTTTTTCCTCATCCACCTTGTAAGGAATCAAAGTTGAACTAAAAGACATTATGGTGGGATTTGCTGTAAGTTGTTTCACCTAAAGTCACAGTTCCCGCGAACCAATCAAGGACATTGAGGACTTGCTGCATAGTGTGTGGGTTCATCTGTGGCTCAGCTCGTGTGGGCCATGGGGTTCCCAGGCATCAGTCAGATGTTCTTCTGGGGATGCCTGGAGGCATTTCTGGATGAGAGTCTCATGATAATTTTTTGCCTCAGTGAAGCAGACCTCTCCCCAGGGGGGATGGGCTCACGCAATCCCCTCAAAGACCTGACTAGAATGAAGGACACCTTCCACCAAGTCTGAGAGAATTCCTGCTTCATGGCCTCCGATGTCAGCTCTTCCTGGGTCTCCAGCCTGCAGGCTTCAGACTGGAACTTCACAGTTGGCTCCCTGGGCCTCCCGCTGGCCGACACACTCTGCAGATCTTGGGACTCGTCACCCTCCATGCGCGAGTGAGCCAATCCCTTGAAATCTCCTTCTCTCTACACGTGCACAGCCTATTAGTTTCTCTGGAGACTCCTGACGAATACACAAACCAGTGCAGGTTTGTAGCCCAGCAAACCCAGTGTGCTGGAGCAGCTCGTACTGGCTTGCAAGAACCAACTGTTAAGTTTTTAGGAATCTTGTGTGCCAGTTAGAAAAAAAAAAAAGATATAAACTTAAATAATTATATTACCAACAAAGATAATACATATTCAAAACCTGTTGTGTCCTAGGTACTTTGTGGGTGCTCTAAAAGTTCCTTATTTCTCTCTTGTCTGCAGGGAGGTGCAGTTCATGCTATGCTGCTGCAAACCTCCCCTCAGCTCCCTGTTCAGTGATGTCATAAGGGTGGCTTGGAGGGAGCCTGGTGGGAGAATTTACACAGTGGGAATCAGCAGATATTTTGCATCAGACTCTGATTTATTGTTTTGGTGATCGTGTAGACTTAAAGTGATGGGGAATATGTTATTAGTACAGATTAAACCTAGAAGTGTATTACATCTGTGGCCATTATATTGTCAATAGCATAAACATTTGAGGTTATGTTCTTTTAATATTCAAAACTATTATCTGATTCAGCAAAAAATTGTTCACACCATTGACAAATGAGTGAAATTCTGACATGGTTCAGCAAAAAATTGTTCACACCATTGACAAATGAGTGAAATTCTGACATATATCTTCATTTTTTTCATTTTTATCCTGCTCATTAACCTAAAGAAAAATGTCCACCGGCATTCATTTTGGAGCTGCAGTCATTTGTCAATGACACCAGCAGCTTCTTTGCTGAGTCAGATAGTGATCAAGCTTTTCTTCATCATCTTATTTGGTGACAATATTGTTACTGATAGAGTTATAAAAATTGATGGTGGGTTTGCAAGAAATACCAAGTCACAAAGAAATTATAGGTGTGTTGACTTTATAGTAAGGATGTTATATATTTTATTTTTAAAAAATTGTGTGCAACTCATTTTTTACATAGCAAACCTACAAAGACACATATACACATTTTTCTCCAGAGAGGTGGCTGATCAACGTTTATCAGCCCACCAGTGCTTAAGGACAAATGGCAGAATTCTTATCATGACTTTCCCTTGCCATCTGTACTTGGATACATTTCTTCTGTAATAGGAATAGAACAGGCCTGTTTTTTGGACTAATGTAAACATGAGGGATTAGATTTTGTAAGAATACTTATTTTGAGAATAACACTATATTGTTTGTTTTTACAAACCAAGGCTTTTTTCTTCTAAACTGTCTGAGAAATGGGAACATGTGTGTTCTGTGTCCTTAGAGACATGTAATTATTTTAACAAATGGCTCTTAAAATTTAGTGTAGGAAAAAATGCCTTAATCAACTAAATGGGTGATAGAGACTTGAGCTGCACAAAGCTTCTAGTATATTCTATGACCTTGATTTTAGCCTTAATAACACACCAAAGAGATGCAATGAAATTTCCATTGTCAGACCCCAGACTATCTTAACCTTGTTAACGATTATATACTTCTAAGAAAATATAAAATTTCAATGTTTAAGTAATGTGCATTATTTTCTGCTAGAATGCAAGTGAAGAAAATAAATTTTACCTCCATGTTTAACCGTAAACCTTAGAGTCTGCCCATCAGTAGTGTGGCTCTCCTGTTCAGATCAGGATCTTAAATGGTAACTTGAAAACCTGGGAGTATGAATGAAAATTCAGGACTTATTTAGATAATTGGACTTTATCAAAATGAGTAATTTTTGTGGTTTCGAGGACACCATCCGGAAACTGAACAGCCAACGTAGAGGATGGGAGAAAGTATTTTCATATCAAATACCTGTATGTATCCAGAATTCATAAAGAACTCTTGTAACTTAACAATAAAATGACTAATAACCCAACTGAAAAGTGGACAGAGGGTTTCTGCTCTGACACATAAGGGCATTGGAAGTCACCACTGTTATCCTCCTCACAAGAGAAGTGCTGAACTCGCTGAAAATTGACAACTTTTCTTAGATCCCTGGGTAAATTGAGGTCACAGGGCACGTGTTCCTCCCCAAAATTGGAGCAACCAGCAGATGGATGCAGGAATCACAGCTTGTTACCACCACTGGGAGAAGCAGCCCCAGCTGGAGTCAGCACCCACTGGGAGCACTGAAACCACATTGTCAAAGTGCTGGATTCTAAGCATGGACTTGCTTGAGAGAGAAGACTCTGGAGAGCCCATTCTACTTGTGTGAGTTTTATTTCTAGGAGCCACACCAGGTTGCTCAGGTGAAGATCATAGAAAAATACCCGCATACTTCTGCCAGGAATAGGGAAAAGTCATCATCATGGAGTACTCTCAGAGGATTGTATTCTGAGCAAGGCCTGCCCTCAATAGAAATCTGTTTTTCAAGCCTCACAGACTTGGGTTTTATGGGATCCTAAGCAATGAGAGTGAAGGGGAATTCTCAATTCCAGCCCCATTGTCTTCCTTCCTTACACAGGGGGAAGAAAGCTAAGAAGCACTTGTGATGGTTGCAGCCCAGGGGTACAGGCTTATTATAGAACTGAGACCCAATCATAGCATTGTTCGGTGGCTCTTTTCCTTCAACACCTTTCCACCACATCAGTAGGGCTCCTGTATAATAACATGGAACTAGAGCTGAAAGGGGTCATTGCTAGATTCAGGTCCTATTTAAGAAGTCATCTTGGGGAAACCAAAAGTTGTAACAGGAGAGACAAAAACAAGGACAACACAGGACATTTTAACCTCTTAAACCTACATCTATAGCAGACATAAACACAGCCTGACTCCTAGATGGACAGACATAAATCTCACCCTAAAGTTTCATTTATCTTAGTGCACTTTTACCTGCTTCACTATATCCATCATGCAACGAAAAACCTACAAGGCATGCGGAAAGGAAGAAATGAAAGATAATCTGAAGACACAAAGCAAGCACCAAAATAAGACCTAGATATAGCAGAGACTGAAATTATCAACAGATAGTGCTAAGGGTTCTAATGGAAAAAAAGTGGACACTGACAAGAACAGATGAGTGATATAAGCAAAGAGATGGAAACTCTAAGAAAATCAAAGATAAAAAACATAGCTGGGCATAAAAAACACTGTGACAGAAATGACAAATGCTTTTGATGGTCTAATCATTAGACTGGGCATAGGCCAGGTAAAAATCAGTGAGCTTAAGGAACTTCCAAACTGAAAAGCAAAGGTAGAAAATATTTTTTTTTGTATTTTTTTCTTATTTATTTATTTATTTATTTATTTATCATTCTTGTGTGTTTCTCGCAGAGGGGGATTTGGCAGGGTCATAGGACAATAGTGGAGGAAAGATCAGCAGATAAACAAGTGAACAAAGATCTCTGGTTTTCCTAGGCAGAGGACCCTGCGGCCTTCCGCGGTGTTTGTGTCCCTGGGTACTTGAGATTAGGGAGTGGTGATGACTCTTAACGAGCATGCTGCCTTCAAGCATCTGTTTAACAAAGCACATCTTGCACCGCCCTTAATCCATTTAACCCTGAGTGGACACAGCAGATGTTTCAGAGACCACCGTGTTGGGGGTAAGGTCATAGATAACAGCATTCCAAGGCAGAAGAATTTTTCTTAGTACAGAACAAAATGGAGTCCCCTATGTCTACTTCTTTCTACACAGACACAGCATCAATCTGATTTCTCTATCTTTTCACCACATTTCCCCCTTTTCTATTCGACAAAACCGCCATCGTCATCATGGCCCGTTCTCAATGAGCTGTTGGGTACACCTCCCAGATGGGGTGGCGGCAGGGCAGAGGGGCTCCTCACTTCCCAGAAGGGGCGGCCGGGCAGAGGCGACCCCCACCTCCCTCCCAGACGGGGCGGCTGGCCGGGCGGAGGCTGTCCCCCCACCTCCCTCCCGGACGGGGCAGCTGGCCGGGCGGGGGCTGTCCCCCCACCTCCCAGACAGGGCGGCTGCCGGGCGGAGACGCTCCTCACTTCCCAGACGGGGTGGCTGCCGGGCGGAGGGGCTCCTCACTTCTCAGACGGGGCGGCCGGGCAGAGACGCTCCTCACCTCCCAGACGGGGTCACGGCCGGGCAGAGGCGCTCCTCACATCCCAGACGGGGTGGTGGGGCAGGAGGCGCACCCCACATCTCAGACGATGGGCGGCCGGGCAGAGATGCTCCTCACTTCTTTCCAGATGGGGTGGCAGCTGGGCAGAGGCTGCAATCTCGGCACTTTGGGAGGCCAAGGCAGGCGGCTGGGAGGTGGAGGTTGTAGTGAGCCGAGATCACGCCACTGCACTCCAGCCTCTGCTTTTTCTCAGTTCCAGCTCCTTTCTCTTTCACGGTACCTCAGTTGCTTCTACTTTATCGGATAGTGTTGGAGATCATGGAGGGAAGGCAAATATACGCGCGGCTGAGCGGAGGCGAATCCGGAGCGCGAATCCGGGGCTCGGGCCCGTGGCCCCGCGGCGGTCCGGGAGGTCGGGGCGGGCGGTGGCGGCTGCGACCACGGGCCAGGCCTCTTCCCCTCCTCCGCCACCGCCGCCACCGCCACCGCCGCCACCCCGGCTGGAGAGCGCTGGGCGCAAGCTGCGCGCGCAGACCGGGCCACTCGGTCGCCAGAAAAGATTTTTTTAAAAATGGAACAGAATATTGAAGAACTGTAGGAGAAATACAAAAGAAGTAACATATGTGGAATGGTAATACCAGAAAGAGAAGAAAGAAAGAAAAGAAAAGAAGAAATATTTGTAGTAAAAGTTGATGAGAATTTTTCGGAACTAATGGTAAGACACCAAACCATATCCAGGAAGCTAAAAGAACCAGCAAGATATATATTAAAAATCCACAACTAAGCATTTCATATTCAAACTATAGAAAATCAAAGATGAAAATGAAATCTTGAAAGAAGCTACAGAAATAAAATGGCTCACGTACAGAGGGGTAAGGATAAGAATTACTTAAGTCTACTCTTTGTAAACCATGCAAGCAGGAAAAAAGTTGATTCAAATATTTAAAGTGTTGAAAGAAATAAGTAAAACACCAACCCAGAATTCTGTCTATAGATGACTTCATCCAAAACAGCAGAAACACATTCCTCTCAAGCTTATATGGAATATTCATCAAGATAGAATATATTCTGGGCTATAAAACACACCTTAAAAATTTAAAAGACTAGAAGTAACACAAAGTCTGCTCTTAGACCATAGTGGAATTAAACTAGAAATTAGTAACAGAAAGATAGCCAGAAGTTTCCAAAATATATAGATACTAAACAACATACTTCTAAATAACACATTCGTCAAAGAAGAAGTCTCAAGATAAATTTTAAAATATTTCAAACTAAGTAAAAATGAAAATTCAACTTATCAAAATTTTTGAGATACCAAAAAGGCCAGATTAAAAGGAAATGTATTTACCATTGAATACATATTTAGAAATGGAGTAAGATCCAAAATCAATCATCTAAACTTCTTCTTTAAAAAACTAGAGAAGAGCAAATTAAATCCAAAATAAGCAGAAGAAAAGAAATACTATGAATGAGAAAAGAAATCAATGAAACTGAAAATAAGATATTGGTATAGAAACTTAAGCCAAGAGCTTGTTCTTTGAAAAGATCAAAACACTTGACGAACCTCTGACCAGGCTAATGAAGAAAAAAGGGAGAGAAGATCCAAATTACCGAAATCAGAAATGAAAGAAGGGCCATCAGTCCTGATTCCAGGAACATTAAAAAGATAATAAAAGAATACTATGAATAACTCTGTGTCCAAGAATTTGATAACCTGCATGAAATGGACAAGTTGTTTGAAAAACAAACCTGTCAAAACTCACACAAGAAGGAATAGACAATCTGAACAGGCCTATATCTATTAAAGAAATTTAACAAATAACTAATAACTTTCCAAAACAGTAAGCACCAAGCCCGCATGGGTTCATTGGTGAATTCTATCAAATATTTAAGGAAGATAATTATTTCAGTACTCCACAACCTATTCCAGAAGACAGAAATAGAGGGAATAAATGCTAAATAATTCTATAAAATTATTTAGCATTCCCCTCAAATCAAAACCAGAAAAAGACATTTAAAGAAAGGATCACTGCAGACCAGTATTTCTCATAAACATAGATGTGGAGATCCTCAGCAAAGTATGAGGGAATCAAATCTAACAACGTATAAAAATAATTTTACACCATGACCAAGCTGGATTTATCCAGGTATGCAAGGCTGGCTCAACATCTGAAAATTGTAATCATTCACAGGCTAAGGAAGAAAAAATTACATCATGTCTATAGTACAGCAAAAGCATTTGCCAAAACCCAGCACCCATTCATAATAAAACTCTCTACAAAATAAGAATACAGGGGGAACTTCCTCAACTTGATAAGGAATATTTACAAAAAACCCTGTAGCTAAACTCATACTTCATGGTGAGAAACTGGACAATTTCCCCTCATATCAGAAGCAAAACACTCTTACCATGTTGGAAGTTTGAGCAAATGCAATGAGACAGGAAAAGGAAATAAAAGCTGTACAGACCAAGACGGGAGAAATAAACCTATTTCACAGATGACGTTGTCTGTGGAAAAAATCCAAAGAATCAACAAAAATTACCCTGAAACCAATAAACAATTATAGCAAGGTTGCAAGATACAAGGTTATTATACAGAAGTCAGTTATTTTCCTATACACCAGCAATAAAAAATTGGAATTCGAAATGGAAGACACAAGATAAAATTAACACCAAAAATAAAGAAATACTTAGGTATAAATCCAAGAAAGCATGCATAAGATCTGTATGAAGAAAGCTACAAAACTCTTATAAAAGACATAACATTTTCACGATAATAAGTACAAAGTTGGAGGGATGACTTCGAGACTTATTAGAAAGGTACTGTAATGAAGACAGTGTTGTATTGGTCAAAAAATCGGCCAATAGAACACAATGGAAAGCCCAGAAAATAGACTCAGTGCAGGCCGGGCGTGATGGTTCAAGCGTGTAATCCTAGCACTTTGGGAGATCGAGGCGGGCGGATCACAAGGTCAGGAGATCGAGACCATCCTGGCCAACATGGTAAAACCCCATGTCTACTAAAAATACAAAAAAATTAGCTGGGCGTGGTGGCAGGTGCCTGTAGTCCCAGCTACTTGGGAGGCTGAGGCAGGCGAATGGCGTGAACCCGGGAGGTGGAGCTTGCAGTGAGGCGAGATTGCGCCACTGCTCTCCAGCCTGGGCGACAGAGCAAGACTCTGTCTCAAAAAAACAAAAAACAGAAAATAGACTCAGTGCAAATAGGGCCAACCAATCTTTGACAAAGGAGCAATTCAGTGTAGAAAAGATGGCTTTTTCAAAAACGGTGCTGGAACAACTGGACATCTACATGCAAGAAAAAATGGATGTAGACGTAAACCTTTGACTTATAAAAAACATAACTGAAAATAGATTTTAGACCTATATATAAAATGCAAAACTGTAAAACTTATAGAAGATAGCATAAAATACCTAGGTAACTGTAGATTTAGTGATGACATTTTAGATATAGTACCAAAAGCACTGTTCATGAAAGAAATAATTGATAAGTTGAACTTGCATTAAAGTTAAAAACTTCTTTGTGAAGACCATGTTCAGAGAATGAAATGACAAGCTACAGACTGGGAGAAAATATTTACAAAACACTTACCTAATAAAATACATGGATTGGTAGCCAGGATTTATGACTTGTCTGCTTATCCAAAAATGGTACTCAGCCAAGATAAGAGGTCAGCTTCTTGCATTTCTTCACCTCTCTCACTTTCCTCCTCTTGCCTCCCCTCCTGAAATGTTGCAAATGTTTCTGTAGACCAGCCCTACAGTGGGCAGAGACCCACTCCTTGCCTCTGTCTGTACCTGGTTGGTCTAAAGGCAATGAGAAAATGAAATCATTCCTTCTCTTGAAGTCTGTCTCCCTGAAGAGCACCTCCCATGTTCTTCTGACAGCTGAGGTGGACACATGCCTTTGGTCAGGCAGGTAAACAATTTTATGTGCAAATGAGTGGATTAGTTTCCATGGAGGGCACATGGCAATGTGAGGTCAAAACTAGGTTTCTGACCCCTGTGATGTGTGACACTTTCTGATATAGCAAAATATCTTTCTCCAGTAAGGTATATTCAAAGCTGCTGCTTCAAATTATTGCCAGTTAGTTTTGGGTACTTATTTTTGAACTCATGCCTCCTTGCGAACTTTTTCAATGAGTTTTAACAGGATCCATATTTTAATTTATACTTAGTAAACTCTATAAAACTGTCCTTCTTTGTGAAATATAATTAGAACATTTTCCCTGTTATAGACTGTTTTTTAAGAGAGTTCATAGAATTTTAGTAATGTGGGGAGGGCGTCGGGGATGCAGTGAGGGGCTGGGTTCTGGTCTTTGGTGTTGTGGGGAGGGCGTCGGGGATGCAGTGAGGTGCTGGGTTCTGGTCTTTGGTGTTGTGGGGAGGGCGTCGGGGATGCAGTGAGGGGCTGCGTTCTGGTCTTTGGTGTTGTGGGGAGGGCGTCGGGGATGCAGTGAGGGGCTGCGTTCTGGTCTTTGGTGACGTGGGGAGGGCGTCGGGGATGCAGTGAGGAGCTGGGTTCTGGTCTTTGGTGTTGTGGGGAGGGCGTCGGGGATGCAGTGAGGGGCTGGGTTCTGGTCTTTGGTGTTGTGGGGAGGGCGTCGGGGATGCAGTGAGGGGCTGGGTTCTGGTCTTTGGTGTTGTGGGGAGGGCGTCGGGGATGCAGTGAGGTGCTGGGTTCTGGTCTTTGGTGTTGTGGGGAGGGCGTCGGGGATGCAGTGAGAGGGTGGGTTCTGGTCTTTGGTGTTGTGGGGAGGGCGTCGGGGATGCAGTGAGGGGCTGGGTTCTGGTCTTTGGTGTTGTGGGGAGGGCGTCGGGGATGCAGTGAGGGGCTGGGTTCTGGTCTTTGGTGTTGTGGGGAGGGCGTCGGGGATGCAGTGAGGTGCTGGGTTCCGGTCTTTGGTGTTGTGGGGAGGGCGTCGGGGATGCAGTGAGGTGCTGCGTTCCGGTCTTTGGTGACGTGGGGAGGGCGTCGGGGATGCAGTGAGGTGCTGCGTTCTGGTCTTTGGTGACGTGGGGAGGGCGTCGGGGATGCAGTGAGGTGCTGGGTTCTGGTCTTTGGTGACGTGGGGAGGGCGTCGGGGATGCAGTGAGAGGGTGGGTTCTGGTCTTTGGTGTTGTGGGGAGGGCGTCGGGGATGCAGTGAGGGGCTGGGTTCTGGTCTTTGGTGACGTGGGGAGGGCGTCGGGGATGCAGTGAGAGGGTGGGTTCTGGTCTTTGGTGTTGTGGGGAGGGCGTCGGGGATTCACTGAGGGGCTGAGTTCTGGTCTTTGCCACGCGGGCATGTGTATATCATCTGGTAAGGCATTTCAATGGTGGGATTTTCCCCAGAAGTGAATGAAGACTTTTCAAACAGCTTACCTTTTGATAAGCTTGACAAAACCAGGTTTCTTTACACATTCCCAGTTAAAAATAATGCTGATCCCAAATACTCATAGCCAAAAATGTATGACATATTATTGCAAAAATAACTCCGTAATCTTTCTCTGCTGGCAACGAGTTTAGGGTTTGCTGGTAGATCAGCAAGATTGGTGAGAGACCCTGTTAGGAAGCTTGGGTCACTCCCCAGCTTGTTCCCACACTTCATTCTCCGCAGGAGTGTTCAGGAGCATGCAGTCCGAATGCTAGCCCTTGTCATTAAGAATTCTAAATTGGGGGTGGGGGATGGCGAGTGCAGTTCTTGAATCCAGGTGAGCTCAACATTGTTAAGATTCTTCAAAAGCAATCACACTGACTTCACAAAGGAACATAATGGCACCTAACATCTCTTCTGATGGGATTATAATGACAAACTAATAAAAACAGTAAGCAAATGGAGATTACAGCTTTAAATATACTGACATCCGAAGGAGTGGGAAAATAGATGCTAAGACTGATGGGAATCTCAGTGGATATCCACCCCACAAGGGAGAAATTGAGTAGTTGAACCTAACAGCAGACATAATAGTCTGTGATTTTATCCTTTTTCTAAAAATGTGCTGCCACCAAAGTGACACAGTGATCTTGTTCCCAGCCTCACATCCCTGACCTGTAACTGGAGAGACAGGAGACATGGTATTGTAATCAACTTGTGAAATTTGAGAAAAAAGTGCTTGCTGATTATCACTGTGTGGGCAGGTTTTGCACCTGCCTGTAATGATGGAGTAATTTCTCATTATCAGGTAAAGGGTGATCCTACTTTGAAATGAGAACTGCCCTCTGAGCGTCAGGAAGGGGTTGGATTGGTGGAAACTAGGTGTGAAGCATGGCTATCCACCCAAAATGACCCATTGTTTTCAGGCACATGTGCCAGTCCTTTCTCTTGCATGCAGTTTTAAGGAAGGATTAGGATATTTTGAGATGTAACAGTTTTGTCACATGGCCTGCCTAAGTGAAAGAAGGGAAACATTTGCAGTCTTGGACACTCAGTCCTTTGGGAGGAAGTTTGCGGTTTCCTTGGGTTTGCCATTCTGTGTTCCACATCACAGCTGTGGTAAGAAAGAGGAGTGAGAGAGGGGCTGGGAGTGAGGCACGCAGAACCATGGAGCTGCTAAGGGGAGATGTCTGTCTGCAACCTCTAGGACTTGGCAACTGTTCAAAGGTGGATTTGTGGAAGTTTTGGCTTCAGTGACTGGGAAAACGATAGTGCCATTCGTGCATGGGACACCAAGGCCAGACTCAGAGCTGGGATTCCGGGAGTCAGGAGTGACTGAAGAGGAGACCTCTCAGGAGACAAATCTATAACTTGGAGGGATTCAGGCCAGACTTTGTGATTTGAAAATCATCTGCGTGGACATTGTAGCCAAAGAAACGGGATGGGAGGAAATATCCATAGAAGGTGCAGGGCCCACCGTGTGGAATGGTGGAATCCTACATTTTGGTTAATGACCTGGGAAAGACATGCTTTGGGCTATTGATGGCTGTAGGGTCCAGATTGCAAAAGCTCAGCAGTGCGTAGGGATAGACCTTCTAAAAACACAAAGTCAACTATTGCAGTTAAACTGCATGTAATCAGCCACAATTGAGCCAAGTTTCCATTTCCTGTGTCATCCTTGTACCTGAGAGTGCCTTGGAGCAGGGATTGGGAACTGTGACCTTGGGTGCTTATTTCTGTTCTCTCTTCGCCAATTCATTCGCTCAAGGTTGTGAAACACGTGCTGTGTGCTGTCCATGGCGCTGAACTCTGTTGACACAGAGGTGAATCCAGGTGGGCAGGTAAGAGGAGGAGTCAGTTAAAGCAGCCGTGCTGAGGAAGGAGAGACTCCAGCAGGAAGGAAGGAAGCTGGGTTCCGGGAGGACACGCTGGCTCAGCTGAGGAGACAGAGATGCAGGATAGGGAATGGGGGCTCGACAGGTGGCAGCTGAGCGTTTGGATGACCTGGGGCCAATGGGAGAGGGAGGGATAGGAGTGGACAACGGGCAGCAGTTAGGGAACACACAGGAACGCCTGGAATTCTAGACTGAGGAGCTGAGACATTCGTGTGATAGTGGCAAAATGTACATAACATAAAATTTACCATTTTAATCATCTGGGTTCACAGTTCAATGGTATTAATTATATCTATAATGTTATGTGACCAACATTACCATCTATTTCCGGAAAATTTTCCTTAGGCCACATAGAAACTCTATCCCTGGTGAAGACTGGCTTCCTGTCCCCTGCCCCAGACCCTGCACCTGTAACCTACTGTCTGTCTCTCGGAATTCCCCTATGCTAGATATTTCATGTAAGTGAGATCATACGGCATTTGTCCTTTGGTGCCTGGCTTATTTCACTTAGCATAGTGTTTCCAAGGCTCATCTGGGTTGTGGCATGCATCAGAATACC
The DNA here is from genome assembly GCF_000001405.40 of Homo sapiens. Taxonomy (NCBI): domain Eukaryota; kingdom Metazoa; phylum Chordata; class Mammalia; order Primates; family Hominidae; genus Homo; species Homo sapiens. The sequence goes on from NC_000008.11 coordinate 981,254, forward strand.
GTTGCTTTCTGGGGCTGAGTTGCCCCTCCTTGTAGGCATAGACCATATTCTGTTGATCCATGTACCTGCTGATGGGGACTTTGGCTGTGTCCCACCTTTTGTCTATTGTGCTATTGTGAATAAGGCAACAACGACACTGGTGTCCCAGTGTCCACTTGAGTCTCTGCTTGTGATTCTTTGGCTTTGTATCTAGGAGTGGAAGCGCTAGGTCATTTGGTAAATCTGTTTAACCTTTTAAGGAATAGTCAAACTGTTTGCACAGCAGCTGCGCCGTTTTACATTTTACCAGCAGCGTACGAGGGTTCCAGTTTCTCTGCATCCTCTCCGATATGGTATTTTTTGTTGTTTGATAGTAGCTGTACTAGTGAGTGTGAGGTGGTATCTCACTGTGTTTTATATTTGCATTTCCCTGACAATTAGTGACGTTGAGCACCTTTCATGTATTTATTATCCATTTGTTCATCTTTGGAGAAATACTGATCCAAATCCTTTGCTTATTTTCTAATTGGTTTGCTAATGTGTTGTTGACTTGTAGAAGTTCTTTATATATTGTGGATATTAATCTCTTCTCAGATGTTTTGTTTGAAACTATTTGCTCTTGTTCTATGAATCCTCTTTCCACAAAGAGTTTGAACTTTAACGTTGAATGGGAATCCAGTGCATCTCCGTGCCTGCGGGTCTTCCTTGTTTTCTGCTGTTCACAGGTAAACTGGATACCACATCCCTGGCCTTGGAAGTCATCTCTGGGCAGTGCTGTCCTTTTGCTCCTCCACCTTTAAACTTGCTTTGCTCCTGGCTAACCATGTCTCCTCTGCACAGCATGGGACAGGTTAGTTAGGAATGCTCTTCAGCCTCCCAAGGGGCCTGGCTCTGGTGCCTTCCAGTGGAGCGAGTGTGGACAGGTTGTATAACTCCACTGTGTCTCAGTTTCTGCATTTCTTCATCTACGGAGCAGAGATAATAACAGTACCTAACCCACGGGTGACCGTGCAAGACCCGTTAATGGATGAATGCACATGAACCCTTGGAACCATGCCTCAGCAGGCACTCAGCATGTGCGACAGTTTTTACTGTAATAATTTTTATTTTCAACTAGACTCAAGAGCTGTTGATATTTTTGTGGCTTCTTTACTCTTATCTCATTCTTTTACCTCTGCTAAGTGGAGCTGTTTAGCAATCAGTCGATGGTTTGAGTGACTTCTCTGTGCCTAGACCCACAAAGGGCTTTTCTCTAGAAAGAGTTTAGAAAGATTTTTATGAAGTGATAGATATTTTTTCTTTGTCAAGGAAAAATAGAGCCTTATAAAGAAGGCCAACTTGCTATGGAGGGAAGCGAAGGTGAAGAGGCTTAGGAAGATGAGGATTCTTTGCTATAAAATAAAATTCTTGCAAGAAAAATAAATGCAATATGGATATGAGCAAATTCTTGGATTTGTGGTCTCAAGACTTTTGTGAATGCTGCTGACCTAACCAATAAGTCTCTGCACTGTGCTCGGACCTAAAGCAGCTGGGCTACCTTTCGTATGGAGCTTTCTAGTCCACAGTTGGTCCGTTTATACTGCCTGGTAGTTTAGTATTTGTGTTCATTTTTTATCTGCTTTAATACACTCTAGGAATTTTAAAGGTAGGATTTTTTTTTTTTTTTTTTTTTTTACATTTCTGATCCCTTCGTGGGTTTTTGCACAAAAAGCTCCTTAAGAAAGATTTGCCAAATGCGTATATCTGCTTTAGTTTCCTATTTCTATATAGAGCCTCCCTTTAGATAGGGAGCTGTTTGAAAAATAAGAGCTACTATTCACTTTTCCTGCGGGATAGGATCAGGGCAGGGTGAACTTACCCGATGGACCTGACGGACTAGCCGGCCTTGGTCCACACAGCACAAGTTTCCCATTTAGATAATGTTCTCTTGAAAATCGGACACTGATGGACCTTTAAATATGCCCTTAGAATCCACGTGTTGGTGGAAGGTACAGGTCCTCGAGATGTTCTTGTGTCCCTTAGAATCCACGTGTTGGTGGAAGGTACAGGTCGTCGAGATGTTCTTCTGTCCCTTAGAATCCACGTGTTGGTGGAAGGTACAGGTCGTCGAGATGTTCTTGTGTCCCTTAGAATCCACGTGTTGGTGGAAGGTACAGGTCGTCGAGATGTTCTTCTGTCCCTTAGAATCCACGTGTTGGTGGAAGGTACAGGTCGTCAAGATGTTCTTCTATCCCTTAGAATCCACGTGTTGGTGGAAAGTACAGGTCCTTGAGATGTTCTTCTGTTCAAATTCCACCTTCATCGTACATACCCTGGATATGTCACGTAACTTCCCTGAGACTCAGTTTACTCATTTGTTAATTGGGTGACTCTGAAGATAAAAAGAGGTAGCATTTATTTTAATTTTTTTTAATTAAAAGAAGTTTTTGGGATAGGACCTTGCTCTGTTGCCCAGGCTGGACTGCAGTGGTGTGATCGTGGCTCACTGTGGCTTCCACCTCCCAGGCTCAAGCAATCCTTTCACCGCAGCCTCCCGAGTAGCTGGGACTATATATAGGTGTATGTCACATGCCTGGCTAATTTTTTTTGTAGAGACCAGGTCTCGCTTTGTTGCCCAGGCTGGTCTTGAACTCCTAGGCTCAAGTGATCCTCTTGCCTTGGGCTCCCAAAGTGCTGGGAGTGCAGATGTGAGCCACTGTGCCTGACTGAGGTAACATTGCTAATGCCCGGTGTGGTGCCTTGCTATTCCAGGATTCCTGAGGAAGAGTGTGCCGAGCACACAGAAGTCAGAGAAATGGTCCTTGGGTGTGCGGGCGGTCACTCCTCCCGGTGTCTCATGTGTAGCTTTTGGGCACCTGTCCCTACCTCGTAGCAGGAAACTGTTTATTGGGATTCCCAAAAGTAAGTATTTTAAAAATCATATGGAAAGAATCTTGAATTGAGACTTAAACGTCCTGGATTCTAGCCCAGTTTTGCCGACACCTGACCTTGGGCACAGCACAGCTTTGTCAGCCTGTTTTCTTCTATGCGAGGTGAGCTGTCTGAGCTGGTCAAAATCTCTCTCAAGGATAATATTCTCTGCCTCTGTGAAATCCCAGTGCATGCCTTTCATTTTTGCTCAGTCCATAAAAAAACTTCACTAAAAGCTTTTAATTGTGCCCTTACAGGGCTCAAAGCCCCTGCCTCCAATCCAGGAGCTGGTAGCTCTCAGAGGGCCCTGTTTCTAAGGGGTTGGGCCTAGGTTTATCTTGGTTGTGGGGATGGTCAGCTTGGCCCACGCTCCTGGCCACAGACCAAACCACGGCCGTGCCTGGCATCTTCCCTGCAAAGATTGTGTAGAGCAGGCCTGGCGCAGTAGTAAGAACAGCTCTTGACACATCTGCCACTCTCCAAGAACAGCGGTGTAAAGAGCACGGCCTCCCAGTCAATACGCCGACCTCACTTAAAGACAGGACGTGATTAGCTGAGATGTGTTTAGATGTACAGCTACCCTTATTGCATCTGTTTTTACATTTTTAATTATTTAGAATTTGGGTTGCTGAGTCCCTCATAAGTGATTGGTTAGGACAATGAATGCAAGTGGCATAAACAAATGCACCTGATTCTTCACTGGTCATAAAATGAGGGTGACCTGAATTTTTCTTTGTCTGTGTCTGTTACTATTGATCATCATAATGGGAACGATAGCTAGGCTCCTAACCTCACCTCAAAATAATTGCTTCCTGTGTGTATTTATCTAAATGCTAAGCTTAAACAGAACAGATGTGAAATGTCTCAGGCATACTTCCAAATAAATCTTGAGGGGAAAGTAAAGCAAATATTTATAAAGAGCCTCAGAGTTTGCATAATGTTTCCACGTAGTCATATCTTGACAGTGATCATGCCAGAGATCTTCGGGTATTTCCAAGGTCCCTGGCTGAGCATGGTTGTGTGCAGGTTACAGCCTGATCCAGAGGAAAGAGAAATCAGTGGAAATGAGTCAAGATACAAGGTCCGAAGGCCTGGCTCAGCTCTCCACACCCACTGTCCGTAGATGTGTGTCCTTCAGCACGGTCTCATGTAGAATGCTCACTGTTGGCATGGTGGGTACATAAGCTTCAGAGTCAGATCTAATGCTGTGTAGGCAAGTTGCTTAATTCCTCAGAACTGTGATTTCCATACTGACAAAACAAGGGCCATGACAACCACCTCATGGTGTTGTCAGGATTAAATGAGATCATCCATGTGCCAGCACATCCGTAGTCTCAAAGATGTTAATTTCCCTGGTCTTTCACCAGTTGCTTAGCAAGTATATGTGATTAATGCAGGTAAAATTTTACAAAGAGAATTTATTATGCTGTGAAGGAGAGTTGACCAATCAAATCATGTAGGAGGTTTATAATGTTTTATAACATGAAATTCTAGTAAGTACAATCTGTATTATCTGAGAGCAGAACATCTGGTAATGGCAGAATATTTTGCCTTTGTTAATTTCCCTAAAATATTGAGAATTTGTCATGAGAAAGATTATTTCAAGGTAACGCTTATCTTTGGCCTTTTGATCCCAGTGTTTCCCCAGATGTGAGAGTGAGGGATGTGTGGTTCATTAGCAGCAAGGACCACAGGCACAGGAGCTGCCCATTTGCTCAGTCGATCACCTGACAAACCCCCTGTTTCAGCTCCTCGATGAAACCCTCTTCCTGGGCCTCCCTCCCTGAAGATGCTCTTGGTGGAATAAAAACTTCCTGAAGAAGATGCTCATTAGAGGGGAGTATGACTGGTTAGGAAGAAGTTTCTGGAAACTCTTGATATCCCCATTATTAGGGGGGAGTATGGCTGGTTGGGAAGAAGTTTCTGGAAACTCTTGATATCCACGTTATTAGGGGGGAGTATGGCTGGTTGGGAAGAAGTTTCTGGAAGCTCTTCATAGCTCACTTATTAGTAGGGAGTGTGACTGGTTGGGAAGAGGCTTCCGGAAGCTCTTGGGATCCCAAAGAGCTTAGGATGTTTAGCACAGCAGGGGTAGGGAGAGCTGTGTCAGCCTGTTGAGCTGCATGGCTTCTGTGCCGGGTTTCCTTTATGCTAATGGCAATGTGAATTAAACTTTTCTTTTTTTAAAAAATTTCACTTTAAGTTCTGGGATATATGTGCAGAACGTGCAGGTTTATTACATAGGTATTCATGTGCCAGGGTGGTTGCAAATTAAACTTTTCTCTAGACATTTTAGTATCTTACTTTATGTGGTTCCTAATTATTATCTAGTGTTAAGTGTTGCATAAGTATAATTTCTTACTTAGAGTTAAAAATTACAGCTAAAACAAAGTTTCTTCCAATTACTGAGAGAGAGAAAGGGGCTGTGTTCTGAGGCAAGTGGAAGGAAGGACTGGAGGAGAAAAGGAGACTAATAATGTATTTACTGGGCACCCACTGCATGTCAAACACTGTATTTGATTTTTTTTTTTTTTTGAGACAGAGTCTCACTCTGTTGCCTAGGCTGGAGTGCAATGATGCAATCTTGGCTCACTGAAACCTGCTTCTCCCAGGTTCAAGTGATTCTCCTGCCTAAGCTTCCCAAGTAGCCAGGATTATAGGCACCTGCCACCATGCCTGGCTAATTTTTGTATTTTTGGTAGAGATGGGGTTTTGCCATGTTGGCCAGGCTGGTCTCAAACTCCTGACCTCCAGTGATCCACCCGTCTCGACCTTCCAGAGTACTAGGATTACAGGCATGAGCCACCGCACCTGGCCCCTTGATTTTTAGTAATGTGGTATCATTTAATGTATACAGTAATCCACAAGGAGGAAGTAAAAATCATGGAGCAAATCCCTGGTGAAATCAGGTTCGAATTTGATTTTTTTCTGCTTCACCAAACTCCCGTCTTTTTTCCTATACTTCTTTGGGCATTTCGGTTCTTCCTGAATTCTCTCTGCTCTCCTTCCTATTCAGTGGTGCCACCGGAGGTTGGTTTGTGATGGTGTCTTTGCAGGAGTGCCAGGTGCCCTGGCCGGGGTCGCCTGAGATCAGGAAGCCTGGGCAGAGATGGTCAGTCACCATGTCTGAGATGGTGAGCTCAGCTGCAGGTTTAGGACGTGTCCACGGGTCCTGCTGGGATTCTGCAGGTCTCAGTGGGGCTGGGCTGGGAATTGCCTTTGGCCTGGCTTGCACACCTGTAGAAATCGTGTGGAAGGAGGCATCATCACCTCCCTTGGCTGCAGCCCATCCTGTTTTGAAGATCAGGTCTCCAGAGACCACAGGAGGAAGAGACAGGCCCAGCACAGTTCTGCCGGACGCCCCCACGACCTTCCCTTGTCCATTTTCCAGCCTCTGTTGTTGAACTACTGGTTTTGTGGTTGCCCTGGAAACTCAGCCAGCAAACAAAATAGACAAACTGCTTATTTGTCAAGATCTTTAGCTTCCTGGTCTTACTGCAGCTCGTGGGAATCCTGCTGTCTTCCCCTTGAATAGTAACCTCAGCTTTTCTGCCTGGAGGTGGGTAATTAGTCCAAGCCGACGACAAGCCCACTCCTTTCACCAAGGCAGTTGCTATTTAAGCGCTTCTCACTTTTACTCACACCGGGTGCTTCCTGTGTGCTGGCTTCTTCCCCAGTTTCCCCCAACATATGACAGATAAAAAGGATCCTCTCTTTCAGCTGTTAATTTCCAACTCACCTAGGATTCTATTACATGTTTTACATATGTGGTCAGCAATATTCTCCGTATGTATTAAGGAGATCAGTGCTTCTCTGTGGCTTCAGTGATATCCATCAAAACAAGTCTGGTTCTCGATGTAGCTTCTAGCACCATTGAATTTTCCTCCATGTGCACCTGACTGGGGAGGAAACTGTCTAAAGGGGCCTAGCATGGTTCTATTCTCATAGGCCCTGATGGGAGTTGCGTTATTTTCTATGGTTTTCACGTTCTTATAGGTTGGTAGCTAATCGCATGATTTTTATGTGGAATGTATTTTCTAAAGAGTATGTATTTAGTACCCTTTAGTATTCAGATAGAGAAATAGGTCCCAAATCACCTTCAGATGCAAAACAGAATTTTATAAGTGTGCATTTTAAAAAGCAAATAGATTTTAGCTTCAGGGTCACTGTGGAATCTAGAAGTGAAACTGAAGCCCTGTAAGTCTCTTGGCAAAGTGTCATTCTTTATTCTTCTCTCCGAAGCTGCAGGTAACACTCAGCCTTAAATTCTCTTATTACCTGCCCAAAGTCATTTCCTTTGGTATTCATTTCACATGAAGGACAGGGATGTGGCGTCTTCTTTTTAATTTGCAGTTTGTTTGGCAACAACAGGCCTTGAAGAAAACCCTCCCGGCTCGGCCTCTGTTCAGCCTTGATCTGGCTTGTCCCTGGGGGTGTCTGGCCTCAGCCTCCTCCCTTCCAGGGTCTGATGTCCCACCCCACGTGGACCTTCTCTCCTGGGCTCCTGCCTCCTGGCCGTGATTTGCCGTGGCTCTGACCTTCCATCTGATGTGTTCCCTGCCTGCCCTGTCCACCTGCCCTCTGGTTCCTGGCCTCCATCTCCACCCTCCCTAGACCCAGGGCCTGTCCCCCGGGGACCTGGTGAGTGCATGGCTCTCCTGACCAATCCTGCTTTTTCTGCATCATTTCCAAGCTCCACTGGTGGCACTGCTGTCCCACAGTCACCTGCATGAGAGCCCCTGGAGTTTCTCAGATGCTTCTCTGTCCTCTGACAATGCAGGTGCCTCTCCACATGCTGTGGATTTTTACCTCTTTTCTTCTCAGGTCACCTCCTCTCCGTCGCTGCCTGCACTGCCTCCGCTCGCGGCTCCCTGGACCTTGTCTCTGCTGTCGAGGGCTCTCCAGGTTGGCCAGGAGACTGTTTTAAAGCACAGATCCCGTCTAGTCAGCCTCCATTGTGACGACCGCAGTGCAGTCCCAGCCTTCAGCCCTGCGCGGCACCACCTTGCCGTGTTCCACACTGGCCTTTGATCAGAGCACTTGGGGGGCTCTCCCGCATGCCACATCAGGGCCCAGCAGTGCTCCCCCGGAGTCCCTCTGGGTTCCCAGGAAGGAGCACCCCTCCCCACTTCACTCACCCACATCCTAACCTCCTCTCCATCAGTGGACGGCTGCTCTCCCAGGGCCTGAGGGAGGGGCTGTCTTCGGGTTTTTTATGCCTGACACCTTATCCATAGTAGACGTCCAAACCTTGCTTGCACCTGAATCGGCCGCACTTGTGTTTTTGGCCTCTCCTGTGTCCTGGGCGGCTTCACTTCCTCTGTCCTCTACATCTGGGGTTCCAGCTGCAGTCGACGGAAATACCAGGATGCAAAGGCTTTGGTACCAACTTTCTCACATGTCATGTGTGATTGTGACCCAGCAGGACGAGCTCTTCCTGCCCTGGGGTCAGGCTCTTAACTGTGTTGAAAGGTAGACATTCCTTGAAGGCTGATATGTATGATTCTGCTCCATCTGGAACCTGAGAAAAGTGAATGATTGACATAATTGCTAAGAGTCTGAAACTGCAATTAGTTTAAAATTTTGAAATTGGCTTAATCTTATGAAATACATAATATTGTTTTTGTATTTTGAGATTCAGAAATTGAGGCTTCCCCAGGGTCCCTGCTAATGACTGGCTATGTGGCTTTGGAGGAAGTCTCTCATGACACCAGCTGCTCTTGTCACTTAAAAAATTATATGATTTTTCTAAGTCTTTTAAAAATAACTGAATTGTAATTTGCATGCAGTGAAATGTCGCTGTTGGGTGTTGGGTTCGATGAGCTCTGAGGAACGTATTCCTCAGAAAGCCTCTCTTGCCGCTCCCAGCCAACCTCCTGGACCACTGTGCCAGCATGATGGCTTCATTACAGATCACTGCTTCCCACTGTAGAATTTCATGAAAGGGGTCATCTACGACTTCAGTGCTGTGTTACCTCCTTTCTATCAGCCTGATGATTTGAGCTCCATCCATGGTGTTGTTTGTATTAGTGGTCCATTCTTTTTGTTGGTGAGAGTATTCCCAACTTTTCACCTGTTATATTTGTGTCGTGATGTTGCCATGTGGGTGCCCAAGTCCTGCGCTGCATGGGAATCGACCTTCTGAAGTTTTCTATGAAAGTGGCCCAGACCCCCTGCACCCCCATACTCGGAGTTCCTGTTCTTCTCTCCCTCCTTGCCCGGACCCCCTGCACCCCCATACTCGGAGTTCCTGTTCTTCTCTCCCCCCTTGCCCAGACCCCCTGCACCCCCATACTCGGAGTTCCTGTTCTTCTCTCCCACCTTGCCCGGACCCCCTGCACCCCCATACTCGGAGTTCCTGTTCTTCTCTCCCACCTTACCCGGACCCCCTGCACCCCCATACTCGGAGTTCCTGTTCTTCTCTCCCACCTTGCCCAGACCCCCTGCACCCCCATACTCGGAGTTCCTGTTCTTCTCTCCCACCTTGCCCAGACCCCCTGCACCCCCATACTCGGAGTTCCTGTTCTTCTCTCCCACCTTGCCCAGACCCCCTGCACCCCCATACTCGGAGTTCCTGTTCTTCTCTCCCACCTTGCCCAGACCCCCTGCACCCCCATACTCGGAGTTCCTGTTCTTCTCTCCCACCTTGCCCAGACCCCCTGCACCCCCATACTCGGAGTTCCTGTTCTTCTCTCCCACCTTGCCCAGACCCCCTGCACCCCCATACTCGGAGTTCCTGTTCTTCTCTCCCACCTTGCCCAGACCCCCTGCACCCCCATACTCGGAGTTCCTGTTCTTCTCTCCCACCTTGCCCAGACCCCCTGCACCCCCATACTCGGAGTTCCTGTTCTTCTCTCCCACCTTGCCCAGACCCCCTGCACCCCCATACTCGGAGTTCCTGTTCTTCTCTCCCACCTTGCCCAGACCCCCTGCACCCCCATACTCGGAGTTCCTGTTCTTCTCTCCCACCTTACCCGGACCCCCTGCACCCCCATACTCGGAGTTCCTGTTCTTCTCTCCCACCTTGCCCGGACCCCCTGCACCCCCATACTCGGAGTTCCTGTTCTTCTCTCCCCCCTTGCCCAGACCCCCTGCACCCCCATACTCGGAGTTCCTGTTCTTCTCTCCCACCTTACCCGGACCCCCTGCACCCCCATACTCGGAGTTCCTGTTCTTCTCTCCCACCTTGCCCAGACCCCCTGCACCCCCATACTCGGAGTTCCTGTTCTTCTCTCCCACCTTGCCCAGACCCCCTGCACCCCCATACTCGGAGTTCCTGTTCTTCTCTCCCACCTTACCCGGACCCCCTGCACCCCCATACTCGGAGTTCCTGTTCTTCTCTCCCACCTTGCCCAGACCCCCTGCACCCCCATACTCGGAGTTCCTGTTCTTCTCTCCCACCTTGCCCGGACCCCCTGCACCCCCATACTCGGAGTTCCTGTTCTTCTCTCCCACCTTGCCCGGACCCCCTGCACCCCCATACTCGGAGTTCCTGTTCTTCTCTCCCACCTTGCCCGGACCCCCTGCACCCCCATACTCGGAGTTCCTGTTCTTCTCTCCCTCCTTGCCCAGACCCCCTGCACCCCCATACTCGGAGTTCCTGTTCTTCTCTCCCTCCTTGCCCGGACCCCCTGCACCCCCATACTCGGAGTTCCTGTTCTTCTCTCCCACCTTACCCGGACCCCCTGCACCCCCATACTCGGAGTTCCTGTTCTTCTCTCCCCCCTTGCCCAGACCCCCTGCACCCCCATACTCGGAGTTCCTGTTCTTCTCTCCCTCCTTGCCCAGACCCCCTGCACCCCCATACTCGGAGTTCCTGTTCTTCTCTCCCACCTTACCCGGACCCCCTGCACCCCCATACTCGGAGTTCCTGTTCTTCTCTCCCCCCTTGCCCAGACCCCCTGCACCCCCATACTCGGAGTTCCTGTTCTTCTCTCCCACCTTACCCGGACCCCCTGCACCCCCATACTCGGAGTTCCTGTTCTTCTCTCCCACCTTGCCCAGACCCCCTGCACCCCCATACTCGGAGTTCCTGTTCTTCTCTCCCACCTTGCCCAGACCCCCTGCACCCCCATACTCGGAGTTCCTGTTCTTCTCTCCCTCCTTGCCCAGACCCCCTGCACCCCCATACTCGGAGTTCCTGTTCTTCTCTCCCACCTTACCCGGACCCCCTGCACCCCCATACTCGGAGTTCCTGTTCTTCTCTCCCACCTTGCCCAGACCCCCTGCACCCCCATACTCGGAGTTCCTGTTCTTCTCTCCCACCTTGCCCGGACCCCCTGCACCCCCATACTCGGAGTTCCTGTTCTTCTCTCCCACCTTGCCCGGACCCCCTGCACCCCCATACTCGGAGTTCCTGTTCTTCTCTCCCACCTTGCCCAGACCCCCTGCACCCCCATACTCGGAGTTCCTGTTCTTCTCTCCCACCTTGCCCAGACCCCCTGCACCCCCATACTCGGAGTTCCTGTTCTTCTCTCCCACCTTACCCGGACCCCCTGCACCCCCATACTCGGAGTTCCTGTTCTTCTCTCCCACCTTGCCCGGACCCCCTGCACCCCCATACTCGGAGTTCCTGTTCTTCTCTCCCTCCTTGCCTGGACCCCCTGCACCCCCATACTCGGAGTTCCTGTTCTTCTCTCCCACCTTGCCCAGACCCCCTGCACCCCCATACTCGGAGTTCCTGTTCTTCTCTCCCTCCTTGCCCAGACCCCCTGCACCCCCATACTCGGAGTTCCTGTTCTTCTCTCCCACCTTGCCCAGACCCCCTGCACCCCCATACTCGGAGTTCCTGTTCTTCTCTCCCTCCTTGCCCAGACCCCCTGCACCCCCATACTCGGAGTTCCTGTTCTTCTCTCCCACCTTGCCCAGACCCCCTGCACCCCCATACTCGGAGTTCCTGTTCTTCTCTCCCTCCTTGCCCAGACCCCCTGCACCCCCATACTCGGAGTTCCTGTTCTTCTCTCCCTCCTTGCCCAGACCCCCTGCACCCCCATACTCGGAGTTCCTGTTCTTCTCTCCCTCCTTGCCCGGACCCCCTGCACCCCCATACTCGGAGTTCCTGTTCTTCTCTCCCACCTTGCCCAGACCCCCTGCACCCCCATACTCGGAGTTCCTGTTCTTCTCTCCCACCTTGCCCAGACCCCCTGCACCCCCATACTCGGAGTTCCTGTTCTTCTCTCCCACCTTACCCGGACCCCCTGCACCCCCATACTCGGAGTTCCTGTTCTTCTCTCCCACCTTGCCCAGACCCCCTGCACCCCCATACTCGGAGTTCCTGTTCTTCTCTCCCACCTTGCCCAGACCCCCTGCACCCCCATACTCGGAGTTCCTGTTCTTCTCTCCCTCCTTGCCTGGACCCCCTGCACCCCCATACTCGGAGTTCCTGTTCTTCTCTCCCATCTCCAGGAACTTCCAGGGGCGTTTGTTTCTGCTGGTCATCTCAGCTCGTGTTCTCCTATTGCTGATGCCTGGTGTGTATCCTTTCTCCTGTATCAAGCGTCTCCTTCATGGGCGATTCTGCCATTTAGCCTGAGAGGACGTCAGTACACTCGTGCCTCTCAGGGATATTTATATTTCAACATAGTGGCCAGAGGAGCAGTTCTCTAGATGCAGACTTTAAGACACCATGCAAGCAAACTGATTGGCTTTTTTTTTTTTTTTTTTTTTTTTGGTGTGTGTTTGTATTTTTGCTTTCTGTTGAGGGCCTTTCTAGGGCCTTTGATAATACACCAGTTAGCTGTGTCGTTTCAGCTACTTAGAGGCTTGACTCTAATAGCAGATCCCGGCTGGTAATTTTCCCTTTTTGGTTTGTAATTGTGGAGTAGACTTAGTATAGAGAATGAAAGTGCTGTTTATTAGTATACTTTTGTATTTACACTCTAGCAGTGCACTTAAACCCAGCAGGCGTTGCGTAGACAGTACTATGGTGGTTTTTGGATGAGACTGGTGTTTTCGTATTAGAAATCGCCACTGCACTACAATGTCATTAGTGATTATTATTGGGGAGTTTTGCGAAGTAGATAGAAATTATTTTGACCTAAACATCCTTATGGTGTTTTGTTTTGTTTTATTTTTTGAGTTGGAGTTTCACTCTTGTTGCCCAGGCTGGAGTGCAGTGGCGCGATCTCGGCTCACTGCAACCTCCACCTCCCAGATTCAAGCGATTCTCCTGCCTTAGCCTCCCGAGTAGCTGGGATTACAGGCATGGGCCACCATGCCTGGCTAATTTTGTATTTTTAGTAGAGACGGGTTTTCTCCATGTTGGTCAGGCTGGTCTCGAACTCCCGACCTCAGGTGATCCGTCTGCCTCAGCCTCCCAAAGTGCTGGGATTACAGGCATGAGCCACTGCACCCAGCCTGGTGTTTTTTAATAACGGTTGTCTCTGGGAGTTTTCCAAGGCTCCAGATCCTCAAGAACAGTGCTCTTAACTTGTCTAATTCTGCACCTGTGCTGCTTCCTAGAACACGGTAGGTGGGAGGGCTTGGGATGGATGCATCCTTGCCTTTTAAGATGCATTTACACACAGGGGCTGGAACTCAGCTCTGTAGGAGATGGCGTGATCCATCATCATATGACTGCTGGGCATTGGAGAGAGCCTGAATAGTTACAGGTCAGACCTGCTCCCTTGCTGGCAATGAAGCAAGTCCCCAAAGTGTGATTCAAGTTCCATATCACAGCAGACGAAGAGTCATTCAGCTCCAGTTTACGGACTGCTGGGGTATTTTACACTTGAGTGCATTTTGCTTTAATGACCTAGGAAATAGAATGTCTAAGGAAAATCGGACAACGGTGGTACAGTTGGCATCACGGGGGCAGGGCACATATTTAGTACCTGAAATAGGTATTCTTCAACTTACCTTTCAAGGTTCTGGAATAGATTCTAATGCTGTTCTGTTCAGGTTAACAGTCTCAGAGTCCATAAACATGTCTGTAAATTATTGAGCAAATGAAAAGGAATACATAAAATTGTTTTTATTGCCTCAGACAGTCTTTTAATTGGGTAATATTGAAAAAATCACATTTTTTCACATTATACTGTATAAAGCAGTATAATTTTTTCACATTACCGTATAAAACAACTGTTTTGTGGGAGGAAGTGGGTGAGGTTGGAAGTGTGTTGCACTTAGAATAAGCACTCTGGTTTCTGTGACATCAGTTTTTTGATTTTTAAGAAGTTAAAATCCAACTGCAGTTGATAGAAACATCTTTTGATGTCAATGAAATATTATAGTAACTTTGTAATTAAACATTTTATTTCTTGAAAGATGTTTCTAATTAACAGTGATTTATATTCCACACAATCAAAAACCAAGTCTCATTATGATTTAATAGTTTTCGTCTTATAGTTTGCATTGCTGGATTTTAGTATTTCCATTACATATATGCATAACCATAGCCCTTCCAAATAGAATTTGTACCACAAATGTCAGCCATGCTGTGCTTAGTTATAGGAAGAATCTCCCCTGTCCCCCTTAGGAAGTGGCATGCACATATTTCTATTCAAGATCTAAGATGGCTAACACACCAGAAACAGAAGTGACTCAGCATGGGTTGTTTACAAGCAGCAACTGTTTCAGTTAGAAAAATACTAAAATAGTTTGAATCTTATTTATGAAAAGTAGAAGTGGTTGCCATAAATTAGGTTCCCCCTGTTTGGTGATGCTGGGGTGCTAACAGCATAGAGACTTGGGGAAGTGAGACGTGTCTCTCCATGGAGGGTTAAGCTTATGGCTTCACAGGTGGGCTGGGGGAAGCAGGAGACTAAAGAAAAGATGGGATTTTTGTTTTCTTTGGCTGTAGTGCAGGCAGGAACCAAATAGGCTCCTGGCACCTGAACATCCCTCCCTTTTCCATGTGGTTCTGAAGTCAGCAAAGGCAAGGCCATTGTCAGTTACTTATCTGGAATTAGACTCAGGAGAAATCCAACCACAACACCGTTTAAAGTAGTTCCTCAGACCAGTATGCTGTGTTCTTCTGGCTCCAGGGACCACTCCCCTCTGTTCCTCTCCACTCCAGAGCTGAGAGAGGACTCACAGAAGGCAGGAACTCTCTGGCTAGACCAAAGCCTTCTTTACTTATAGTAACTTTTCTTTGATTGTGAGATGGAGGCTGTGAGTTACTTCCCCAGAATCACTCAGGTTTCTTTCTGGGGGGGTCATTCCTGTCGTTTAGAGACTACAGAGCTCTTCTCCGAGGGCCCCAGTGTCACCATGGGAACAGGGAAGAAATGGCGTCTGAGCAGGGTGTGGATCCCGTGTCCTCAGCGTGTGTGCTTTGAGCAAAGCAAAGGCCGTTCTGGAGGCTGCTGGCTCCCGTGCTGAAGGAACATTGTGTTAGGGTGGAGTGGCCGGAGGCTCAGGTTTGTGCCTGTCGATGGGATGTGGCTACATTAATGAAAGTCCTTCCGTGAGTGAGGCTGTTTGTTCTCAGTTCTCTCATGATGGAGAGACAAGTTTCGTTATCAACCTTATGAATATAAAAGGATCTTTGCAGAAGGTTTTGTCTGTTCAGTAGTTTTCAGCCTTTAAAATATTCCATGGAATGAAACCCCCTCAAGTTAATCGTCATCATTCACTGTTTAATACTCAGTTCTCCAGCCTGTGTTGATTGCTGGCCTAGTTGAAGAGGAAGTGAGGAGAATCATAAGTGTGAGTTAATATGCGTGGCAGACATCTATCTAAACAGTAGTAGAGCTGGTTTCTTCTGAGAAAGCCCCCAAGAACTTACACATAGATTTTAAAGCTGCCACCTTCCCACAAGTCACACTGTGACTCACCATTTTTAGAATTTCGCTTTGGAACCCTTCATAGACCAGGAATCTATCTGGAGGTACATTAATCTTATCTCATGTGGACAACAATGTATGATGGAAGGCATTGATTGCTGTGTTTTTCAGCAGTAGGAGAATAGAGAAAGTATAATATACATGCATGTGACGGACTGTTTTGTTCATTGTATGAAAATTGAGAAAAAAACAAGTTATAGAATAGCATGATCCTAATTTTGTAAACTATCTCATGATCCTCAGTTTCTGAGTAGAATTCACTTAGCAACAGCATGCTTTGGGAACTTAAATTTTCAGACTGAAATATTAACCCCTACTGATTTACATGGGAAATGAATTAAAATATTGAAATTAATTCATGAAAATTACAAAATATTACATTCAAAAATGCTATTTAAATATCTGGGGAGCCCGGATCATTTTACTTGATACTTTTCCCCTGTCCTTTTTAGATTATCTTTTTTTAAATGAAAAGATACACATGTTATAAGACATTGAACCAATATAGAAAACTACAGAGAAGACAACAACTGATCACAAAGCCTTCTACTCCTCAGGAGTAACCATCATTCACTACCAAACACACACAGTATAAAATGTAGAAGCACTTCATTAAACGGGATGATACTCTGTGGTATTTTAAAATAAAGCATAAAATGTAACTATTTGATTTTAATAAAACTAATAAATTGACTTGAAAAATGGAACTCATTCCTATGCTTCACACAAACGTTTGTTCATCCCAGTAAACATAATTCTTTAAAAGCCTAAGAATAAAGAAAGAGAAAATTTAAAACAATATAATTTTTGAAAAATGAAAGTACTATTCCTGCGTTTTCTCGTGCATTTTCTCCTCTACCACAAAAAGTTAAATTTGCTTATACCTATGCATACATACAAACACGCATACACGTGTGCATACATACACACATACACACAAACACACATACACACATGCATAAACACCCATGCACATGCATGCATACAAACATGCACACACACCCATGCATACAGACAAACACATCACACATGCATACACGCATGCATGTACATGCACAAACACGTGCACACAAACATGCATAGACATGCACACAAACATGCATAAACATGTGCATACAGTCATACACAGAAACATATACACATGCATGTGCACACACCCGTGTCTGCACAGAAACATACACACGTGTATGAACACAAACATGCATACACATGTGCATACACAACACACATACACACATGTATACACACAAATGTGCATGCACACATAAATACACACATACACATGCATGCATGCACACACGGGTTGGCACTGCTCCATCTGTGTCATGTCATACAACTCCTCAGCTCCTACAGAGGCTCATCTTTACTTTTAGTCAGTTTATCTAGACAGATAGACAGGGTCTTGCTCTGTCACCCAGGCTGGAGTGCAGTGGCGTGGTCCTAGCTCACTGCCGCCTTGAACTCCTGGGCTCAAGCTATCCTCCCACCTCTGCCTCCTTCATGGCTGGGACTACAGGTGTGAGCCACTATGCCCAGCTAATTTTTTTTTTTTTTTTCTAGAGATAGGATCTCACTGTGTCACCCAGGTTGATCTTGAATTCCTGCGCTTAAGCAGTCCTCCCACCTCAGCCTCTCAAAGTGCTGGGATTACAGATGCCAGCCACCATGCCTGACCTCATCTTTTTTACTTTGATCTCTTTGCTGGTCAGTTTTATTATTGAGTTGTTCTTTTCTGCATGGGTCATGAGGGTTTGCTTCACGATTTCTTCCTAGGTGAGAATGCCTGCCCTTTGCTCTTATAATCTGAGGAAAACTTGGGTTCTTTTAAATGTTTGGCTCATACCCTTTCTTTCCTTGGAGCTTGAATATACTGTTTCACTGTCCTCATAACAGCAGTCTTTATACTGTGTATATTTTGGGGGAACTGGAATGTGTTGTGGCATCCCTGTCTCCAGTGCAGGGGCCTGGGTTTCTGTTTCCTGCATTGTTCATGTGTGAAGCCACAGCTGCTGTTATCCTGAAGGATACGTGGGCTGGTTGTAGCATGCTTGGGTCATGTTACCTGTAGAATCCTGAGATGAACATTGCTGCCTCCAGATGAACCATACCAGGTTAGCTTCTTCCTCCATGCTGTGCCTATGTGATTGATCATGTTCTTAAAAATATGTATTTAAAGCTTAACCTAGTTAGGACATTTTCTGATATTTGTTATTCTGCACAAAGTTGAGAGTACAGTTAGTGCACCTGTCCAGTCCCCTCCTCACGCCAGAGATACTTTCTCCTCCCGTGTCGGTGGAGCTGTTTTGTCTCCTGCTTGTTTTCATTTGGTGTTGTCCTTTGCTGCTGCTTCTCTGGCTGTGCCTGTGACCCTTCCTGTGTATTCCCCTTTCCATCTCCTGTTACCTCTTCTCTCACTTTTCTCATCTTCTTTCCCTTGTTGAATTTAAGGTGATTATTTTGAATCTTCTATGTCAAGAATTTTCCTGTGCTTTGTATTTTGTTTTGATAGTTGCTGTCCTGATTTACCTCTTGGTCTTGTGGTGGTGGTTTTTCTTTTTTTTTTTTTTTCCCGATGGAGTGTCGGTCTGCCAGTCAGGCTGGAGTGCAGTGGTGCAATCTCGGCTCACTGCAAACTCCACCTTGTAGGCTCAAGTGATTCTCCTGCCTCAGCCTCCTGAGTAGCTGGGATTACAGGCGCCTGCCATCATGCCTGGCTCATTTTTTTGTATTTTTAGTAGAAATGGGGTTTCACCATGTTTGCCAGGATGGTCTCAATCTCTTGACCTCGTGATCCACCTGCCTGGGCCTTCCGAAGTGCTGGGATTATAGGCGTGAGTCACTGCACCCGGCTGGTGGTGTGGTTTTAATACTCAGTTGAGTTCCTTTCCTGTGCAATTTCTTTTTTCATCTCTTTTATTATCTCATTTTCAAGTTCTTGCCCTGTTGAATTAATGTGCTTGCTAAGGATTTTCTCTAGAGCAGACAGATCCGGGTGGAGGTGGTTTTCTTTTGCACTGGATTTTCTCTAGAGCAGACAGATCCGGGTGGAGGTGGTTTTCTTTTGCACTGGATTTTCTCTAGAGCAGACAGATCCGGGTGGAGGTGGTTTTCTTTTGCACTGGATTTTCTCTAGAGCAGAGAGATCCGGGTGGAGGTGGTTTTCTTTTGCACTGGATTTTCTCTAGAGCAGACAGATCCGGGTGGACGTGGTTTTCTTTTGCACTGGATTTTCTCTAGAGCAGACAGATCCGGGTGGAGGTGGTTTTCTTTTGCACTGGATTTTCTCTAGAGCGGACAGATCCAGGTGGGGGTGGTTTTCTTTTGCACTGGATTTTCTCTAGAGCGGACAGATCCGGGTGGGGGTGGTTTTCTTTTGCACTTGATGTTCTCTAGAGCGGACAGATCCGGGTGGAGGTGGTTTTCTTTCGCACTGGATTTTCTCTAGAGCGGAAAGATCTGGGTTGGGGTGGTTTTCTTTTGCACCGGATTTTCTCTAGAGCAGACAGATCCGGGTGGGGTGGTTTTGTTTTGCACTGGATTTTCTCTAGAGCGGACAGATCCGGGTGGGGGTGGTTTTCTTTTGCAATGGATTTTCTATAGAGCGGACAGATCTGGGTGGGGTGGTTTTCTTTTGCACTGGTGTCTAGATTTGGTTTTTGCATGTGGTGTTCCATTTACGGATGCATTTTTGTTATCCTAATTGCTCTGTTATTACTTTTCCTCTTGGTTATGAACTGTCCGGTATTACTGTTTGCTTTGATGTGGATAAATTCTTCTCCAAGGTATTTTTGTAGCCTTGATCTTTACTCAACGTCGACTGCAGGGGCGTTGGGGGTGAGGAGGGTGACGGTGTGGAGGTGGCTCCTCAAGACTCCAAGCAGCCTCTGTGGATGGCCTGCTTCTCTTCTGCGATGTGTGTGGACAGGTGTGGGGGGAGAGGAGAGGGAGACCTTGCTCATCGGGTGCTGATTCTTGGTTCCATGCGGCCTCCGAGAGTGCCTGGGAGCAGGTGAAACTCCCCTCCAGGGATTTCCTCAGTGTAGGCAGGAGTGCCGCTCACCCTGTTCGCTGTGCCATTTAAAATCAGGAGGTGTCGATGACATTTGCAGGCTATTGTTGATAGTTTCCACTCACTTCTCTGAGTGGCAATGACAGAGGGAATCACAATTTCTCCACTCTCTTCTTTTGATATAAAACATTTATTCATGAGTGTGTGCCCCTTTTTCTTGTATGCTTGCTGCTATAGATAATGTTTTTGGAGGAGACTGGAGAGCTTTGACTATTTTTCACATTGTATTGTGATCAGGACAGGGTTGTACTGCACACAGCCTTTCTCCACTGGCTCTGTCAGAAGCCTGAGAACTTGACATCATTTTATCGAGAAGTCTGCCGAGCAGTTTTTGAACAAAAACATAAGTTTGTGTTACGTCCATGTATTCATTTATGTCTAATTTTTATCCTTTTTAGGCCAACATTTTGACAAACTTAAAGTAATATTTATAATCTCTCAAACTTTTCATCTAGAAAATGTTTTTGTGTCCTGATACTATTATTGATGAGAGCAAATGCTTTTGATTATAAAACACTGTAATAATTAAAATATTGAGGAAGGTGTCATGAAACCTCAAACGAAAGTTACGGAGAAATGATTGGAAAAAACCGAATTGCTCTTAAGTGCAAAACAGAGGTAATATTTTAGAACTACATTTATTTTAGCTATAGCATTCAAAGTAATATTGATGTTATAGAAGTTGCCAAGTCCCATGAGTCTGGCAGCAAGCCATTTATCTTTTTCTCTACTATTGCTGTAACGTACACACACATTTGAATGTCCTTCCTCCACTCCCCCAAATTTCCATTACAATTTCAAGAACAAGGAACAAGGAAGAAATCTTGACACTCAGAACAGATCCTGGCCTGAGGGTCTGGGGGATAATGCTGCTGATGCTTTGAGGCTCAAGAAAGGGCTTGGTTTGAAAAGTGATCCCTGTTAAAGCGTGTTTGAGCTTAAAAATGGTCATATGAACCGGGCGAATTGACTCTTTTCTGAAAGGTTTTAATTTTCCTACACAATATACGATACGGGCACTTAGCATATTCTGGGACTGTGCTACCTGTTTACATAGATTTCCTCAATTGTCTTCCACCTGCTTAAATGAACGATGATGCCTATCCCTTTCCGCAGATGAAGACCCCCAGGCCCAGGGAATTCGATCACTGGCTGAGAACTCACAGCTAAGGAGGGGGAGCCTGGGATTCCTTCCTGGTGCTCACACCCGAGACCCTTTTGTCACTGTGTTCAAAGGCACTGCTGCACAGACGTGATTCTTCTTTCAACGAACATCTCCAGGACTTCCTCCGGGGTCTGTGACCTCATCTATAATTAAAGGGAAAGAGATCTTCCTGAGATTAGCCCATTTAACTTGTTTAACTAGATGCATGCTGCAAAAACTGTTTTCAAGAAATGAACAATTGACTATTTAAAAAGAGCCAAGCCTTAAAAGAAGACCAGGTTTTAATAGGGAAAACATTCAGTAAAATATTATTCTGCAGTAACTTGTGGAATGACTGCTGTACACACAGCTCTGGGCTGGGTACCTGGAAGCTCACGAGCTTGTTTGGCCTCCCCTCCTGGACACAGGAGGTGTCAAGGCTGTGGTCAGCAGAATCTACCCAGCTGGACACTGAGTGGACGCCCTGTGGGGTGGCTGTGAAATGGGTCCACTTTGTAGTGGCAGCATCCCTGATAGTACTTCTGAAAGGGACAAGATAGAAAAGCAAACCAAACTGAAACTGAGAAGTCGTGGATGATACCAGGGGCGCACAGTGGCTGACAGGAAGAGACTGCCTGGGGGGTCTCGGAGCCAGTGGCTGGAGTGGAGTTAGTTTGACCGAGTCCTGGACTAGGGAGGGGACCCCCAAAGCATGCCCAGCATGGCGCTAGTGGGGCCCAGGCACCCCATGTCCCAACGACTAGAACCAATAATCAGGTTAACACTCATTAAATAAGAAGTGTCTGTGCCTCCTGGGATAAAAATCCTTTATAACGATCTGGGACGCGAGCTCAAGTCCCTGTTCCCTTGTCCTCCACAGCAGTGTGCAGCGTGGAACTCGGCGGTTC
This sequence comes from Homo sapiens, assembly GCF_000001405.40. Taxonomy (NCBI): domain Eukaryota; kingdom Metazoa; phylum Chordata; class Mammalia; order Primates; family Hominidae; genus Homo; species Homo sapiens. The sequence continues at coordinate 1,003,049 of NC_000008.11, forward strand.
GGGGTCCCTGAGTCCCTGAGCCACTGTCTACCCCCTGCTCCATCCCAAATGCAGAGACCCCTGAGCACTCATGTGGACATGCCCCACCATGCCCTGGCTGCTCCTTCAGGATGGCGCAGGGCCACCGCTATGGGAGGACTCTAAAGGGTGGGTCTCAAGCCCTCCTCTGCTTACCCTAAATCAGGAGAGCAAACCGAATGCACTGCCCTCTTCCTTCACTCCTGCATCCCATCCCCCGCTATGGCCTCACTATCAGGTGGGCATCTGTGCTCCTAGTTTTCATGGGTGGCCCGACGGGGGCTGCAGAAAGTTCATGCATCGCATCACCCATCAGTGTAAGGTGCAGTGATCCTGCCACATGTGTCTTTGTCACAGGTCACTAGATTAAAGGCTAATATATCCATGGGTGGATGGAATATTTATTTGGCCAAATTGTTGTCTAACAATCCATTGGTTTTGGTTATCTATTGCTGAATAATAAGCCATCTCAACATTTAGTAAGCAGTGAGCATTGGTTGAAGCCACTGTTCCTGATGGCCAAGGTTGCCCAGGCTCAGCTGGGCGGCTCTTCTGCTCTGTGATGTGAGCTGGGGCTGAGCATCTGGAGATTTGACTGGGCAGTCAGGCACTCACTCACACAGGGCAGGTGGGGCTGGCTGTCAGCTTGTAGCTCATCTAGGGCTGTTGTCTGAGCGCCTGGATTCTCTCTCATGAGACCTGTCCAGCACCTTGGTCCCCCCATACCCCAGAATGGTGGCTCGGCCCTAAGTGGGAACCATTGAGTTAATGATGACATGACATTCTATCAAGAGATGATACCACAAGCCATACAGACATTTCTTACTTGTGTTTTTGTCATCATGTTTCAGCTTGTTTTAGCTTGGTGTCCCCCTCCCAAAAGATTGTAAATTATTCCAGTGCCAGGAATATATTTATTTCAATTCTTTTTTACCATTTTTTTTATTCTCTTGATGTTGCCTGGCACAAAATAATTGCCCGATACATGTTAGGACAGAAGTGACATTTGGATTGTTTCCGATCTTTTGGCTTTTATAGTATTAAAACAAAAATTTAATTTCCTAAAGCTTTTTCCATACAAATTAAAATTCCCCTAGAATTGTTCCTACAAATGGAAACACTGGCTCTAAGTATATGAATGTTGTAGACTTGCAATACACACTTCCAAGCTGCTTTTTCTCTAGGGACCACACATATTTATGTTGCCATTGGCAAGCGTGACAGAAACCTCCCAAGCAGCTTAACCAGCATTTGGCCACTTTAATTTTGTCTTTTATCTTCATAAATTTGGTAAGCTACAGTGACATTTTATTGCTTTAATTTGCATTTTGAGATTATTACCTGCTGTTTCAAATAGGTGAGCTCTACTTTTTCAAATACACGTCCAGATTTGGCTTGACTTGGAGTATTATATTCAAAATAGAGTCGGCCACAATCAGGGTTGGAAGTACCTAAGTTGTCATCTGGAATCTCCCTTTGGCCTCACGACTCTCTTGAGTTTCAGACCCTCCTGTATAGTGCCTGTGAAGGGATCGGATTGTGTCCACAGCTCGCACACTGAGCCTCTGGCTCAGTCACAGCTTAGAAGTGGTTACCAACTTAATTTCATTTTCTTAGGAAGGTGGGAGTGTCTCCAGTATGTGCGGCATCTTTCTCAGCTGGGAGGTCGGCTTCACACCAGTAGGTCGAGCCCTGTCTTCACTGCGCTCTGCCCTTGGTGGAGAGACCCCCGTGGCCCAGTATTGCAGCTGAAGTGTCCATGTCAAGGCATTATCATATGTTTTGTATCCTCAACTGTAGCAAAATGAAAATGTGATGCAGTGGGCAGAACTCAGGCAGGAGGGGGCTGCTGTCCGGCACCATGCAGGAAGGCTGCGTGGCAGCAGGGATGGTCACAGGCACACACAGGGCCCTGGCTTTTTGGCTGGGTCTTGTGTAGTGGTTGAATGAGATGTGACCATGGAGGGCAATGAGTGAAGAGCACACAGAAACTCTGTCTTCCACTGCCCTTGTGTCTTCCTGTGGATGGATCGTTATTTCCAAAGAAAAGATCGAAAGTAGTGTCACTGGTGCATCTATGTGGAGTTCCTGGCCCACTGATTGAGGCTACTGACCTCACCTACAGTTTGGAGCCCTTTCTGTTTTCCCAAAATACATTTGCTTGGCCTTGAGGGAACAGCTGTGGAGCTTGTGTTCTTGGAGTGAATCAGCCTTCCTGTGACTTCTACTCAGAAAGTCTGCAGAGAATGTCATAGAAAAGGGAGCCGCGTCCTTAGCAAGGCAGCCCGTCAAATAGTTGATGCCCATGTTGTTTCCTGTATTCAAAACAACTCCACTTGTTTTTTTTTTTTTTTTTTTTTGAGATGGGGTCTTGCTCTGTCACCCAGGCTGGAGTGCAGTGGTGCAGTGACAGCTCACTGCAGCCTCAACCTCCTGGCCTCAAGTGATTCTCTTGTCTTGGCCTCCCAGATAGCTGGGACTACAGGTGTGTGCCACCATGCCCAGCTTGCCCAGCTAATTTTTTTTTTTTTTTGGTAGAGATGAAGTTTCAATTTGTTGCCTAGGCTGGTCTCAAATTCCTAGGTTCAAGTGATTCTCCTGCCTTGGACTCCCAAAGTGCTGGTATTACAGGCATGAGCCACCGCTCCTAGCCCTACATCCCCAGTGTTTAAGCCATGCCTTGTGCCCTGGGAACTGCAGACACCAATCTGGATAATCTCTCTTGTACTTGTATTGAGTGTCCCTGTTGAAATTCAATGACCCAAATAATACCTTCAGGGAATGTGCTCCAGATGTCCCATGACTGGCAGAACCAGAACTTACGTAACGGGGAGTGAGGGAGATCAAAGAAATCTCACACCCTGGTCTGGCGCGGTGGCTCACGTCTGCTGAGGCGGGCAAATCACGAGGTCAAGAGATCAAGACCATCCTGGCCAACATGGTGAAACCCTGTCTCTACTAAAAATACAAAAATTAGCTGGGTGTGGTGGCGGGCACCTGTAATCACAGGTACTCGGGAGGCTGAGGCAGGAGAATCACTTGAACCAGGGAGTCTGACGTTGCAGTGAGCCGAGATCGCACCACTGCACTCCAGCCTGGGCAACAGAGCGAGACACCATCTCAAAAAGAAAAGAAGAAATCTCATGCCCCACCATCCCCCAACCCCTGAAAAAGATGGACAACTGTGCTATGCTTCTGGGGAGGATTGTGCCTTTATCACATCGAGGACGCCATGTGTCTGAAGTCTCAGAATACGGTCCTTTATCACGTCAGGGGTGCCCTGCGTCTCAAGTCTCGCGAGGTGGTCCTTTATCACGTCGGGGACACCATGTGTCTGAAGTCTCGGGATGTGGTCCTTTATCACGTCGGGGGCGCCCTGCATCTCAAGTCTTGGTATGTGGTCCTTTATCACATCGGGGACACCGTGTGTCTCAAGTCTCAGGATGTGGTCCTTTATCATGTCAGGGACACCGTGTGTCTCAAGTCTCAGGATGTCCTTTATCACGTCGGGGGCGCCCTGCGTCTCAAGTCTCGGGATGTGGTCCTTTATCACGTCGGGGACACCATGTGTCTGAAGTCTCGGGATGTGGTCCTTTATCACGTCGGGGGCGCCCTGCGTCTCAAGTCTCGGGATGTGGTCCTTTATCACATCAGGGACACCGTGTGTCTCAAGTCTCAGGATGTGGTCCTTTATCATGTCAGGGACACCGTGTGTCTCAAGTCTCAGGATGTCCTTTATCACGTCGGGGGCGCCCTGCGTCTCAAGTCTCGGGATGTGGTCCTTTATCACGTCGGGGACACCATGTGTCTGAAGTCTCGGGATGTGGTCCTTTATCACGTCGGGGGCGCCCTGCGTCTCAAGTCTCGGGATGTGGTCCTTTATCACGTCGGGGACACCGTGTGTCTCAAGTCTCAGGATGTGGTCCTTTATCACGTCAGGGACACCGTGTGTCTGAAGTCTCGGGATGTGGTCCTTTATCACGTTGGGGACACCTTGTGTCTGAAGTCTCAGAATACGGTCCTTTATCATGTCGGGGACGCCGTGTGTCTGAAGTCTCAGGATATGGTCCTTTATCACGTCGGGTATGCCGTGTATATGAAGTCTCGGGATGTGGTCCTTTATCATGTCGGGGACACCGTGCATCTCAAGTCTTAGGATACGGTCAGTCCCACACTCTTCACGTGTCTGCACGGGTTGTCTCTGTGACTGCTGTGATTTCCTGGAGGGGTTTGCTGGAGGACCTGGCCAGCCGCTCTCAGGTGCCCACGTCTCACTCTGGTGACTTCTGTGTGCTGTAACCAAGGGGGAGTGAAGCAGAAGGAAGACCAGCATTTTCCTGCTACCTTTGAATATTGGCCATCATGGCCCATTTTACCAAGCCCTTCAGGCAAGAGCAAGTCAGCTGACTTACATCCCAGGAGGGAAAGATGTGTCTCTAACTAAATCCTAGGGAGGCAAGGCCAGCGGATGTACACGAAGCCATGTGGCCATAGTCTGGCATGCTCCCTTTAAGGCTGAAGGCACCAGTGGTCCAGTGGTGGTCTTCTCTATGGGTAGTTTTTTTTTTTGGGGGGGGGATCTTCTGTGAGTCAACTGGCTCTGTCGTCCATCTCTTTAGGAGTCAGCAGTAGCAATACCTGCCAGCAGTGATGGAAACCTTCATATAAGGAAGCAGCTGATTTGGGTGTATAGTGAACTGTATTTTATGTTGCTGTGAAATTCATTCTGATTTTAAGGACAATGCTTTTGGTTAATTTGTGCCCAGTAACATAAAAATTTATAAACTTCTCAGTTTTTATGGCAAGGTCATTTTAAAAGGGAAAATGTCCCATAGTAGGGGAGGGAATCAACCCACTCCATGGCGCCCGGTCCGTCTCGCTGGTGACAGGACGCCCTCCATAAAGAAGGGGATGTGTTCTTTTCCTGTGATGGATGAGCAGGGCCCTGAATGTGCACCTTCAAGTTATTAGTTGAAAATGACGTGCACTCTCCAGGCTAGAATAAGTTTTAAAGTATTTTCTTTTTCATCCAAATTGATTAGTGAAGAAAGATCCTGATCTACCTTCCCATTTGGACATAATTTTTGTTTGAAATCAGGAACTAGTTGAAACATTCAAGGTCAAGATCTTGATAAAAGATAAATGTCAGTAGTTATTACGTAGAACAAATGCTAAGACAAAAACAGGCCATTTGAAAACTGGCTTGCCATTAGTTTCTATGAAGAAGTTAAAACATTTCAGCTTTGTTTACCTTCCTTTGCACAACGAGTGTCTATAATGTAGCCCAAGCCAGGAAATAGTGAAAACTGGTATTGATTTTGCAGATATGGTTTTAAGATAATTATCATATTCTAGTAATAGGCAACTCAACTTTTAAAAAGAAGTAATTGTGTTCTTGGAAAGGAAACAAAGCTAACATTTGTATATAAAATCATATTTTCTTATTGATGCATTATAATTTCCGATGGCTGTTCCTGAACAAGAAAAAGTTAAGACTTGCATGAAAACTTGATATAAAATCTTAAATGCTTAGAGCTGCCTTTGTCAGTGGAAGCCAATGTCCTTTGCATGGTTCTTACTGTGCCGTAATTAAGCTGGAGAACAGCTGTCCGCCTCTGCAGGAGGACTGGTACTCACTACATCGCCATGCCAGGGCCGGTTCCCCGCTCCCCCACCCCAGCACTGAGGGTCCGTCAGGGAGCAACCTCCACCTGCTGCATGGTGCTGCGCCCCCACTGGTGTGCATGGGAACTGGGAGAGGGGCCCCGGGCCTCCTAGTCCTGATTCCGCCCAGGCAGCTCCGAACATGGGTGAGACCACATGGCCCCTTCTGACACCCAGATGCAACCCTGTGAGGAGCTGGAGTCAGGTCAGCAGCACCCAGAGGCTCCTGGGTATGCAGAATCGCACTGCCATGGCCAGACCCTTCCTCGCAGGCCTCCAGTACCCCTTCCCACCCATGGGATTTCCCTGGCAAAAGCTGGGTGGGGGCCCTGATGGGGGGCAGGCAGGAGTGTAGCTGCACAGCCCAGCCTGGGGACCCTCTTCCATGTGGCCGAGGGTGGTGTTCCTGCAATGCTTGGTCAGCTCTGCCTCCTGCTTTCCAATCTCCTAAGGCCCTGGACACCCACCTCCCAGTTCTGTCCCCCAAAACTCTCCTTCCTCCCCTCCTTCAGTGGAATGCATTTTCTTTTTGTTCGTCAAGTCCCAGCAGAACAGACATTAGAATGTTCCCAGTTTCCATTTTATTAGAACATTTCATAGATGTCATATCGGATAACGGGCTTTTTCTATAATGGTTTATTTGACCTAAGGAACACATAATAGATTTTTGGAAGGAGATTCTAAATATTGAGAATTAGATTGTTATTCAGAGTTAATACCCTAGGACAGACTTTTGGTATTGCTTCTGACATTTTCTTTGACTGAATGATGAAGTGAAATTTCTAAATTCAAATGTGGGAATTAGCTTTACACGTGGGAATTTTTTTGAGCTCACACTGTTCATAGTGGAAGTGGATGGAGTCAGTGATTATGTCTTGTTTCAGTTGGAAGCAGAGTCCATTACCTGGACTGACTTAGCTCAATGTTGGTTTTCATTCTTCGAGGAACTTGCATGATGAAGAACCAGAAATGGAACCTTTTCCTTTCACCTGCTGCGTGTGTAGAGTGGGCCACCTCTCATTTGTCTCCACAGCCTAGACCTTGCTCACATAATCCTGGCGCTTTGCAGAGGAAGGAGGTGGTAATTTTGCAGATTATTATCTAAACCAGATAAAATATCAAATGCCCATTTATCTGTTGGAAATACCTCATAGGAGATTGTGTTTGGAATTGGTTTTTCATTAACAAGCCAGTAAGGTCTTGTGTTTTTGCACAGTTGATTGAAACAATGGAAGCTGCTAGCACAACTTATCTTTCTGAAGAAGTTTCCAGGTACACCTTATGCTAAAAAGAATGTCAGTATTTCACTGTTGTTGCTTTTAATATCGTGGTATCAGTGAGCTAAGGACTTACTCATCTTCAACAAACTAAAGATTTTTAAAATATCTTAATTAATCACAAGCTACTTAACTACATATATGCACACACACCTATGCACACACAGACACATGCACACACATGCATGCACATGTGCACACTCAGATATCAGTTTTATACACACATACACACATGTGCCCACATATGCGCACACATGCACACACACATTCTCACATATGTGTGTACACTCAGATATCAGTTTTATACACACATACACACATGTGCCCACATATGCACACACATGCACACACGCACTCATTCTCACATGTGTGCACAGTCAGATATCACAGTTTTATACACACATACACACATGTGCCCACATATGCACACACATACTCATATTCTCACATATGTGTGCACACATGTGCACTCTAAAATACTACACATTACCCACATATGGGCACACATACGCCCACACACACATACAGAGTTCGGGCAGTGAAGAGTAGAGCCATTTTACTGGTAATCTGCAAGTCCAGTTTCACTTACGACATCAAATGGAGCTTAATGATATAAACAAAACCTGCAAGAATGGGTGAGGCTTTTCCCATAGCTAGCCACCTGAGTGGTGTCATTTCAGGAACCTAAGAATAATTTCCTCTCAATTTCCTGCCGTAATGCTTGATTTTTGCCCTCAGAAATGAATTCCTAAGTGTCTTGAAGACTTTTTGTTTTTAGTTAAACTTTAAAAACACCTCAGAGATCTAAACCCCAGGGAGCATCACGGGGCTCCTCTCCTCTGGGTCCAGCCACAGGCAGGGGCCTGCACAGTGAGCCCCAGGCGAGGGGCCCCTCAGTCTACACAGTGGGCCCCAGGCGAGGGGCCTCAGTCTACACAGTGAACCCCGGGCGAGGGGCCTCAGTCTGCATGGTGAGCCCCGGGCGAGGGGCCTCAGTCTACATAGTGAGCCCTGGAATGTGGGGCCTCAGTCTGCATGGTGATTCTGGGCAAGGGGTCTCAGTCTACACAGTGAGCCCTGGAATGAGGTACCTTAGTCTGCACAGTGAGCCCGGGCGAAGGGCCTCAGTCTACACAGTGAGCTCTGGAATGAGGGGTCTTAGTCTACACAGTGAGCCCTGGAATGAGGGGTCTCAGTCTGCACAGTGAGCCCTGGAATGAGGGGTCTCAGTCTACACAGTGAGCCCTAGAATGAGGAGTCTCAGTCTACACAGTGAGCCCTGGAATGGGGGGTCTCAGTCTGCACAGTGGACCCTGGAATGAGGGGTCTCAGTCTGCACAGTGAGCCCTGGAATGAGGGGTCTCAGTCTACACAGTGAGCCCTAGAATGAGGAGTCTCAGTCTACACAGTGAGCCCTGGAATGAGGGGTCTCAGTCTACACAGTGAGCCCTGGAATGGGGGGTCTCAGTCTGCACAGTGGGCCCTGGAATGAGGGGTCTCAGTCTGCACAGTGAGCCCTGGAATGAGGAGTCTCAGTCTACACAGTGAGCCCTGGAATGAGGAGTCTCAGTCTACACAGTGAGCCCTGGACGAGGTTCCTCAGTCTGCACAGTGGGCCCTGGAATGAGGGGTCTCAGTCTGCACAGTGAGCCCTGGAATGAGGAGTCTCAGTCTATAGAGTGAGCCCTGGAATGAGGAGTCTCAGTCTACACAGTGAGCCCTGGACGAGGGTCCTCAGTCTGCACAGTGGGCCCTGGAATGAGGGGTCTCAGTCTACACAGTGGGCCCTGGAATGAGAGTCCTCAGTCTGCACAGTGGGCCCTGGGCGAGGGTGTCAGTCTGAGGCACAGATGTGGAACCAGGAGTTGTGGATGGACGTTTTCCCAGGGCTTTGTGTTTTACCGAGGATGCTCTCTTGCCCTCTGCTCCACCTGGGCGTGTAGACGGATGTCTCGGCTCACTCTAAATTCAGGCTGGTTGCCTGAGTGGCTCAAGTCCAGGGGCATGGCTTTCACAGAAGATGTTTTATAGGCCCTGCAAACACATGCCAGGTCCTTCACATGCATGGCCCGTGTCGCAGGAAGACCAGACTCTGTTCCCCACTTGCAGACTCAGCCAGGTGCAGCGGTATCCCCTTGCTAGGCTGTGTGATTTTCTCCTTGAAGTTCTGCCTTTTAATTTTCGTCCTCACTCAGGCCTGACATGTCTGACACCCCTGCTGACTTCCATCTTTGACAGGCTTAAATCCCCATCCCTTCGCTCTTCCTGTAGTCCTGTCTGTTGCACGGATTACAGTTAAAATAGAAGACGAAGAACGCACTCTCGGAAGCCCGTCTGCCACACAGATACTGTACTGTGATAGAAAGCGCCCGCGGCAAATGCTTCTTGGACCCACAGGCTGCTGCGCGAGCGAGGATCTCCAGTAGTCTCTGTGTGGCTGCCTCTGCGGGAACTTCCAGCGGCAGTGTGGACACCGTCTGACCAGCCCCCCACTTCAGCGGCAGTGTGGACAACGTCCGACCAGCCCCCCCACTTCAGCGGCAGTGTAGACACCGTCCAACCAGCCCCCCACTTCAGCGGCAGTGTGGACACCGTCTGACCGGCCCCCCCGACTTCAGCGGCAGTGTGGACACCGTCCGACCAGCCCCCCACTTCAGCGGCAGTGTGGACACCGTCCGACCAGTCCCCCCTACTTCAGCGGCAGTGTGGACACCGTCCGACCGGCCCCCCCACTTCAGCGGCAGTGTGGACACCCTCCGACCAGCCCCCCACTTCAGCGGCAGTGTGGACACCCTCTGACCAGCCCCCTACTTTCCAGTGTTCCCCCGCCTCCACCCATCACGATAAGCACGCCAGGTTCTGCTGAGACCACTGTCCCATGAGTATGTGTCGTGTGCCTGGCGATTGCATCTGTGTGTTCCTGTTTAACCTCTCTGCAAACAGAGGGGGTCCCTGCCAGTGTGGCTTCAGTTTTGCAGATGAGGAAGTTGAGACTGTGGACTAGGAAGGTGTTTCCCTTCTTCCTGCAGCTCACAGATGCTGGGGTCTCCATGCTTCCAGCCCTCCGGCCCCTGGGCACCTATGTTCTTTGTGGTCCATTATTATGTCTTTTCCCTGTTCCAGTTTTTGATCTAGTTACTGAAAGGCCTGTGCTGCTAATTCCTTTCATACGTATCAATAGTCAAGGGCTATGTGTATAGACTTTCAGCATTTGAACTACGTTATTGGTGTGAAAAGTTAAGCATTTGTGAACTAAGTGCCCACCATGTACTGCCCTGTGCAGGATACAGTAGAGCTTTGAGCATCTCGTAGGTTGATAAGGAAAAGCCACAGGCACAGATTAAAGGACAAGAGGAGAGGGGAGAGCCTCACGCTTGTTTGTAGAGCCGGTGTCCTGACTCTCTAGGGAGAAAGATGGGAGGTGCTGCTGGACCAGCAGGAATCGGAATAGGAGGCAGATGAGCCAGCCTTTCCCAGGACGGGCAGCATCACAGGGTCTCTGTGGGGGCGTGATGGGGGTGGGTGATGATGTTGCCGCAGAGGTCTCCAGACAGCACTAGTGTGACCTGGCCCAGCAAACGGACAGACGGCGCCTCCACTGTGTGTGTGACCAGGACAGACGGTGCCTCCACTGTGTGTGTGACCAGGACAGACGCCTCCACTGTGTGAGACCAGGACAGACGATGCCTCCATTGTGTGTATGACCAGGACAGACGACGCCTCCACTGTGTGTGTGACCAGGACAGACGGTGCCTCCACTGTGTGTGTGACCAGGACAGACGGCGCCTCCACTGCGTGTGTGACCAGGACAGACGGTGCCTCCACTGTGTGAGACCAGGACAGACGATGCCTCCACTGTGTGTATGACCAGGACAGACGACGCCTCCACTGTGTGTGTGACCAGGACAGACGACGCCTCCACTGTGTGTGTGACCAGGACAGACGCCTCCACTGTGTGAGACCAGGACAGACGATGCCTCCACTGTGTGTATGACCAGGACAGACGGCGCCTCCACTGTGTGTGACCAGGACAGACGGCGCCTCCACTGTGTGTGTGACCAGGACAGACGATGCCTCCACTGCGTGAGACCAGGACAGACGATGCCTCCATTGTGTGTATGACCAGGACAGACGACGCCTCCACTGTGTGTGTGACCAGGACAGACGGTGCCTCCACTGTGTGTGTGACCAGGACAGACGGCGCCTCCACTGCGTGTGTGACCAGGACAGACGGTGCCTCCACTGTGTGAGACCAGGACAGACGATGCCTCCACTGTGTGTATGACCAGGACAGACGACGCCTCCACTGTGTGTGTGACCAGGACAGACGGTGCCTCCACTGTGTGTGTGACCAGGACAGACGCCTCCACTGTGTGAGACCAGGACAGACGATGCCTCCATTGTGTGTATGACCAGGACAGACGACGCCTCCACTGTGTGTGTGACCAGGACAGACGGTGCCTCCACTGTGTGTGTGACCAGGACAGACGCCTCCACTGTGTGAGACCAGGACAGACGATGCCTCCATTGTGTGTATGACCAGGACAGACGACGCCTCCACTGTGTGTGACCAGGACAGACGACGCCTCCACTGTGTGTGACCAGGACAGACGATGCCTCCACTGTGTGTGTGACCAGGACAGACGGTGCCTCCACTGTGTGTGTGACCAGGACAGACGGCGCCTCCACTGCGTGTGTGACCAGGACAGACGGTGCCTCCACTGTGTGAGACCAGGACAGACGATGCCTCCACTGTGTGTATGACCAGGACAGACGACGCCTCCACTGTGTGTGTGACCAGGACAGACGACGCCTCCACTGTGTGTGTGACCAGGACAGACGCCTCCACTGTGTGAGACCAGGACAGACGATGCCTCCACTGTGTGTATGACCAGGACAGACGGCGCCTCCACTGTGTGAGACCAGGACAGACGGCGCCTCCACTGTGTGTGTGACCAGGACAGACGCCTCCACTGTGTGTGACCAGGACAGACGACGCCTCCACTGTGTGTGTGACCAGGACAGACGGCGCCTCCACTGTGTGTGTGACCAGGACAGACGGTGCCTCCACTGTGTGTGTGACCAGGACAGACGCCTCCACTGTGTGAGACCAGGACAGACGATGCCTCCACTGTGTGTGTGACCAGGACAGACGACGCCTCCACTGTGTGTGTGACCAGGACAGACGACGCCTCCACTGTGTGTGTGACCAGGACAGACGGTGCCTCCACTGTGTGTATGACCAGGACAGACGACGCCTCCACTGTGTGTGTGACCAGGACAGACGGCGCCTCCACTGTGTGTATGACCAGGACAGACGACGCCTCCACTGTGTGTGACCAGGACAGACGATGCCTCCACTGTGTGTGTGACCAGGACAGACGACGCCTCCACTGTGTGTGACCAGGACAGACGGCGCCTCCACTGTGTGTGTGACCAGGACAGACGATGCCTCCACTGTGTGTGACCAGGACAGACGACGCCTCCACTGTGTGTGACCAGGACAGACGATGCCTCCACTGTGTGTGTGACCAGGACAGACGACGCCTCCACTGTGTGTGACCAGGACAGACGGCGCCTCCACTGTGTGTGTGACCAGGACAGACGATGCCTCCACTGTGTGTGACCAGGACAGACGACGCCTCCACTGTGTGTGACCAGGACAGACGATGCCTCCACTGTGTGTGACCAGGACAGACGACGCCTCCACTGTGTGTGACCAGGACAGACGATGCCTCCACTGTGTGTGTGACCAGGACAGACGATGCCTCCACTGTGTGTGTGACCAGGACAGACGATGCCTCCACTGTGTGTGTGACCAGGACAGACGATGCCTCCACTGTGTGTGACCAGGACAGACGATGCCTCCACTGTGTGTGTGACCAGGACAGACGATGCCTCCACTGTGTGTATGACCAGGACAGACGATGCCTCCACTGTGTGTGACCAGGACAGACGATGCCTCCACTGTGTGTGTGACCAGGACAGACGGCGCCTCCACTGTGTGTGTGACCAGGACAGACGATGCCTCCACTGTGTGTGACCAGGACAGACGACGCCTCCACTGTGTGTGACCAGGACAGACGATGCCTCCACTGTGTGTGTGACCAGGACAGACGGTGCCTCCACTGTGTGTATGACCAGGACAGACGATGCCTCCACTGTGTGTGTGACCAGGACAGACGGCGCCTCCACTGTGTGTGTGACCAGGACAGACGATGCCTCCACTGTGTGTGACCAGGACAGACGGCGCCTCCACTGTGTGTGTGACCAGGACAGACGACGCCTCCACTGTGTGTGTGACCGGGACAGACGGCGCCTCCACTGTGTGTGTGACCAGGACAGACGACGCCTCCACTGTGTGTGTGACCAGGACAGACGATGCCTCCACTGTGTGTGACCAGGACAGACGACGCCTCCACTGTGTGTGACCAGGACAGACGATGCCTCCACTGTGTGTGTGACCAGGACAGACGGCGCCTCCACTGTGTGTGTGACCAGGACAGACGATGCCTCCACTGTGTGAGACCAGGACAGACGGCGCCTCCACTGTGTGTGTGACCAGGACAGACGACGCCTCCACTGTGTGTGACCAGGACAGACGATGCCTCCACTGTGTGTGTGACCAGGACAGACGGCGCCTCCACTGTGTGTGTGACCAGGACAGACGACGCCTCCACTGTGTGTGTGACCAGGACAGACGATGCCTCCACTGTGTGTGACCAGGACAGACGACGCCTCCACTGTGTGTGACCAGGACAGACGATGCCTCCACTGTGTGTGTGACCAGGACAGACGGCGCCTCCACTGTGTGTGTGACCAGGACAGACGACGCCTCCACTGTGTGTGACCAGGACAGACGATGCCTCCACTGTGTGTGTGACCAGGACAGACGGCGCCTCCACTGTGTGTGTGACCAGGACAGACGATGCCTCCACTGTGTGTGACCAGGACAGACGATGCCTCCACTGTGTGTGTGACCAGGACAGACGGCGCCTCCACTGTGTGTGTGACCAGGACAGACGGCGCCTCCACTGTGTGTGACCAGGACAGACGACGCCTCCACTGTGTGTGTGACCAGGACAGACGGCGCCTCCACTGTGTGTGTGACCAGGACAGACGACGCCTCCACTGTGTGTGTGACCGGGACAGACGGCGCCTCCACTGTGTGTGTGACCAGGACAGACGACGCCTCCACTGTGTGTGTGACCAGGACAGACGATGCCTCCACTGTGTGTGACCAGGACAGACGACGCCTCCACTGTGTGTGACCAGGACAGACGATGCCTCCACTGTGTGTGTGACCAGGACAGACGGCGCCTCCACTGTGTGTGTGACCAGGACAGACGACGCCTCCACTGTGTGTGACCAGGACAGACGATGCCTCCACTGTGTGTGTGACCAGGACAGACGGCGCCTCCACTGTGTGTATGACCAGGACAGACGGTGCCTCCACTGTGTGTGTGACCAGGACAGACGGCGCCTCCACTGTGTGTGTGACCAGGACAGACGCCTCCACTGTGTGTGACCAGGACAGACGATGCCTCCACTGTGTGTGTGACCAGGACAGACGACGCCTCCACTGTGTGTGACCAGGACAGACGGCGCCTCCACTGTGTGTGTGACCGGGACAGATGACACCTCCACTGTGTGTGACCAGGAGCCTTTTGGCTTGTGTTTCCTGTGGGGTTTCCATACCCAGGGCTGTAGAAGCAGGACGGGGACTGACTGAGCCTGCAAGGGGCCTGCCGTGGGCGGGTAGACTCGTCTGAGTGCAAGTGGCCACCTCACTCCTCTCCACGCTACTGGGTTCATCCCTGTCCCAGGCCTCCAGCTGCTTTAGTTCAGGGCAGGCAAACTGTGGCCTGCATCCTGCCACTGAGTTTGCAGAGAAAGTTTGATTGGACACAGCCACACCTATGGCTTTGTAGTGCTTGGGGCCACTTTCCTAGTTGTGGCAGAGAACAAGTGTACCCCACAACCTGAACTATTCCCACCCCATCCCTTTGTGGAAAGCGCTCACTGACCCCTGCCCCTACAGGCCCTCCGTCCTCAGCTTGGCCCTGCTCAGTCAGCTGCATTGACCAAGACTCTCACATGACCCCTGCCCCTACAGGCCCTCCATCCTCATGCTTGGCCCTGCTCAGTCAGATGCATTATCCTAGACTCTCACATGATCCCTGCCCCTATAGGCCCTCCGTCCTCAGCTTGTCCCTGCTCAATCAGATGCGTTATCCCAGACTCTGACACCATAGGACTTCCTTCTTTGAACATTGATTCCGGCTGATGTTCAGTGTGTGACTAAACTGAGCTGTGAAGAAACTCAATTGATTTGACCACAGCATGTTTTACTGGGATTCTATTTCGCATTAGGTTGGGAAGTCCTCCTGCAAGCAAACCTGGTTTATTGTCTTATTAGTGAGTGCCCTAGCTCTTGGCTGCCCTATGAATGGCAGTCACTGCCAGGCTCAGCCAGGCCTGCCCTGCTGAAGTTGACCAGCAGTCCCAGTGGCTGAAGGCCTGGAGGCAGCAGTGACTCTGTCCTCCTGGCTCTGCCTGTGCTGGGCTTTAAGCACACATTGCTCTTGGCAGAAATTAAAGTTTATCTGTCCTCATAATTACGTTGAGGTCTCCTACATTAAGTAATCTGTGATATTTAAACAAAGTTCATACTTTTTACATTTAATTGACTATTTTAGGTCATATTCCTTATCAACTGGAAATATTTTGTTAATTCAAAGGAAACACATTTCAGCAGTCACTTTAACTAAAAAGTCTTTGCTATTTGAGATTTTATCTTCTTGTCTGTTAAAAAACTGTTTGGCACCTTAATTTGCATGAATCGATTTCCAGTCGCTCAAATCCAGTTTGTGCAATGACAAGCTGGTGTGGCTGAAACGGCAGTTGCTCAAGAGCATTAGAACAGCCTTCACCATGTGGGTTTACATGGACAGCACGGTCAGCAGACAGTGAGACGGGCGCTTGTCCACTCGTCTGACACCGTGGGGCCATAGGAGGCAGCGACTGAGAAGGTCAGTCCCATTAAAAATGCCCTTTGGCTCATCTGGAAGCTGTATCTCTGGTCATGCACCATGCCAGCCACGCCAGCCACGCCAGCATTATCACGGCATGTGCTTTAAAATCATGCAGACGTTGTTCTAGAGTGAGTGTGAACAGCTTTCACACTTGGGCACTGTGCCGGTTCCCATGCTGGCTTTCCCACATGCACACAGGTGGCTGGCACGCAGCTCTGCACCTCTTACTGTTGGGAGCTCAGAAGCCTCTCTCTGTGGTGGTTTTTCATCTCGGGATAATTGAACCCAGCTGGGAAGTACCAGGACCAGAGAATCTCTGCTGCATAATATCACCACCCCGTGGCAACTCACAAAGCAAGATTTTCACCGAGAATCGCACATAGAAATAATTTCACATCTGCTTCTGGAAAGATTTTCACCGAGAATCGCACATAGAAAGAATTCCACATCTGCTTCTGGAGCACATTTCCCTCTAAAGAGAGGGGCAGAGCGACTTCACCGTCTGTCGTCATCTGGTGGTGGAAACCACTTCTAGGTTTGAAGGTGAGTTATTCATGCTGGAATTTCGTGATCTCTGTGGGGACTGTGGCTTATTCATTGGAGCTTGAATATTTTTCAGGGTTTGCTTTGGTGTGATTATACATATAAAGATATGTCTAGAATTCATGTCTCTATCAGACTCTGATTCTTTCACCCTGAGGTGTACCCACTTCTGCCCTCCCGCCGACCTAGCACCTATGTCAGACTGGGGGATTCAGGTAAAATAAACCGAGGGAAGTCTTGAGCTTGAGGCAGAGCCACTGGTTTCTTGCAGGGACAAAGTCAGGCAGCAGTGGTAGCGTTCCCTTCCGGGATGGCCTGTGTGTGTGTGAATGCAGGGCGTGGGGAGGGACAAAAGTTGTTTCCCCAGCAGCACGATAAAATCACTTTGTGAACTTTGGTTCAGTATTTTATTTGTCAAAGAAGTTAAGTTGCTTAACATTTTAACTGTCAACAAATAAGTAGATACATGCATTAAAATTTGATGGCCATTAAATAATTTTTATAAAGCAAATATATCAAGTATAAAATAAATCATACAATTATTCAAGTATCCATACAGTGGCCTGACTTTTATTGATTGCCTTACAAGTAAAATTTACTTATTTGTTTCTACAAGGAAGCCATCCTGCTTTAAAAAGTTTTCAGCTCCAGAGGGACCAATTTGGGTATGAAACCCTGAAGCGTATTAGAAAGTGACCGTTAATTGCTAACCTGAGAGAACGTTTGTATTCCAGGCTGTCATGAAGCCCCTGACTGGCTTAAGGACAGATTATTTTATTCAATGGTTCTGGTTGATTCCTATCTCTAATCCAAGCCCTCTGTTTCTTACTCCATGTAGTAAGGGCTGAGGCATTATAGCTTAGCAGTCTTCAGAAATCTTTTACATGTATTATCGCACCTGATTTTGTACTGAATTGAAGAAGGGATTGAGGTCTCAGAGATGGTGCTCACACAATGTGTTGAGCACATCAGGGCATGTCTGAGAGTGAGAGTGAACGCATTGACAGCATTGTCAGGAGAACAGTCATTAACAGCGATGGTGGTGAGCACACTGGGACCTGTGAGCACCCTGATCTTAGGACTCACTGAGTAAGGGGAACCAACACCCACTCAGACTGTCTTTGGTAAACATTAAAGAGTAGCCATCTGTGTGTCAGGAGAATACGCACAGAACCCAGGGCACAGAGGGGAGAGCTGGGGCTCCAGCCACGGGTTTGGGACCCAGGCTTTACGGCTCCAGAGACTGAACAGTCTTGGGATTCCTACAAGAGTGACTCTGGCCAGCTCAGCACAGCTGGGACCATCCCTGCCTCATCCCCCATTCATACAAATGCTCATCTAGGTCTTAAGAGCAGGCAAAGCAATTAATCAATATCCCACTGCAGTAGGACAAAGTGTTATGCACCTTTTATAGATAAACTAAAAGGAATAGTCATTCCAAAGATTACCATGCACGTGTCACACCTGGGATGCAGACTCATGGTACTGGATTAGCCCACAGTTTTGTTCCTATGATGGTCACTTGTGCCTACAGATAATTAATATCAATTTGAGTATATTCTTGGGAGTAAATAGCTCTAGTAAAAGTGATATAGCTTAAATATCTTAAGAAGATATTGTTACCCTTGACATCAGAAACATAAGAAGGATGGAACGCATAGATTTGCTGATTTTTCCAGGTGTACAGATTATAAGCTGCCAGCCCTAAAATACGATATATTTTGGAAAGTGCTCAGAGAGAACAATTGAAATGACCCATTTCATTCCCTGAGGATGAAAATGCTCTAAGGTGAGAGCAGAAACCATGAGGGTGGCGTGTGGCATTTCTCTTGTTTGACTCGAGCAAAGGCATTCCATTATTGGCAGGGGCAGATTAGCCATGTTGAGCTCAGCTAGCATTTTTGGACCAATTATGGGAGTGATTTCCCCTAATTATAGATCAACAGTTTGTGGGCAGGCAGACACCTGTCTTGGCTGTCTTGATCTCAGGCAGTCAGAGTCCTGGAAAAACTATTGATATAAGAGGTCAGAGACCACAGATAATTCACTAAGTTAATAAGAACTCAGCTAAAGACTCCATGAGACTTCAGCTCACATAATTTTACAGGTGAGTACTTCCCTGGGAAAGGTGGGGGACCCAGTGTCTCCTCCCACCACATCTTCTGCCCATCTCCCTGTGGGACACCCCAACCCAGATGCTGTGGGGTTGGAATGTGCACACCACTGTCAGTGGTGGGAGGAGGCAGGCACCGTCGGGTTCTGCCTGTGACGTGTTCCTCTCCCTGGGCTTCTCCTCTTGTTTGTTCCACGACCATCTCCACCCCCCACTTCCTGGGAGCATCTTCTCTCTTGATGTTAGCGCCAGTATTAGGAAAGGGCCTGAGACCATCATGGCCAAGTTGCATGTGCGAAAGCATCATGGACAAAGCCACTGGCCTTGCAAAGGGGTGAGTTGTACAAAGTCCTGCAAAGAGCATGTTGGTTGTCACCAGCGAACAGGTGCAGAGAAGCCCAGACAGCACCCAATGCCCGTCTGAGGGCCATGTCCGAGCCACACACCCATCCTCCCTGGGGGTGGACAGTCCTGTGCTGAGGTAGACACTCCAAACACCACCCACCCTCCCTGGGAGTGGACAGTCCCATGCCGAGGTAGACACTCCAGCCGCCACCCATCCTCCCTGGGAGTGGACACTCCCGTGCCGAGGTAGATGCTCCAAACAGCACCCACCCTCCCTGGGAGTGGACGGTCCCGTGCCGAGGTAGACACTCTAAACACCACCCACCCTCCCTGGGAGTGGACAGTCCCGTGCCAAGGTAGACGCTCCAAACAGCACCCACCCTCCCTGGGAGTGGACGGTCCCGTGCCAAGGTAGACACTCCAGCCGCCATCCATCCTCCCTGGGATTGGACGGTCCCATGCCGAGGTAGACACTCCAGCCGCCACCCATCCTCCCTGGGAGTGGACGGTCACGTGCCGAGGTAGACACTCCAGCCGCCACCCATCCTCCCTGGGAGTGGACACTCCCGTGCTTAGGTAGATGCTCCAAACAGCACCCACCCTCCCTGGGAGTGGACGGTCCCGTGCCGAGGTAGACGCTCCAAACAGCACCCACCCTCCCTGGGGGTGGACAGTACCGTGCCGAGGTAGATGCTCCAACCACAATCCACCCTCCCTGGGAGTGGACAGTCCCATGCCGAGGTAGACACTCCAGCCGCCACCCATCCCCCCCGGGAGTGGATGGTTCCGTGCCGAGGTAGACACTCCTTCCTTGTTGGTATTCAGGGTATTCAGAGTGTTGTCTTTGCACTGAAATTGGCAGCTTTAGAAACACTGGTGGATTTAAACAATCTTGATCTGAATCTTAGAGGCTGTCATGTGAATGTCCTCACAGGGAACATATGAAGAACATTAAACTCGCATGTATCTTTGTACAGAGGGAAGGAGCATTGCGATCTGCAGACATCCAGCCACATGCCGTGTGTGATGCTGGCACCATGGTCAAGATGGTGACCTTTTCTCCCCAGGCATTGGCGTGATGCCGATTTTCAAATTTTCAAAGGACACACTGTCGCTAATAGAAATATTTTCTTTTGTTCAGATGCCCAGGGCCAAGGGACTCAAAGAGTATCTGGTCAGGTTGTTCTCAGCGTGCCTGAGATATAGCAGTTCAGAAGTGGAGCTATCACGTAGGTCTGTTCGCTGGGCTCTACATCTGTGACTGAAGCTGGATCAGTTCAGCTGTCTTCGCTCCTCTCTCTGTAGCAATATGTAGAGGGGGTGTTCGTTGATGGATTGATGAGGTCTTATGATGTTCCCAGGCCAGATTCTAACTCCTGGGTTCAAGCAGCATCCCATGACCTGAGCCTCCCCTGTAGCGGGCACTGTAGTTGCACACCGCAGCACCTGGCTGGAGTCCTGTTTGAGGTCCAGCAACAAGCGAGTTACTGAGAATGAGAATGACCTTTGTGTGTGTGAACCTCAGTGTGCGTGTGTTTCAGCGCAACAGTGTCGGCAGGCCCCGTTTGTTCCTGCTCAGGACCTGGTGATCATTGTTCCCCACGTGTGGCTCAAATATCATTAGCGGCTCTTGTTTCTTACCAGCACCTTTTCCCCATCGCAGCCCAGCCCTGCTTTCCTTAGAGTGCACCTGTGAGGTCTTGCCCCACCTCATTCTGCAGCGAGATGGGGCATTCCCGTTTCAATGTCTGTCTGTGTTGATATTTTCAAATAATGCTTGGTCTTTCCGTCTGCAAGTGCTCAAACTTTATATATGTGTGTGTGTGTGTGTGTGTGTGTGTGTGTGTGTGTGTGTGTAGTTTGCTTCCGATGCTCTGCAAAATCCCGGCTGCTGCTTTCTAAGTGTGGGTGGCTGTGGGTTTGCACCTTCCCCTTTTTCTCAGCCTCCACCTCTTGTGTCTCAGGGCCCCTGTCTTCCTCATGCCTCTGTCCAGGTGCCATGTGCGGTGTGGGGTGTTTCAGACCTCTTCCTGCAGGACGAGGCCTCCGGCTTGGGCTGTAAGTGAATCCCCAGTGGAGGAGTGGACAGTCCCATGCCAAGGTAGATGCTCCATCCACCACCCACCCTCCCTGGGGGTGGACAGTTCCGTGCCGAGGTAGACACTCCAAACACCACCCACCCTCCCTGGAAGTGGACAGCCCCGTGCCGAGGCAGACACCCCAGCCACCACCCACCCTCCCTGGGGGTGGACAGTCCCGTGCCGAGGCAGACACCCCAGCCACCACCCACCCTCCCTGGGGGTGGACAGTCCCGTGCCGAGGCAGACACCCCAGCCGCCACCCACCCTCCCTGGGGGTGGACAGTCCCGTGCCGAGGCAGACACCCCAGCCGCCACCCACCCTCCCTGGGGGTGGACAGTCCCGTGCCGAAGGAGACGCTCCAACCACCACCCATGCCAAGGTAGTGCCTGCACCTCTGCCTGGCACAGCAGCTTGGGGGCGGCTCTTCCCCCGCTGTGCCCTCTGTGGTGGGGGTGCCTCCTTGCTTCCTTTGAAGAGCTTTACTCCCTCATGCTCTGTTGTATGACTGGAGACAGAACTAAAACTAAAAGGAGGCAACAGAGGAGGAGTGCGGTGGGTTTGTTCTCTCTGCTCGTGAAGAACTCACAGGCGCTTCAGCAGGGCTGGGTCACGGTCACGTAGGGTCCTCTGGGTGAAACGGACCTTCTTATGGAGCCTCCTGTGGGACACGCGTGAGGGGCTTAGGCCAGCGGCGTCTCAAGCTCATTTTGAAGAACCGAGATGTGACTCCATTTCCCAACTGCAGCCCTTGATCCTTGTAATAAGGGGAAGCTGGGATAGAACCTTGGCGTGGCAGAGTCTGGAATGACGGACAGAGGTGTTGGTGTGGGTCTCTCCCTTTCGGGAGCGGCTGCCTTTTTCCACAAGAGTAGCCGTTCTCTCTCTCTCTGTGTCTCTGCTCCCCCCTCTCCTGTGTGTGTGCATATGCGTGCATGTGCATGTGTGTGCATGTGTGTGTGCGCGTGTATGTGTGTGCGTGTATGTGTGTGCGTGCATGTGCGTGTGCATGTGTGTGTGCGTGTGTGTGTGCGCACGTGTGTGTGTCTTAATTAGTTGCATTGTTTGGGTTGCCCTAGAACATTCTTAAATCATAGCCTGAGCAACTTCCAAACAAGCAAACACGGTGCCGCCCTCTTTCACACTCCCCCGACCTGGATCCCCGATCCTGAATCCAAACTTCATGACGTGTCTGAAGATTGTTTTCAAGGCTGTTCTCTTGGTCTCTGTCCAGCACGTCTTCCCATAAACTTAACTGAGCCCGGCATTGGGATGACAAAGATTAATAAAATAGGATTCTTTCCAGAGAAGCCCATTTTCTGGTTGGAAAAGATATGACTACAAAGTAATTATAATGTAAATAAATACACTAAAAGAAGCACAAAGAGTTACCAGAATAGTTAAGTCAAATGTCTTTTTTGGTTTTAAGTGATCGATATGGCGGAGAGCAGCTGTGTGGAATTCTGCCGCTCGGTGAGGATGAGCGATGCCTGGAGAACCTTCCACATTTGGTCTTCTCTGTACTTGCCCACCCTCCCCTAGAGCCATGCCTGGCTCTGATAAAGTGCTACTTTATAAATTTTAGGTTATTTGAAAGAAGCAAAAGGAACAAATGACAGGGGAGGCAGGGAGGGACCAGCCTAACGGGGGTTCTGAGAGACACGGTCGCAATGGCTCTGAGGCCTGTCAGCCTTGGGAGTTTCCAGCTGTGAGCATGGTGCCCTGGCTTCTGTGTGTACTGAGAAAAGACAATATACAAAGTGAGGGACAGGGACAGAGCACGCTGCAGGGAAAGTTCCGTAGAGTTTCTAGGGAGCAGGGAGCACCTGGGACGCACATCTGGGCTCCAGCAGCAGGGCTGAGACGGTGCCCTGAAGCTGCACCAGGGATTCCCGGCAGAAGGCTCCGGCCCGTCCAGGCCGCCTCCAGCACCACCATGCACTTCGTCCCGGCTTCCAGGAGCCCTGGCAGAAACGGAGCTCAGCTGCCAGTCTGGCGTCCTCGAACATGCTGCGAGTGGCGTTGGTGCCCATGGCTGTGAAAATGGAATCGTTGTCACCTCATCCAGGACGTGCCTCACGATCGTGCTGTCTCGTTGGTGGAGACGTTTGCCGTCTTCCGAAGCTTCTCTGCACCAGACCCTCTGAGATGGCGCGCTTGCCCCATGACCCCAACGCTTTGCTCTTCACGTCTCCTTTGACAAACCACTGTGACTTCAGATTGCCGTTCACATGGAAGCTCCACTTCACGGTTGGTGTTGTACTGTCTGGCTTTGTGGACGAGGACGCCCGCCGCCTTGGCTGCACCCTGGAATGCCTTGCACTGGGCCCCGGCTGCACGTGCCTGCTCCGACCTGCTCCTGCTGTGATCTAAACTGCTGGCTGGGCTGCCAGTTTTTCTAATTATCTTTTTCCTTTTCTTTGCAGGTTGTCTTATATTGAGAACATTTTCTTAATTTGTCACTGCATTAATGTCCACATCTGGAAACTGACAAAATTCACAATAATAGATGACAAGAAGTTATATTACTCTGTAGACATTGATTTTGTCATTTTGAATTGAAAATATTGAAAACTGAAATTAAACATATGGAATACTGCACATGGCTCAGGTTTCTTACTCATGCAAAACAGCATTGAGTGTTATCAGTGCTACGTATTCTATGCTTTAGGTAAAATATTTATGAAAATACCCATGAGATTAACGACTTATATGATATTCTAACTGACCCCCAACACATTTATTCTAATTTCTTCTGATCTTTGAAGTTCTAAAGGTTATCGCTAAACATTGGGAATATGTATCTTTTTAAGATATGCCTGTTCTATAAATTTTTAAATATCATTTACATTGTACGCTTAAAAGTTAACCAAATAAGAATCACATTTGAAAAGTTAGAAGTAATTACCACACTGTTTGTGGCAGGTGAAATATGTGCCCATAATGGCTGTGCCTCTTTATTTCTAGTATTTAGGGAAGGGTTTTTTTTTACGTAAATTGTTTTACAGAAAAGGTATAAACACAAGATGGGAAATGGAAGAAGTTCATTATATTTCACAGTTATATAACAACTTGTTATGAAACAGGATTATAACAAAGTTAGCATATTTGTGAATTATGCGTTAATCCAGCACATATTAGTTACACGCCCGTGGTGCTGCAGGTGAGGTGCCGGGTGCCCATTATTCTCCAGATGGGGTGCCAGGCACCCATTCTCCAGGTGTGGTACCAGGTGCCCGTTATTCTCCAGGTGGGGTGCTTGGTGCCCGTTATTCTCCAGGTGGGGTGCTCGGTGCCTGTTATTCTCCAGGTGCGGTGCCAGGCGCTCGTTATTCTCCAGTTGGGGTGTCAGGCGCCCATTATTCTCCAGGTTTGGTGCCAGGTGCCGGTTACTCCCCAGGTAGGGTGCTCGGTGCCCATTATTCTCCAGGTGGGGTGCCAAGCGCCCGTTATTCTCCAGGTGGGGTGCCAGGGGCCCGTTATTCTCCAGGTGGGGTGTCAGGCGCCCGTTATTCTCCAGGTGGGGTACCAGGCGCCCGTTATTCTCCAGCTGGGGTGCCAGGCGCCCGTTATTCTCCAGGTGGGGTGTCAGGCGCCCGTTATTCTCCAGGTGGGGTGTCAGGCGCCCGTTATTCTCCAGGTGGGGTGTCAGGCGCCCGTTATTCTCCAGGTCGGGTGTCAGGCGCCCGTTATTCTCCAGGTGGGGTGTCAGGCGCCCGTTATTCTCCAGGTGGGGTGTCAGGCGCCCGTTATTCTCCAGGTGGGGTGCCAGGCGCCCGTTATTCTCCAGGTGGGGTGCTCGGTGCCTGTTATTCTCCAGGTGCGGTGCCAGGCGCTCGTTATTCTCTAGGTGGGGTGTCAGGCGCCCATTATTCTCCAGGAGCAGTGCCAGGTGCCGGTTACTCTCCAGGTAGGGTGCTCGGTGCCCATTATTCTCCAGGTGGGGTGCCAAGCGCCCGTTATTCTCCAGGTGGGGTGCCAGGGGCCCGTTATTCTCCAGGTGGGGTGTCACGCGCCCGTTATTCTCCAGGTGGGGTACCAGGCGCCCGTTATTCTCCAGTTGGGGTGCCAGGCGCCCATTATTCTCCAGGTGGGGTGTCAGGCGCCCGTTATTCTCCAGGTGGGGTGTCAGGCGCCCGTTATTCTCCAGGTGGGGTGTCAGGCGCCCGTTATTCTCCAGGTCGGGTGTCAGGCGCCCGTTATTCTCCAGGTCGGGTGTCAGGCGCCCGTTATTCTCCAGGTGGGGTGTCAGGCACCCGTTATTCTCCAGGTCGGGTGTCAGGCGCCCCTTATTCTCCAGGTGGGGTGTCAGGCGCCCGTTATTCTCCAGGTGGGGTGTCAGGCGCCCTTTATTCTCCAGGTGGGGTGCCAGGCGCCCGTTATTCTCCACATGCGGTGCCAGGCACCCGTTATTCTCCAGGTGCAGTGCCAGGTGCCCGTGATGCTCCAGATGTGCCAGGCGTGGCTGCCCTGGCAGTGGATGTGGTATCAGACACAGATGTTCCTCAGAAGCTGTAGGATGCTCACGGGGCTGGAGAGCCATCCAGGAGCTAGGGTGTGGAGACAAAGGAGGCTGGTGGAGTTAAGATGGGTCACTGCTACTGTCAACCATGGCGGGGAATTTGGAGTTTTAAAGGCAGTGAGAATCCCTTGGGATTTTTTAAAGCTGGAAGTCTTTTGATCAGAGTTGCATTTTCAGAAGCTCCCTCAGGCTGCAGCATGGAGATGGCTTAGCAGTCTGGAGGGAGGACAATGGCGGGATGTGGAGGCCTCCACTGTGAGCCTGTGAAGGACGGCCTGACCGAGGGGCAGCCAGGGCAGGAGGGACGTGGGCCCTGAGGGAGGAGGATCACTGAAGATGAATTGGACATGGCTTGTGAGGGCGAGGGATCCAAGCTGTCCTAGCTTCCCCTGAGCCTTGGAAGGACTCTGCACTTTCAGCTGGAAACAGGTAGTGAGGCTCTGTGAAGGGCTGCAGGTGCAGGGGGAGGAGATAACATAGCGTGGCCGGCCAGGTCCCCAGGGCGTGCCTGTGATCTTGAGTCTAGCAGGCAGCGGGAGGGCTCTGTAGAAAGTCCACAGAGCCTGCACTGGAACCGCTTGGGAAAGATTCTTCCAGATTTGGATGTCAACTGAAGCCGTAATTCTGGCTGAGGCTGTCTTGGATGGGATATTAGGGCGAGAAGAGTACAACCTGGGACAAATTTCCAAGGAATACCAGCATTTAGGGTGGGCAGAGTAGTGAGGAAAGTGGGCAAAGAGTGGCCGAGGTACAGAGGAAACTGGAGCGAGAGGCATCAGGGAAATCAATGGAAGAGGTTCTGGTGGGATGGCCAACGGCATCCAGCAGTGCTGAGAGGTTCTGGGGGGATGGCCAAGGGCGTCCAGCGGTGCCGAGAGGTTCGGGTAGGACGACCAACGGTGTCCAGCAGTGCTGAGAGGTTTGGATGGGATGGCCAAGGGCGTCCAGTGGTGCCAACAGGTTCTGGCAGGATGGCCTAGGGTGTCCAGCAGTGCTGAGAGGTGAATCTGTGTTTTAATACTGAGAAGAGTAACTGGGTTAGAGAAAGGCGGGTGACCTTGACTGAGGAATGGAGGAGGGGCTGAGCCTCAGTTACAGGGGATGGAAAGTCAAAGGGGGATGGAGAGAAGGCCATGAGCACCAAAAATGCGTCCTTGTCTGGGAGGGGCAGGTGGGGTCAAAGGAGAGATGGGTTACTGTTCGAGCTGGGGAAGGCAAGAGCTTATTTCAATCTTGACAGAAAGACTCTTGCAGACACAAACATGTGGGCAATGTGGAAAAGGAGGGTGTGGTTGGTGCAGAGACCCGGTTAAGGGAAGAGGAGCTCATCCCGAGAGGAAGCTGGGAGGCCCGGCCCTGCACCCAGGGGAGGAGCCATGGAATAGGCTTATTACCTGGATGTCATTACTATTTCAACCTCAGGATTAGACAAATGTTAACTTTGTAAATCTTAAAATACATACTTTCACACCAGGAAATAATGGTTAAGGCCCTAGTTCCTCCTCCTCTTACAACAGTCTAAGTGGGAGATCCAGCTCTTGCTAACAGACCCGAAAGCAATGAGCGTACCTGAGATCCAGATGTTCAGCCTCGTAATTAAATAAATAGTGAAAATCTGTTTTGCTGGAGTTTATTCTCAAGACTCTTGGGTCCCATTGTGTTTTGTTTCTGAGGTGTTGTGAAACTCTTTGTGTATTTTTTTCAAATACAGTTCTGTTCAAAGTTAGATTTCTTCATCAAACATACCAAGGCTTTGAAGCTCCAAGGCCAGCTGCAGGATACAGAATCCAAAGGTGCCTGGGCTGAAATGGATGTGCAATGTGGGGTGCAAAGGTGCTCACGGACTCGGCTGTAATGTGTATTTTATTATTGCTCTAAATATTGGGAAGAGGTGTTAGTTTAAAAACATTTAACATAAAATGGTCTCTGAAATATTTTTCATGTTTAAGCTTTAGTAAGCTGGACTCTTAGTGGATTAGCTAACCTGTTGCAGAGTCTGTCCTTAGAACAATCCGGAATGTGGGCTCTACCCTTTCTTTTGGTTGCTTTGCAGTTTTGCTTCAGAGAAGCAGCTGTACTCTTGATATCCTCAGATGCCAGAATGCTTCCTAGAGACCCAGGTTATTGAGGTTTTGTGAACTGACCTAAGTTAAAGCAAAGGCACTGAAGGCAGCCAGCGGGGCCGCGGGCGGGACCTTCCCTCTCCTGGAGGAAAGAGACAAAACACTTCTCAGACCGCAGCCACCAGACCCCCGAGGTCAGTTCTGAGAAGGGCGCAAGGTCGGTGCCTGACCCAGTGTCAGATCCACACCGACTTCCCGGGAAACTGGCCAGTTGTTTTCATTGTATTTAGAAAATAATATTTTTTAGAAAAGGTTGTTTTTCCTGGTGGCTGCGGGTCTTCTGCCTCCACTCTGTTCCCAGAGCCTGCCTGGCGTCTGCGGGAGAAGCTTCTCAGCAGGTGCTGGTATTGCGTCTTACGAGTTCCACTTTCCAATTTTGTTTTTGTGTCATGATGCCGCCTGTGCCTCACCCAATACGTACACACTCAGTGTCCTTTATGGAAGAATCCCAGGGTGGCAAGAGAGGAGGGCTCCCGTTTCCTTGAAGTTCAGGATGGAGGAGAAAGTGTAAAATCAGAGGCTCTGCAGGTCATGGGTTTGATGGCTCCAGGTCTTGTGCTAGAAGCATGTTAGTTACAGTTGGGAAGCCCTGAGGACTGACATCGAGATTTCTTGCACTTTATTTTTTTTTTTAATTTTATTTATTTGTTTGTTTATTTTTTGAGACAGGGCCTCACTCTGTCACCCAAGCTGTGGTGCAGTGGTACAATCACAGCTCAGTACAGCCTCAACCTCCCGGGCTCAAGTGATCCTGCCACCTCAGCCTCTCAAGTAGCTGGGACTATAGGGTGCATGTCACCATGCCCGGCTGTTTTGTATTTTTTGTAGAGACGAGGTCTCATCATGTTGCCCAAGCCGGTTGTGAAACTTCTTGCACTTTATAAAGTGACAGGATTAAATTAGATGTTCCTCTGAGATCACTTTCAATGGAAAAAAAATAATGACCCCTTTCAAAAAGAGCACTGATGCCGAAGTATGGAAATAGTTTATTTAGTACATTTTTATTAAGAATGAGTTTACCAAAAAATAAAAATCATTATGATTCTTAGAAGATCTCTTCAGTGCATTAAGCAGAAATGCTGTTTATGTTAGAAATGAATTCACCTGTGGCCACCATAAGTCCATGCTACGCTGGTCTCTCAGATCTGGATCTTTGGTCCTGAACAAGCGAGTCTGTCTGGGGATGTAGGGTTTGCATTCTAGCGAATCCCCAGGGGTGTTTCCCGGGCCCTTGTGTGGTTCGTGGGAGCTGATTACTGATGGCGTCAACATCTTCCATCCGGCTTATGATTCAAGGAGCATTTGTGAAAATGTCCACGTTTCTGAAAACACATCTGCCCCTGGGTCTGCAGTATGCTTCAGGGGTCTGCTCAGAGTCAGCCAGGACGGCGCAAGTTAGCGCATCCATCGACGCTGGGAGCTGTTCGCCTTCCAGAGCTCATAGTAGGAGGGGCAGCAAAGGTGTGTTCCCCCACCGCCACCACCCGTGGCTCTGCTGTGGAGGCAGTGGGCGGCCGGCGGGCAGCCTGGGTCACAGCTGCACCCGCTCCAGTTGGTGCCCTGGGACAGTGCCGTCTGCCTGCCTGTCACTCGGCAGGACCTGGCTCCCAGCGATTTCTCCACAGGTGGAAGCATCCATCTTGAGCCAGCGCACGATGGAGAAACGTTTGGACACCTGAGAATAATTCCAAGCCAGCCTAGGGAAAAATGACCTTGACATGCTGACATGTTGGCTACATATTACAGGACTAAGGGAGTCCACCCACAGCTGTTTTCCTTTGTTGATTTAAACATTTTCTGGTCTGTTTTTCTTTTTAGGTCTGCTGTGTGCCAAAATATTTTACCATGCCCTAAAAGTGAGATGTTGGAAGTGGACAAGGAGGAAATATTTATGAATATTTGAGTCTGTTATTCTTTATGTTAAGCATTTTGGCTTCTGTTGTACTCCTAAATCACTACTGAGAGCAGAGAAAGAGCTCTTTGTAGAAATGAGATGTGTTCCTGTGTGCTGCCTGTGACGCATCCCGTTGTCACCGGAGTGCCGTGGCCCTAAGGAATGACAGCATTAAGGCATGGACGTTAAAGATGGACAAAAGAATTGTTCACGGTGTTGTATTTTAAAATGACTATGTGTATGACAATTAAACTATTGTGTCTTCGTTTACTCCATGTGTTCTGCCTGACAGCTGGGTGCTGGTGTTCAGATACCCAAAGGGTGATCGTGGGTAACTAGCACTGGATGGGTTTAAAAGGTGGGACAGTAAATCTGCAAATGATAGCAGTTCTAATGCTTTTGTAGCAAGTGCAGCAGCTTAAGCTGATCCAAGGATGCAGAGATTCTTCCTCTCCCTCCCCCCATCCCTCTCTGTCTCAGGCACTGACCTTCCTCTGCACAGACAGATGCATGCTGTGACTGATCATGGCCATCAGCTCAGGCCTGAGCATCTAAGCAATGGTCAGAGCTGCTGGAACAGAAATGACAAACAGGCCCCTCGCCTCGTGATCTTAAAATCCTCTTATACAACTTGCTTCTCTTAGAAAACACAAGAGCTTCTTATCTCTGTCTCAAGAAGGGAGAAAAATGGGATGAATGAAGAATAAAGGCTTAGCTGGGGGTTGGGGGTGGTGGTGGCTCACACCTGTAATCCCAGCACTTTGAGGGGCTGAGGCGGGCAGATTGCCTCAGCTGAGGAGTTCAAGACCAGCCTGGGCAACATGGCAAAACCCTATCTCTGCAAAAATATACAGAAACTAGCTGGGCATGGTGGTGCATGCCTGTAGTCCCAGCTACTAGGGGGGCCAAGGCAGGAGGATAGCTTGAGCCTAGGATGCGGAGGTTGCAGTGAGCTGAGGTTACACTCTGCACTCCAGCCTGGGTGACAGAGGGAGACCGTGTTACCCCAAGTTAGGGAATGAGAACCGCGAGTGGATTCACACGCTCATCCCGACCCCGCGTGTCACCGCGAGTGGGTTCACACACTCATCCCGACCCCGCGTGTCACCGCGAGTGGGTTCACACGCTCATCCCGACCCCGCGTGTCACCGCGAGTGGATTCACACGCTCATCCCGGCCCCGCGTGTCACCGCGAGTGGGTTCACAGCCTCATCCCGACCCCGCGTGTCACCGCGAGTGGACTCACACCCTCATCCCGACCCCATGTGTCACCGCGAGTGGACTCACACGCTCATCCCGACCCCGCGTGTCACCGTGAGTGGACTCACACCCTCATCCCGACCCCGCGTGTCACCGCGAGTGGATTCACACGCTCATCCCGACCCCGCGTGTCACCGCGAGTGGGTTCACAGCCTCATCCCGACCCCGCGTGTCACCGCGAGGGGACTCACACCCTCATCCCGACCCCACGTGTCACCGCGAGTGGACTCACACGCTCATCCCGACCCCGCGTGTCACAGCAAGCGGGTTCACAGCCTCATCCCGACCCTGCGTGTCACCGCGAGTGGATTCACACGCTCATCCCGACCCCGCGTGTCACCGCGAGTGGGCTCACACCCTCATCCCGACCCCGCATGTCACCGCGAGTGGGTTCACACCCTCATCCCGACCCCGCGTGTCACCGCGAGTGGGTTCACACCCTCATCCCGACCCCGCGTGTCACCGCGAGTGGGTTCACAGCCTCATCCCGACCCCGCGTGTCACCGCGAGTGGATTCACACGCTCATCCCAACCCCGCGTGTCACCACGAGTGGGTTCACAGCCTCATCCCGACCCCGCGTGTCACCGCGAGTGGATTCACACCCTCATCCCGACCCCGCGTGTCACCGCGAGTGGACTCACACGCTCATCCCGACCCCGCGTGTCACCGCGAGTGGGTTCACAGCCTCATCCCGACCCCGCGTGTCACCGCGAGTGGACTCACACGCTCATCCCGACCCCGCGTGTCACCGCGAGTGGATTCACAGCCTCATCCCGACCCCGCGTGTCACCGCGAGTGGACTCACACGCTCATCCCGACCCCGCGTGTCACCGCGAGTGGGTTCACAGCCTCATCCCGACCCCGCGTGTCACCGCGAGTGGATTCACACGCTCATCCCGACCCCGCGTGTCACCGCGAGTGGGTTCACAGCCTCATCCCGACCCCACATGTCACCGCGAGTGGGTTCACAGCCTCATCCCGACCCCGCGTGTCACCGCGAGTGGGTTCACAGCCTCATCCCGACCCCGCGTGTCACCGCGAGTGGATTCACAGCCTCATCCCGACCCCGCGTGTCACCGCGAGTGGGTTCACAGCCTCATCCCGACCCCGCGTGTCACCGCGAGTGGGTTCACACGCTCATCCCGACCCCGCGTGTCACCGCGAGTGGATTCACACGCTCATCCCGACCCCGCGTGTCACCGCGAGTGGGTTCACAGCCTCATCCCGACCCCGCGTGTCACCGCGAGGGGACTCACACCCTCATCCCGACCCCACGTGTCACCGCGAGTGGACTCACACGCTCATCCCGACCCCGCGTGTCACAGCAAGCGGGTTCACAGCCTCATCCCGACCCTGCGTGTCACCGCGAGTGGATTCACACGCTCATCCCGACCCCGCGTGTCACCGCGAGTGGGCTCACACCCTCATCCCGACCCCGCATGTCACCGCGAGTGGGTTCACACCCTCATCCCGACCCCGCGTGTCACCGCGAGTGGGTTCACACCCTCATCCCGACCCCGCGTGTCACCGCGAGTGGGTTCACAGCCTCATCCCGACCCCGCGTGTCACCGCGAGTGGATTCACACGCTCATCCCAACCCCGCGTGTCACCACGAGTGGGTTCACAGCCTCATCCCGACCCCGCGTGTCACCGCGAGTGGACTCACACGCTCATCCCGACCCCGCGTGTCACCGCGAGTGGATTCACAGCCTCATCCCGACCCCGCGTGTCACCGCGAGTGGACTCACACGCTCATCCCGACCCCGCGTGTCACCGCGAGTGGGTTCACAGCCTCATCCCGACCCCGCGTGTCACCGCGAGTGGATTCACACGCTCATCCCGACCCCGCGTGTCACCGCGAGTGGGTTCACAGCCTCATCCCGACCCCACATGTCACCGCGAGTGGGTTCACAGCCTCATCCCGACCCCGCGTGTCACCGCGAGTGGGTTCACAGCCTCATCCCGACCCCGCGTGTCACCGCGAGTGGATTCACAGCCTCATCCCGACCCCGCGTGTCACCGCGAGTGGGTTCACAGCCTCATCCCGACCCCGCGTGTCACCGCGAGTGGGTTCACACGCTCATCCCGACCCCGCGTGTCACCGCGAGTGGGTTCACACGCTCATCCCGACCCCGCGTGTCACCGCGAGTGGGTTCACAGCCTCATCCCGACCCCGCGTGTCACCGCGAGTGGATTCACACGCTCATCCCGACCCCGCGTGTCACCGCGAGTGGATTCACACGCTCATCCCGACCCCGCGTGTCACCGCGAGTGGGTTCACAGCCTCATCCCGACCCCGCGTGTCACCGCGAGTGGATTCACACGCTCATCCCGACCCCACATGTTCACGTGTTTAATGAACACTGTGCTAGAAGGTCAGCAGTAAACATGCCACAGCACCCCATCTGCTGCAGTGGATGCTGGCTTGGGGAGGACACAAGACCCCCCGACGTGTGGTGTGAGGTGGGGCTGGCGAGAGCTCAGCTCCTCAGGGCTGGAAAGGCTTTTGTCCAGGGGACCCTACACGGGGTGTGGGTGGCAGCTGTCAGTCTGGCGGCCGTGGGGACGGTCGGGGGAGGTTCTCTGCTTTGTGGATGGAAGGCGCTGTCCCTCAGGTGCTGGTGAGAGTGTTGGGGCCTTTGGGGATCCTGGAATGGGCCTCATGGGGCCTGGGGGTTATAAGGGGAGGCCTGGCAGGCTATAGAGACCAGTGCTTGGTCAAGGCAGGGCCTTGAACCGTGCACCCTAGAGAGCAGCTGTCGTGTACATGGCAGGGAGGGTGCTGGCTCCGGCTCAGAACAGCTCCCAGCTGTAGCGGAGCGTGGAGTGAACAGGAGGTGCCGCAGGCTGGGAATTGCCGTCACTAAGAAAAGTGTCAATAGGCAGTCATGGTTCAGAATCCTGGGTGCCCTCAAAATAATAAAAGGTGATGCCCTGCTCTTGATTTTACCCCTTGAAACATAAGCTGCTTTTTTTAGGATACCAGAAGGTGTGACCCCCTCCCGGCACAGTTCCTAAAGTCCGTGCTCCTGGTTTCCTTCTCCTGATGAATAAGGGGCCGTGGAGCCTCCTGAGCCAGTGACTGGGGAATGCACTGGACGCTTGCTGTTCTGCTGGCCA
This sequence comes from Homo sapiens, assembly GCF_000001405.40. Classification (NCBI taxonomy): domain Eukaryota; kingdom Metazoa; phylum Chordata; class Mammalia; order Primates; family Hominidae; genus Homo; species Homo sapiens. The sequence continues at coordinate 1,037,043 of NC_000008.11, forward strand.
GATGGAGGAGCTCCCTCATGGCGGACAGGCATGCTGTGTCCCTGGAGAGTGGGCAGTGTGGCTCCTGCCCATGGTCACGTAGAGAGAGAGGAATCCGAGGTGGATTCAGTCCTTCCTGCCGCCTGCACCCAGGGAGCTCAACAGCCTTGAGCGTCCCCTGCCGTCCTGTCCTCCCGGCCCGAGCGCCCCGAGCTTTCCACCTTCCCTCGGGCCTTTCTCTCTCTGTTATCACCTGGCGTGACCCTGACTTCAGGCTCTGGCTCAACCTGAAGGACACCTTTTATCTCAAGCTCTTCCCGCCCCTTCAGTAGAATCTGCTGTTCCGCCTCGGGCCCAGGGCTTCCCTCGGTGTTATCATTGACTCAGACTGTGAAGGGGCCTCTCTCCACAGCTCCTGCACCCCCAGGGCCTGGCGGTGGCCTGGCTGCTGTGCACTGAAGAGGCAGTGCTGCCTTCACCTGTCCGAGGGACGGAGCACGTGGACGTGTCAGCTGCATCATCTGCTGTCCCTCCCGGCATCACCTGCACTTTATCCTCTAAGGGGTTAATTTTACGCTTTTGTTCTCTACAAAATGTAGTTTTTAAAATGCTGACACAGTGTTTAGTGAGCAGTGGCTCTGCCCTTGCTGGGTTCTTGTCCTTATCGGGAAGAAGTTTAACCAAAGAGGAACATGCAAAACCCAGCCCCCTTTTAGCCGCTTTGGGCCGTTAAAATATCCAAGCAGGCTGGTTCCCTCTGCCTTGTCTCAGCCAGGGGCTCTCCAGCGTTAATATGTGTCAGAATCACCCTGGGAAAGCTTATCAAAGCTCAGACAGCCGGTCTCTCCACAATTCTGATCCAGCAGGCCTGGTGTGAGCCCGAGAATTTGTGCTTCTGAGGCCCTGGCTTGACCACACTTTGAGAACCTCTGCGCTAAGCTGAGGTTTTGTAGACACGGAGGAGGTTGGTGTCCATAGTGTGTAACTAGAGGCTGGGAGAGCTGGTGTGGAGCCTGCGTGGGCAGTTGGACCCCTTTGTCGTTGGTGTCCTCGGATGCTGTAGGTAGGCTGTGTGTGTTAAGTGTGTGTGTTCATATACAAGTGTTCGTCCCTCTGGAGTCGCTACCTGTGTGTTTCTCAGGAAGACAAAGTGTCTTCTGTGCTAACGCAGTCAGTGTCTGTGGTTGAGAGTCCCTCATCTGAGCTTGCATCTCTCCTCTGGTTGGAAGAGTTACAGCTTTTTGGATGATTCTTCCAGAACCTTTTTTCCTTCCAAGTGTCCTTGGGCTCAATTATGGGCAATTTGGTCCAGGAATGACTGTGGGAGCCTCTGTGTGATTGACCTTGGCAGGGAACCTCCAACCCCACCAGCAAATGTCCTCTGAAGTCCAGGAAACAAGAAAAACACCTGCAGCTGTGGGTAAAATGATGGTGTTGGTATCCCCTGGAGCCTCTGTTCAGTACTGAATTGGACATCAAGTGGCAGGAAGGAATAATTCTTGAGCAACATTTTATGGGCTAGAAATAAATATTAAACGTTAGGAGTAATTCTCAAGAAGTAGCCCCATTATGCGTTAGATAATTTGGATAAATTGAAAGCCCTCTTTTGGTTAGCACTTTAATTTCACAATGTGCCTCCCTGTGGTTTCTATTTCTGTAAAAGCATGTAGAATTTGAACCTTGAAAGGAATAATAGGACTCAAACAAAATATGACAGTAGGTGAGGGTCAAAATTAATATGTGGTTGGGAGTTATGTATGTATGTATAACTACGACCCCACATTTGCTCATGGAAACATCCATGTTTTTTTCAGTCGGAAAATCAAGTTGTGTGAGGAACCTCATTGAGACTCAGTGTCATATTACATCAACTATTTGTCAGTTTCTCGGGTAACCCATCCATTTGAATTGGATGCTTTCGTGTCTCTCCAAGTTGTATTTAATTCTTATGCACTGAAATCATATAGCCTGTTAGAAAGATTTTAGGATGCAGTTGATTTCTGTAATTTTTCGGAAACTTAGTTTTCAGCCCCACTTTCCTCCTTTATAAAATGGAAACAATCACCTCATTGGAGCAAACTCACCTGGTTGGTTGCGTTGAGGGAGACTCATAGGAAGTGACCCATGTGGAAATGCGTGGTCAGCTCGGTGTGCGTGGTCAGCTCGGTTTCCGTGGTCAGCTCGGTGTGCGTGGTCAGCTCGGTTTCCGTGGTCAGCTCGGTGTGCGTGGTCGTCTCAGTTTCCATGGTCGGCTCGGTTTCCATGGTCGGCTCGGTTTCCATGGTCAGCTCGGTGTGCGTGGTCAGCTTGGTGTGCGTGGTCAGCTCGGTGTGCGTGGTCAGCTCGGTGTGCATGGTCAGCTCGGTTTCCGTGCTAAGCTTGGTTTCTGTGGTCAGCTCGGTTTCTGTAGTCGGCTCGGTGTGTGTGGTTGGCTCGGTATGCATGTTCAGCTCGGTTTCCGTGGTCGGCTCGGTGTGCATGGTCGGCTCGGTGTGCATGTTCAGCTCGGTGTGCGTGGTCAGCTTGGTGTGCGTGGTCAGCTTGGTGTGCGTGGTCAGCTCGGTGTGCGTGGTCAGCTTGGTGTGCGTGGTCAGCTCGGTGTGCGTGGTCAGCTCGGTGTGCGTGGTCAGCTCGGTGTGGGTGGTCAGCTCGGTGTGCGTGGTCAGCTCGGTGTGCGTGGTCAGCTCGGTTTCCGTGGTCAGCTTGGTTTCTGTGGTCAGCTCGGTTTCTGTAGTCGGCTCGGTGTGTGTGGTTGGCTCGGTATGCATGTTCAGCTCGGTTTCCGTGGTCGGCTCGGTGTGCATGGTCGGCTCGGTGTGCATGTTCAGCTCGGTGTGCGTGGTCGGCTCATTGTGCATGGTCGGCTCGGTATGCATGGTCAGCTCGGTGTGCGTGGTCAGCTCGGTGTGCATGGTCGGCTCAGTTTCCGTGGTCAGCTCGGTGTGCGTGGTCGGCTCGGTGTGCATGGTCTGCTCAGTTTCCGTGGTCAGCTCGGTTTCCGTGGTCAGCTCGGTGTGCATGGTCGGCTCGGTGTGCGTGGTCAGCTCGGTTTCCGTGGTCAGCTCGGTTTCCGTGGTCGGCTCGGTGTGCGTGGTCGGCTCGGTGTGCGTGGTCAGCTCGCTGCACGTGTTCGGCTCGGTGTGTGTTGTCAGCTCGGTTTCCATGGTCAGCTCAGTGTGCGTGGTCAGCTCGGTGTGCATGGTCGGCTCGGTTTCTGTGGTCAGCTCGGTTTCCATGGTCAGCTCGGTGTGCGTGGTCAGCTCGGGTTCCGTGGTCAGCTCGGTGTGCATGGTCGGCTCAGTGTGCGTGGTCAGCTCGGTGTGCGTGGTCGGCTCAGTGTGCGTGGTCAGCTTGGTTTCCGTGGTCAGCTCGGTGTGCGTGGTCGGCTCGGTGTGCGTGGTCGGCTCAATGTGCGTGGTCGGCTCAGTTTCCGTGGTCGTCTCGGTGTGCATGGTCGGCTCGGTTTCCGTGGTCGTCTCGGTGTGCGTGGTTGGCTCGGTTTCCGTGGTCGGCTCGGTGTGCGTGGTCGGCTCGGTGCGTGTGGTCGGCTCGGTTTCCGTGGTCGGCTCAGTGTGCGTGGTCAGCTCGGTGTGCGTGGTCGGCTCGATTTCCGTGGTTGGCTCGGTGTGCGTGGTCGGCTTGGTGTGTGTGGTCGGCTCGGTTTCCGTGGTCGGCTCGGTGTGCATGGTCAGCTAGATTTCTGTGGTCAGCTCCGTTCAGAAGAGGTGCATATGAGGGGACATGATGCTTTGGGCTGTGAAAATGCAGATCCAGCAGGAGCGCAGAGTCGTGGCCCCTTCCTGGTGGGAGGATATTTTTCATCACTGACTCCGAGGTGAGCTCTTATTCTTCCTCAGCACGCACCCTCATTCCTGGAGCTGCCCTCTTTTGATCTAGGCTGTAAACCAGGATTGGTGACTTACTTTTAGTCTGTAAAGGTGCAGGGTGTTTCCAGAAACAACATACATAGGACATACCAAAACCTCTACTTTCAGCTACTTTGTGTGAGTGAGGATGGCATCTTGATTTTAATTGAGTTACCAGAAATGGTGCAGACTGCTCTCCTCTTTCCTAAGGGGAGGTATCTGTCCTCGGCAATGGATATGGTTAATTTTAAATAACAGTTAAATATAATCTGTAATAGCAGGATTATGTAAATTTTGGGAAATAAGTCCCCACCCATGTTGTATCTGCCACAGACCCCAAACCCACTTTGTGATGGCGATCTTATGTTAACAGTCATAAATGGTAACCAGCGAGTTAGCTTGGAGGTGCGTGGAGATCGCCCCTCGCAGCTACTCTCAGCCTTTTTCTTTGGAGTTGGCAGCTAAAACCTACATGGCCGAGGCATCCGTGTCGACATCCGCCCTGGCCAGAGGCACTCGGGAGGAGACAGAGCCTGTTTCAAAGCCCAGGTTTTGGGGTGAGGGAGGATGTGGCATTTTCTCCTTTCCTGTATTTCTGTGCCTGTTTCTCCTGTTTCTGAGAAAAGTGTTCTCTGAGCCCCTTGCCGTGGGTGAGTGTTCTCCGAACCCCTTGCCGTGGGTGAGTGTTCTCCGAACCCCTTGCCGTGGGTGAGTGTTCTCCGAGCCCCTTGCCGTGGGTGAGTGTTCTCCGAGCCCCTTGCCGTGGGTGAGTGTTCTCCGAGCCCCTTGCCGTGGGTGAGTGTTCTCCGAGCCCCTTGCCGTGGGTGAGTGTTCTCCGAGCCCCTTGCCGTGGGTGAGTGTTCTCCGAGCCCCTTGCCGTGGGTCTGCGGGAAATGTGTACTCCGAGCCCCTTGTCGTGGGTGAGTGTTCTCCGAGCTCCTTGCCGTGGGTCAGCGTTCTCCGAGCCCTTTGCCGTGGGTCAGCTGGACTCTCACCATGCGGAAGAATGTCGGGTAACCATCAGTGCCTGCTCTTCTCTTGGAGTGAGCTCTCTCTTTCTCCCCGGCTGTTTCAGGAGCCTGCGGGGATTTCTTCTGGCTCGGCTGTCGAGGTAATTCTGTGTCCCCTAGATGGAGCCGTCGACCTGATTTGCAGAGCAGAACGGCCAGGGAGTGTCTCTGGGCCGTGTCCTCAGACTGCAAACCCCAACACAGACAGGCAGGAGAGCCCCCAGCCCCAGCACCTGCCTGGCTGGGGAAAGCCAGCAACCCCAGTGAGTCCCTCACACCTGAGTGATGCCTTGTCCGGCTTTCCCAGGGAGGCTGCTCACCCCCTGGCTGTGGAGAGTGGAAGCAGGGACATTCTTGGGGCACAGCCTTGTTTTGGATTGAGCTGTTCCCAAGATCATGATCCATGAGGGAGAAAATCAACAACGTGCCTAGTACAGAAAGCAGATCTGTGGGGCTTCCTTAGGGGTTTCAGGAAAAACATGTTAGACGCAGAGGTGGCTTAGGATTTAACATCTGACCTTGAATCTGTCAGATCACTTGTTATCTTGTAAACGTGAGCCCTCAAAGGAAGCCGTAGGCCTGCAGTCGTGTTCTGCCTGAGATGTGTGTGGAAAATGGTGGTGAGAAGAGCCGTGAAGCGTAGCCCAGGAAAGCACCGCCGGTATTGAGTGATGCATTCAGCATGTGAGGTCACAGACCAGGTCCCCAGGAGCCAGTGGCCAGGGAAGGCCTCCACCCTGGGAGCTCCATCCTCTGGGAAGTCCTGGGGGCTTGGATGTAGGTGGTGGATGTGGGTGTTGGATGTCGGTGGTGGGTGTGGGTGGTGGATGTGAGTGGTGGATGTGGGTCGTGGATGTAGGTGGTGGATGTGGGTGATGGATGTGGGTGGTGGGTGTGGGTGGTGGGTGTGGGTGGTGGATGTGGGTGGTGGGTGTGGGTGGTGGGTGTGGGTGGTGGATGTGGGTGGTGGGTGTGGGTGGTGGGTGTGGGTGATGGATGTGGGTGGTGGGTGTGGGTGGTGGGTGTGGGTGGTGGATGTGGGTGGTGGATATGGCTGGTAGGTGGTGGATGTGGGTGGTGGATGTGGGTGATGGATGTGGGTGGTGGGTGTGGGTGGTGGGTGTGGGTGGTGGATGTGGGTGGTGGATGTGGCTGGCAGGTGGTGGATGTGGGTGGTGGATGTGGGAGGTGGATGTAGGTGGTGGATATGGGTGGTGGAAGTGGGTGGTAGATGTGGCTGGCAGGTTGTGGGTGTGGGTGGTGGACGTGGGTGGTGGGTGTGGGTGGTGGGTGTTGGTGGTGGATGCGGGTGGTGGGTGTGGGTGGTGGATGTGGGTGGTGGGTGTGGGTGGTGGGTGTGGGTGGTGGATGTGGGTGGTGGACGTGGGTGGTGGGTGTGGGTGGTGGGTGTGGGTGATGGACGTGGGTGATGGGTGTGGGTGGTGGGTGTGGGTGGTGGGTGTGGGTGGTGGACGTGGCTGGCAGGTGGTGGACGTAGGTGGTGGATATAGGTGGTGGATGTGGGTGGTGGATGTGGCTCACGGGTGGTGGATGTAGGTGGTGGCTGGTAGGTGGTGGATGTGTCTACCCTGGGGCTTCTCTGTGGAAAGCTCCCCCTGGCCTTCGTAGGACAAAGGATTCTTCAGGAAGCAGTAGGTGGCTGAGAGACCCCTGTGACAGTGTTGGTGAGTGATAACGAAAACTAGGAGGACTGCAGTGGGGAAGGGGGATGAAGGGGGAACATGAGCTGTGCTGCCTTTTCAGGGAGGGCTTGGTCAGTCATGTGGATTTGGACCAGGTGTGAAGGGAAGGAAGTGTTCTGGCCTGTTAGGTTGTCAAATAGTAATAATGCCCAGGTTTCTGTGCATGGGGTAAGTTAATCACCTGTGTTTTGGGCTCTCAGGGGTGGGCAATGCCTCTTTGGCTGCTGTTAGAAGGACACAGTAAGGCAGTGAAGCAATCAAGAAGCAAGCGTGCCTCGCTGCTGGGCTCCAGGAAGGCAGGTGTGGAGAGACGGGCAGTGAGATCTCAGCTGGGGTGCAGTTGCTTGTGATGCTTTCTGGGTTAGAGACTTTGCATCACCTCTGAAGCCCCCAGGACTTCCCAAAGGACGGAGCACAAACGTGACACTTCTCACAGCAGTGACTGCCCTGCCACGCCACGCTGTGTTTTATGGCTCACCGGTCCCACTCCTGCTGGATGTGAAGCTCAGGATGGTGAGATACTACCACAGTCCTCCTTGTAACCCATCCCCTTACAGCCTGGCACAGACTAGGGGCCCAATAAAGCCCTGTTGAGAGGAACTGGTGGTCATAAAACCCAAAATACGGCAAGTTGTCACTTAGTGTTATCCCAGATAAATGGAATATGTAAGAAAATGAAAAGATGGGGGTTCATGATTGCAAACTCTCCCTGGGCAAAACTCAGCCGTCTGTGAATTTGTTGTGTTGCCTTGGCAAAGCCCTGTCCTGTACACAGAGCCTCCATCTCTCCTCCACCTGCCCAGGTGGCTGCACAGGCTGGAGGGCCACAGACAGCTGGGTGAGTTGGTCTCACCGCACCTGCGTGACCACCTGGCTTAAACGCAGTCCTAGCGCTGAAATCTGTGCCATAGGACATTTGCTTTGCCAGTTTGGGATCAGGAGTGTCAAAGTGTGCATGTGACCTGGCAGGACACGACGTCTCTCTAGGCCTCCAGACAGTTGTTTCTCCCGCATGTATCCCAGGGTCTCCTCTCCCATCCTTTCTCAGTAGATGACTTCGATTCCCATTGCACTAAAAGACTAGAAGCTATCGGAGGAAAGTTTCTGCTGAGCTACTCCTTGCCACATTTCAGCTCCCTGTGTCTGTGCCTGTGGCTGCTCCATACCCCCTCGCTATGGAAGAGCTACCCCAGATCTTACCTCGGGTCACCTCTCGACCTGCAGAACGGACCCACCCACGTGCTTCCTCAGGGTCAAAACCCCAATAATTCTTCCCTCTTGTTCTGAATATTCAAACCTTCCCTGTTGACCACATGATCCCCATCACCCCATGGTGAGGCCAGCATTCCCTCCATCTTTCAGAGGAATATGCTTACCTTCAGCTACAGACTTAAAAGGTCCTTGTCATTTCCTCATAAGCACACATGATAAGTGAGCAGAGAGAACCTCCTGCCTATTTCTTTCTTCTTTCCGGAGACAGCTCAGCTGAATGCCCGGTCCATTCCCTGAACCACAGAGGTTGAACGCAGAAACCCTGGTCTAGACTTCCCTGCAATGTCCAGTCTGCTGCCTAAGGGCTGTTTGGCTTTTGGCAATTCACCAAAATTCTCTGCATCTTAGCTTCCCTGTTTATGAAAGCGGACAGCGGTAGTATCCACCTAATAGTTTGGTTGTCAGCATTAAATGAGTGAGTGTATATAAAGCACTTCACACACACAGTGCCCAGCGTATACTCAACACCCCTTACTTTTAAATGTTTTCATTTTTTAAAGTTGATAAATACAAATTGTATATGTCTATGGTATACAACCTGTTGTTTTGAAAGACGTAAACACTGCGGAGAGACTAAATTGAGCTAATTAACGTATGCATTACTCACACACTATCATTTTCTTGGATGAAACCCTTAAAATCTGCCCTCTTAGCAGTTTTCCACTATGCAGTGCCTGGTGGACTGCAGTCTCCATGCTGGGCATCAGTCTCTTGACTTACTCCTCCCGTCTCATTGGCATTTTGTGTCCTTTGACCTCCCCAACCGCGCCCCCACCCAGGTCCTGGTAACCACCCTTCTATTCGCTGCTTCTGTGAGTTCTCTTGTTTAGGTGTCCTTTTTTAGGGACAGGTGTGTGTGTGTTGTCTGTTTTGTTCACTTTTGGATGGGGACACCCAGAAGAGTTCCTGGCACATAGTAAGTGCTCAGCAAACATTGGCAGTAAGCAGGAATGTGCATTTCTAGGTGACTCGCCATAGGACGGCGCCCCCTGGTTGCTCAGATGTCTGCACAAGGTTGGAATGTTGACTCCCAGACCTGCCGTTTGTAATCAAGTTTAACGGGGCTTGGGTCCCAGTAATTTCAAAGTGAAGGGGGCAAGAGGTAAAGCCTTTGGGTTTTAATTAGTGAGAGGGGGAAAGTGAGAGAATGCTAGGAATGTGCAATTCAATTTTGTCGAAGATTTTTCTATTGAGTCACGGAAAGCAGCCCAGCAATATAAAAGCTGCCCAGTTACCAGTAAATTAGTGGTAAATAGAATAAAGTCAGGCAGTTATTAGCAGAAACCATATTTCTGAAGGCTAATGTGGGTTTAATCACTTTTATTTTCCTACTGCCTTCATTTTTGTTCTGCCTTGAATGCAATCTGTAATTTGGCATAATGAAATCCATGCCATAGGACATTTGCTCTGCCAGTTTGGGATCAAGAATGTCAAAGTGTGCATGTGACCGAGGGCCATGCTTCACTTTACCTCTAGTTTGGAGGTTGTTTTTATTTTGCTTGTACTTCATGATCTAAATTCCCCCTCCCATTTCCCCGGCTGCCGTGCATATATGACTTTGCAGGGGTGGATGTGTACATGAATGGGACTGGCTGATTCAAACCTTTTCTGCTGGAATAAAAAGAGATATTAAAGAGAGACATTAAAGGGGACCTAAGTAAGAATCCACATTGCATGTGGGCGTGTTTGAGGCTTTTTCACCTAATATCTGTGTTTCCTTCATCCCCATAACCCAGATGCTGTTGGAGATGTGTTAGTACACGTTGAAAAGGGGGATAAGTGAATTGACTCTCTCCTTAGCATCAGTGTCTTGCATATGTAGCTGCTTTACAAATATGAAGTTGTTTTACAAATGCAAATATAGTATGATCTCTCTTCAGCTCTTGATTAACAGAGATGCTTGTGGAATGAGGAATTTGTGATTTATTAAATTTTCTGCTGAATTTGAATTTCACCACAACCCCCCTTTTTTTTTTCTGCCTAGCCATCTGGGGTCAAGGCCTCACCCATTGTCAGTGCTTGGTAAATGCACGCCAGGTTTGAAAGGACTGAAATGCATCCTTTTTTTGTTGTTTTATTAAAATAATAGGTTTTTTTTAATAATACAGCTTTATTGAGACATAATTCACATACCATAAAATTTACTCATTTCTAGTAAACATTCAGTGGTTTTAATATATTCACAGAGTTGTGCAGCCATCACCACTATCTAATTGCAGAATATTTCTTATCCCCATAAGAAACCCCTAACTGGTTGGCAGTCACTGCCCATCATCTCCTTCCCCAGACCCTGGAAAACACCAGCAGACTTTCTCTTTCTATAGGGAGCCTGCTTTCAGCATTTCATATGAAAGGAAACATACAATATGCAACCTTTGCGGTCTGGTTTCTTTCACTTAGCAAGGTTGTCAAGCTTCTATATTTTATGATATACAGGTTGAGTATCTCTTATCCCAAAGTTTTGGGAAACGAAGTCTTTCGGATTTTGGAATTTTTTTTGGATTTTGGAATATTTGCATTACACTTACCAGTTAATGATCCCATATTTTAAAATCCAAAATGCTCCAGTGAGCATTTCCTTTGAGCATTATGTTGGCAAAATAATATACTTTTCCCAGTGAGTCTCCTCACATCTTAGTGCACTCAGACTGCTGCCACAGAATAGCCTGGATCGAGTGTCTTATAAACAACAGTATTTATTTCCCAAGGTTCTGGGGTATGGAAGGCCAAGATCAAGACACTGGCAGGGTCAGTGTCCAGCGACAGCCACTTCCTGGTCCCTAGATGGCCTCCCACTGTGTCCCACTGTGTCCCACAGAAGGCCAAGGCGGGTCTCTGTGGCCTTTTTTTTTAAGGACTCTACTCTCATTCATGAGGGATCAGCCTTCATGCCCTAATCACCTTCCAAAGGCCCCACCTCCTAACACCATCACCTTGGAGGTTCGGTTTCATCATATGGATTTTGAGGGGACAGAAACATTCAATCTATCGCAGCATCCTTGTTAAAAATTAATATTAATGTTTATTTTGTGGCTCTCAGTTTTATTCCGTTGATCTATATGTCTAGCCTAGGTACAGAGTTGTAACTCAGTCTTTCTTTTATGTTTGAAAACCTTAGACCGTTAAGGCCTGCAAGGGTGCGGACACTGTGGTATTTGACCCGACTGTGTGTAGCTCAAGTTTTGGACCAACCTGCCTGAGTCCGAATTTCCGCTGGAAAGTATTTGACCTTGTGAGAGTTGTTCAACTCCCTAAGCCTCAGATTTTTAATCTACAGAATACAAACGAACTGGATAGAACTGGCCTGCAGTGTGAGACATCTATGAAGAGCACGTAGATCGCTCAGAACTGTGCCCGGCGCGTGTTCTCATTCCAGCCTCAGTCCTGTGAGGCTGTCGTCTCCATTTTACAAAGGACACCCCAAGGCTCACAGACATGCAGGAAGTAAATCAAGGTGAAATGTGAATCTAGTTCCATCTGACTTCAAAGCCGTTGCTACTTCAGTTATTAGGGCCTCTCCTGGTCTCAGTAAGTGCTGATTCTAAAACCTGCCACCGGGTGTTCACAGGTAGCGACGGCATCGTCTGTGCGTCTGTGCTCAGTGAATCTCTGGAAGGTGTGGGGTGGGCCCTGCTATACTCCGCAAGGCCCCTGCTGTGCAAGACAATGTCCCGTCTCTTCTGCTTGAAATGATGTTTAACTAGCAAAGTACAATGGTGAATACTTGGTGTGTTTCCTTGGGCCAAATAATTTGAATAAGCTGGGCTCAAACCACATGCCTTGATGTGGGTGCTGTGATGTTGTTTGAATGAGAAGAAGATGCCGCCCGAGGCCCTAGACCTGGAACTGGGGCTGCGGTGGGCCTAGCCTGTCCCCACATCTGCCGCCGAAGCTGCAGTCTTGGGACAGCCACCCTCTCCTGTGTGCCTTTCTTCTCTGTAAAATGAGTAGCCGGGATTGCATATTCTCCTGGTACACTCTGACTTTAAAATTCAGTGTGCCTATAAATATGACTAAGTGATTTCACAACTATATTTAAAACTGCATGAACAGACTCACGGGTAGAAAAACAGCAGTGATTTGACTGAGCCACACCAGCTTTCGGTTTTCCAGGAAGCATGATAATTTGTAGAGTTTTCAGAATGACATTGATAAGAGATTGACAAAGTTATGTGTCTGTCATTGACCAGTTACTTCCCGTTTAGCCTGCATTCCTGCAAAATACATGGGAGGGGAAGCATCTTGTGGCGGGCACTGTCAATAATGTTTAGACGACGACTGGTGTCTCTGAGCCTCGATTCCACGAGACTTCATCCTCATTGTCTCTCGAGTTACGGGGGAAAATGTGTAATGAAATGGCAAGTTTTATGCAAACGGGGGAAATGTATAATAAAATGGCGAGTTTTATGCAAATATCAATGTTAGGATGGAGGCCTGTTCTACTTCTATAATTTTAACGTCTTCGAAGACACAGACACCTTCTTCCCGTGACTTGCTCAGAGGCTTCCCCAACCAGTGCCACCTGGGTAGGAACATTTGGTCAGCGGCCACTGTTGGAATGTTTCTTTCTAAACACCCTGCTTAACGTCACACGGGAATACAATTTACCCTTTTATCCTTTATTTGTAAAAATTTATTGTGCTTTCCTTGCAATAGATAAATATTGTTTATGTTATAAAAGGTAGGGCGTATACAAAAAGAAAATATTCAGTTATTCCATATTCCTCCACTCTGAAATAACCACTATTGACAGTGTGCTGGATTTACTTTCAGGACACACACAAGCAGAGACATCCTTCCATGAATACAGACCCATGCATGCGTGGATACAGACACAGGCACATATGAATGGAGGCACAGACATACATGAACAGAGACACACAGACGGTGCATAGACACAGGCACATGCACACATGAGTGCAGGCAGTAACAGGTGTGCATACGTGTACACATATGCATAGGCAGTCACATGTGTGGATATGTGCACACGCATTTACAGTCACACACAAGTACATATGTGTACACACATGTGCAGGCAGGCAGACACATGCATATGTACACACGTGGATATATGCACACACATGCTGTCACACACATGTGCCTACGTGTATGCACATGCACAGGCAGGCACATGCATATGTACACACATGCGGATATGTGTACACACATGCTGTCACACACATGTACATACGTGTACACACATGCACAGGCAGTCACACACATACATATGTGTTCACGGATATGCAGGCAGTCACAGCCACGTGTGCCTATAGTTTCAGAGCAGAAACTTTGTATGCCTACAGTTTTAACCAGCTTTTAAATATTCATTATAAATTGTAAATACCTACAGTCCCCGATTTAACCATGGTTTGACACACAATTTTTTGACTTTAGGATGGTTCAAACATGATACAGGTTTCCTGAATGCCATACGAGTGCCCCTCTGCTTCTGTTTTTCACTTTCAGGATAGTACTCAATGTTGCATGAGATATATATCCAACACTTTAGTATAAAACAGGCCTTGTGCGAGGTGGCTTTTGCCCACTGTAAGCTGATGCGTGTGTTCTGTGCACATTCACGCTGGGCAAAGCTGAGCTGTGATGTTATGTGGATTAGGTGTATTAAATGCATTTTTGACTTACGGCATTTTCAGCTCATGATGGGTTTATTAGGAAGTAACCCCATTATAAGCCAAGGAGCGCCTGTCCCTGAATGCAGGAACTTGGTGTTCTTAGACTACAGGAATAGCTAATTGCATCCCATGTACATGGGATAATTCTTCCAACCCAGTCTCCTCATCTTGACATTTAAGTAGCTTCCATTTCATTACACACGTAACACATTTTAAAGTATCTTCTCCTTAAACTGCCTGGCTGTTTTCTCAGGAACTAGTTTGAAGGGCAGATTCTCAGAAACCTTGAGTCAGGAGGTCTGTGGAGGGATGAAAAGGACCTGAATTTTTTACGTGCTTCCCCATAGATTTCCATGCGGCAGTGTGTGATGAGCTTGTGTGACCTATGGGCCTTAGATCGAGAGAGGCTGTCACGTGCCCGGTCATTTCGTGGGTGGGGGGTCATTTTGTGGTGGGGTCATTTCGTGGGTGGGGGTCATTTCGTGGGTGGGAGTCATTTTGTGGTGGGTCATTTCGTGGGTGGGGGTCATTTTGTGGTGGGTCATTTCGTGGGTGGGGGTCATTTTGTGGTGGGGTCTTTTTGTGGGCAGGGGGTCATTTTGTGGTGGGGTCATTCCATGATGGCCCTGGATGGGACAGGGCACAAGGGGAGCAGCTTCTTCCTGGGCAACATTGTCAGCACCACCTCGAAGCACAACTGCATGAGTTGACTTTATCCCAGAAATTTTCTTTTCTCCAGAGGCCTCATTGAAGGGAACCCAGGCTCTCTGGATGGAGCATTTTTCAGCAGCACTCACCTGGGAGGGGCACCGGGCTGTGTTGTCTCAGATCCAGCTGCATCTTCTCTCCATACAAGATCGTTTTACCCTCAGATGCAGAATGATCCAATACCGTCAGCTGTTTACCCTCAGATGCAAAATGATCCAATACCGTCAGCACGTGGGGAGTGTGCTGTCACTTCTGAAGTGAAGGCACAGACTATATTGATGTTAATACCACTCAGCATAAAGATGACATACGCAGAGTATTTTGTCAAAAAGACACAACAGAGAATTTACACATGCACAAATAGAAATAGACTTGCTACTATGTAATTTTATCTAATAGAGCATTTTCTGGGGTCTTAAATGGACTGATTTTGGGATCCAGAGTAAAGTCACGTCTGGTCCACATCACAGTTTAGACTCACGGAAGCTGCTTCTTCTCATGCAGATCCCGCCACGCTCAGCACAGTGGCTGTATGAGGCTGGGGGGCTTCACCTCTGTCTCATGCCTGCTCAGTCACCTGCTGAGTCTCCTGCCTGGGCCCCTCAGGGCTTAGCTCTACTCCTCTCTAAGTGGAGAAGTCGACTGGGAGTCTGCTACGGGTTTTTTCCTTTCAATTTCAACATGCCATGGATTCATGAGAGCAAATGAGCTTAAATGCACCATCTATAAGCCTATTAATTTTTGAATTTGCACACCAGAGGAGTGCCACCTGCCCACATTCTACCCACAATGGGATGCCCCACAAGGATGCAGAGGGAGAAACCAGGCTCAACACGCCTGCCGCCAGCACGCGCCTGCCAACTGCACACTGACGTTGTTCTCCTGTGCCTGGTGTTGCAGCCCCAGAGTGCCTATTGTGGGCACTGAACTCCCGTGTCATGAGGTGGGCCTGGGCCCGGCCGCCCTTCCTGGGCCTGCCTCTGACCACCCCTTCCCCCCATTCTCATGCATGTAGACAGTTCATACATAGCCCAGGGGGTTTTACCTCATTCAGCTGTTTCTTCCTCCTTTCTACAAACTCTGAGGACATACTTTACATGCAAAACCATGCCAAATGCCATGGGGTATTTAAAGCTCAGTAGCCTGTAATCCCTGACTCAAAGGCAGTAAAAAGGAAATAATTTTTGCAGGTAGTTTTAACACATGGCATCACAGCATACACTAGGAATGGGGAAATTTTGCTGTAAGGCGTGGAAAAGGCAGTGGGGAGAGGAGGGAGTATCATCTTTGGAGGAGTTACTATATTCCAGGCATTGTGTAGGAGGAATCCTTTGACGGGGACTCACAGGCAGGGTCCCTGGAAGAGGTGGCATTTAGCTTTGGCCTCGAAAGATGGCTGGGGGATCATTAGCTTCTGTAGGAACAAACCCCATAGATGTTGCATTGGCCTAGTAGGGGGGCAGTTTGTTTTTTCTGGTTGGCCTGGTCATCAGAATAACTCATCTGGGTAATACAGGGAGGGGTTTTCTAGGGGCTCGGTTACACACACTGGACTTGTTTTTAACATATAAGAGAGGCTGGGAGCATTTCTGAAAAATGGCCTATAGAAACACAGGGCAATGACAACCTGTAAGGAGGATAGAACTGGCTGCAATCCATACCTGTAATATTCAAACTCATTATTAATCTTCCCCCAAATGTCTATATAGAGAACCAGGTGATATCCAGGTTAAGCAAATATTCAAGAGAAATGTAAATGTGACCTTCCTTAATTAACAAATTTGCTAACATTTCTCATCACTGCGGAGTTGCTGTAGGATGTTCAGCTGCCCCTTGAATTTACATGTGGAGTAACAAACAAGGAAGCATATGTAATGTGCTTTGCCGTTTGCAATTTCGCAATGGAAAAGAGGTGCTGTACGTTTTGCTTTGTAATTTTGGGTTATTTAAAAGAAATCAAAATAGAAGCGCGGATGTGGTGGAGTCGCATCCATCAGATTCGGAACCTTCTCTCTCCTGGTGACTGGCCAGTCTATTTGGGCAAATTATTTAATGCTATCAGACCTCAGCCTTCTAATTTGTAAAATGCCTTCTTCATAAGATGGTTATAAAGTTTGGGGGAACATAGAATGAAGTGCTTCCTACACAGGCAGTACAAGTGATGAGTTCATACCCTTGGAAGGGAAGGAGCTTGTGCAAGCTTGATCTCCACAGAGAAGGAACCAGAAGGACCAGGTGTGTCCCAGTCAGCTCCGTCATCCCAGTCAGTTCGCAGTCTCCGAGGCCAGGGGTTTTGAAACCTGGGAAGTGAAATGTGTGCATGCAGCTGAAGAAGAGACAGACGCGTGAGTGATGAAGACTGACACAGAAACACACCAAGCAGAGGCCCGATAACTGCGAGGAATTCCGTGGATGTGTACCGTGTTTGGAGACGGGATAATTCCTGGATTTAATTGCAAAGGACCCAGTCTTTCTGCCTGACATATTGGGTGCTAGCAGAATGTTGCCATAACAACCAAGCAAGTAACTGTGGCAGGTTAGCAAGCAGCCAAAAATCATTATAATATTTAAGAACCAAAACTTTAATATTTTATTTTCATTACCGTCACTGGTTTTCCTTCCTAGCAGAATGGATTCCTGTGCTAGTTATGGTAACCTTTTCTGCAGTGCTTTTAGAGCAAGTACTGTTGAGTTTATATTTTCCAAAAGATTAAAAATGATCCCTTTGATGAATTTCACTTTTATTTGGGTCTTTTTGTGTAAAGAAATCTGTGGTTAGCAGTACAACAAATGTGTTACACCGGCTTCCTTTTCCCGGTCAGATTCAGCCTTCCGCTGCTGGGTGCTGTTCATCATCATGAGTGCTGAAATGGGAGCCTCTGAGCCTGTGTGCGGCACCCGGCGTTTCTGGGAAGCTTCCTATAGATTTTTCCTCTCCTGGTTTGAGTACAGGCATGAATGCACGCACACATGTACACGCACGCACACACAGATCCACACGCATGCGCACACACATGTATGCACATGTACACACACGTACACACACGCACACACACGGACACACACGCACACACACACACCATCCATGCATAAAAGTCATTCGCAGTCATGTCTATGCTCAAACCCATTAAAACATTTTTGTGTCCCTGTTTCAGTGTCCGTATTAAATGGCTTGGACTTTACTCTTGGCTCCAAGCATCTTAGATTTGTGGTCACCAGTTACACTTCGGCTTTGTAGACGTCTATCATTGTCAACATAAGTTTTTACATAAGTGCTGTCATTAAAGTAGTCTAACTTACTGTATATTAGAATATATGATATTTCTGCAAATATTTATATTTTCTATGGCGTTCATTATTAATATAGAAATTAAATAAAACATGCCCAGTAATTTATCATCCCTCTCTTGGGTTGTGTACCTAGGAATGATCAGATAACAATTGACTGCTTAATTTAAATAAAACAATGCACTATTCTCAGCAGGAATTAACATTATTTGGAAGGTTTGATTCATGGTTTTTGCATTGTATTGGTGTCACGCTGTTGCACTGGACAAGACCTTAAAAAAACTCTTGGAGGCTGAGATTCAATTACTCTCAATCAAATTGTAAGGAAAAACCATAACTTATCTAAAACATTTTTTATTATCAACTGTTTTCATTAATGCTTTGTGTTTGTTTTATAAAAAGCACTAGAACAAAATAATAACAGCCTTCATAGACAGTGGCACACAAAAATAGTTTTTCCTCATGAAGCAATAATCGCATATAGCAAATTGAATATACTTCCACAGCAAGGAATGTTGAGGCCACATGGTCAGAAAACAGTTCCATGTTACGACGCACATTTAAGATGTTTATAAGGATCAACTTCTTAAAAATTTTACCAAGAGTGAAATCTATGGAATAGACGTTTTGTAAAGATGGATGCTATCAGTGTGTGTTTTGAGACCACTTTTTCTCAATTGTCCAATTGTGTGATTATGTGATGACATTCTCTAAACATAAAGCGCTTTTGCTGGTGGTTTCGGCCTGATGAGCTCTATTTTCTTGAAACAGAAGATGAGTGCATTAAGAACTGTAGCTTCAACTTATCAAACTAGCAAATTGATTTTCTGTTTTCCATTTCAAATCAGAGTCACAGTGATTTGGAGTCATCCGTCCCCTGTAAGTCTCTTCTTCCTGCTCTAAATATTAATGTAATAAGATATCTAGGTTCCTTACCTATGAATGTGTTAGGACTTTATCTGGTTTACTGTTAGGATGAGATAAAATATTTTTCTACTTAAAGTCTGTTGTTATCACTTATAAGAGATTTTACATGTGGACTATTTATTTAATGGCCCTACTAATGTTTTCCATCAAATATCTAAAGCCAAGGACGCTCGTCTTCTCACTGTTGGACTTCCGGGTAGGACGCTGGAAACAGCCGTCGGATAGGCCGTTGGTCACCGTCTTCCAGCTCCTCCACAAAGCAGGTTCCAGAGCTGCATCCCCTGCCATAATAGCCCGGGAATCGGCAGCCAGCACCGTTGCCATGCTGAGTTTTCACGGCTCATTCCACTGAGGAGGCCTCGCCAGCAGAGAGGGGCACCTGAGTCAGGCTCATTTGGGCTTGAATCCTGATTCTTACTTCAAGGATTTGGGCACAATATTTAATCTCTATGGATCTCTGCTTCTCAATCTTCAGATGTCAGGAATAATAATACCTGGCCAGCTAAAGAAAAGAGTGGGTTGGATTGTGGTCACCTTGGTGTGCCCTGGGGGGTGTTGAGATGCAGGAAGCTGCTCCTTATGGAGGCAGCTCAGGGAGTTGAGAGCAGAGAGGGCTTGGTAGCTCCCAGGTAGCAATATTTCACCACTGAGTAAGCATTCAGTTGTATGACTTCCTCAGGCAATTCAGTGTAACACTGGAGGGCTTTTAGAGAAAAATGTAATTCTCGTTTTAGGAAAAAATACCCGTTTGTTCCTGGTTATAACTTTTGATCAAACGACCTCAGTTGAGTGTGTTGTGTGGCATAGTTTTACAAGGGCCTGGTCACGTGGGCCTCTCCACTCGTGGCATCTGTGGCCCCTCTAACGCATCCCATAGTTTCACATAACTGTTCCGTGCATGTGGTGGAGGGTGGAATTCCTCCAGCTCTGTGTGTCCTCTGTCCTGGTTTACCTCAGCCTTCTCCCATTTTTCCCATCTCTTTTTCCTAGTTTGCTTATTTACATGTCTTAATTTTGGAACTTTTTTTCATGTTTTGGAACTGTGTTTCAAAGAGCCATTCTTTAGTCTCTTGTTTGCTGTAGAACTATTAAAGAAAATTTTATTTTTCCCCTAAGCCAGCAGGACTCCAACTAATGACTTCCAAAATGTGTGTAATGAAACACAGCTCCGGTTGAAAGGTGCCAGGACACCGGCACACCCGTGCCAAAATGTGGATTTATACAGGGATGCGTTAGCACTGTGCTGCTGTCAGCATCAGCTCTGGAGTCAGACTGAGCTGGATTTGAATTCTGACCCTGCCAGATCATCGCTCCAGAAGTTTCTTAATTTTGATCTCAGTTTCTTCAGTTGTAAAATGGGAATTCCAGCACTTACATCAGACCAGCTGCAATGAGTACATGCAACTGTGCCCCTGAATTTCTAATTGTACCTGGTAGGTAACTTAGTAAATAGCATTTCCCCCTTAATCCTCTACCTGCATTTTCTGGTGAATACAACCCAAATAGGGAGGTGAGAATTTCCTAACGATAAATCACCTCGAAGAGACAGAGACAGACCGTGTTCGTTAGTTTTCGTTAACCCCAAGAACTCATGGACCCACCAGAATAATCCACACCCGCAGTTTGAGGAACTACTGTGAGATACATATTTTTCTGCATGAAAATGAGTTGTAAAATTATTACTGCAGAGTTTTACCTTTGAAACCTGTGAAACCTTTCAGTGTGAGAATACTTTTTACCCTAGGACACACAGTTCCCTTGAGATATGCATCGGTTACTACACGTAGAAGTTAGCTGCCTGTATTAACATAGGTTATTAAGAAACAGGAGTTTTAGCACAGGTAAATTTAATTACCTACATTGAAGTTAGCCATCTGTATTAACAGGTTATTAAGAAACAGGAGTTTTAACACAGGAAAATTTGAATTACATACAGTTCATGTTAATCCAAACATTCAAATGCTGCACGTATTTTCCATTTTACTAAATCATTATTCACATTAGGGTTATGCACACAAGGGCTAAGTCTTTAATTGATAATTCTTTCCTTCTATGGATATAAATGGCATTGCCTAAGAATTCAGCTCTTCGTTTGTTGTCTCTCTAACTTACTGGCTGTGCTATCTCTTGATTTCTTATGTCTATCTATGGAAGAAGATTAGAAACCTCTATTCTAAACACCGACAAAGTCTTTCTGGAGAATGTAAGCAGGGACCAGGCAAACAAGAAAACCTCCGGTGTAATTTTCTCTGAATTAGATTTGTTTGCGAACAGCTTGTGGCCTTTCATCTTTGAGAATTGTGACTATGTTCATTGATACTAACACCAGAGGTTAAAATGTGTTACCAAGAGAACAAAAGGGAGATAATCTTTAGTTCAATGTAGCAAAACAAAGTACTTGTTGAAGCTTTGATGTTTAAGGCTGGAGAAATAAAAAAAAAAGAGGTTGCATTTCTGGCTCTTATTTTCCAGTTCTTAAATCCTTCATTTTACATTAGGACCCAGAGACATCAAGCTGCATAAACAAGAAAACTTGTTTTGCTTTATTTGTGGCTCTACATGAACCTAAGATTATGGGAAAACATTCTATCAATAGTCTGCTTCTGGTGAACTTAACAGTTTTGAGAAGAAAAGATATTACCCTGCTCTGCCAAATTCCCCGAGTGAGGATCACGTGGGGTTGCATGCGAGTGTATTCCCACAGGGGGCTTGGCTGGATTGACTAGCGGCGGGTCTGGGGGCGCGGCCGGATTGACTAGCGGCGGGTCTGGGGGTGTGGCCGGATTGACTAGCAGTGAGTCTTGATTTCAGCATTTTGCTAAAGACCTTCTTTTGGAGATGTTGCTTTACAAATAGATAATCACTCACTTGGCACTGAGAGAATAAGCCCGAATTTCTGTAGGAACCCAGCACCTGCCACGGCTCCGACGGGCGACCTGACTGCTGCAGGCCATGCTCTGCTGTGAGATGCGGTGTGATATGGGTTCAAAGTTTTGCATCGTCCAGTTCAATCATCAATAGAACTCTAAGGGTGGCTTCTAATACCTGCCCATGCACCCATTCTCAGGTCAGCCTCGAGGGGCCATGCAACAACGTAGCTGGCTAATGTGGTTCAGCAATGGGGAGCACTGTGTTGGCAAAGAGGAGATCAACTTGGAGGGAGCAGGGGGAAGCCTGGCTCATCACGGCTGGTTAAAATCCAAGTTTCTAGCCATCTACCAAGTAGGTTGTTTAACCTGTTGTCATGTATGTGGTTGGTAAATTAGAGTTGTGGTTGTCACCTCTTAAGACAGATTGGCCTTATATTATATGGACAAGCTACAAAGATCAAGTGATCTTAAAAGTGATATTTGAGGCCCACCCCAGATTATTGGATTAGGAATCAGGAAACACCTTGTGGTGTGACTTCATGTGAGTTCCTGGACACCTGTGCGTGCTCGTTGCCCTTGATGGCCACACCCACCTGTGCCTACCTCAAAAGACCTCATCAAAACTGGTGTTAGAAGCTTGAGGTGGAATGCAATTCAGCAAACCTTTATTTAGCATCTCAGGGCTGTACCTTGGGCTGGATGTTGGCCATAGCAGCGTCTGCTTCTGAGAAGACATAAACGGAAGTCTCCAGGGCTCCCCCCATGTGTCCATGTGTCCATGGGTAAACCTCAGGTTCGCCCATCTCTCTGTGTCCAGTGGGAGTCCTAAAGCCAGCAGTGCTGCTCTCTGCTCTGGGGCTCTGTGACAGCTCTCTTTGGGCCCTGGATCCTCTTGGCTTCACTTATAGGGAGAGGCTCCATCACCAGCTGGGCCTCATCCCCTGCCCACTCACCCCTCGGGGTCCCAGCATACTCCATCCCCGAGGGCCTCCTGGGACCCCTGCATCCCCTGGGTATGGACTCTCCCTGCCTTCTCCGTGGAGAAGGCATGAGGGGTGGCATATTCCTTAGGAACACAGCTCTGGAGCCGCACTCCTGAGCCCGAAGGCTTGGGCTCCTCCCTCAGCTCTGTGCCTCAGTTTCTCCCTCCATGAGACAGAGACCCCAGGAGCTCCAGCCTCGGGCTGCAAGAGGATTGAATGAGCAGAGCACGTGGTGTGTGGCGAGTGTGGGCTGTTCAGTGCCCATTGCCTCCCCTCCATTAGGCTGTGAGCTTCCCGGAGGCAGGGGTGTGTTCATGGCTTTTGTTCTGGTTTGCTCCCTCCTGTGTCCCCACCACTTCACAAATGCCTGGTGAATGCTTGTGGGTAGATATGCTGTGGTCAGCCTCCTTGGACCAAGGCGCCCTCTTTGCTGTGGGAAGGCTGAGGGGCGTGAGGCAGGTGAGGGAATTCCACGTCTGTGCAGGCGCAGTGGTGACCGCAGGAACCACCAGGACAGACAGAGACACGCCTCTTGGGAAGGCAGCCAGGCAGTGGGACCGACCATATGGGGCAGTGCAGAGAGTCGGGGGCGGTCGCGATGCAAATCGCATTCTGTGTGGCCCCGGGGGCATGGATCGGGGGTATTCACAGCTGGTGGTTTTGAAGTATGAGTGGGCTCCAGAGGGCCAGAAAAATGGTAGCTGGGACGTCTTGACAGCAAGCAAGTGGTCGCTGGGATGGCTGGGTGAACTGGAAGTGGAATCTCAGGACCTGAGTCTGGGGCTTCAAGTTCCTCCACAGGGTCAGATGCGAACTGTTCCCAGGGTCAGATGTGAACCACGGAGTGGGTGCTTGGAAAAGCCTCAGGGCGTGCGTGGCTGCATCCGTTTCCCGTGGCCACCGTCATGAAGACCACAGACTGGGTGGCTGAAGGTAACAGAAATGTACTGTCTCGCAGTTCTGGAGGCCAGAAGCCCGAAACCAAGGTGGTGAGTGCTTGTGGATAGATCCCCTCCCAAGGCGGGCTCCCTCTGGAGGCCCTGAGGGCGTTGGTCCCTCCGCTGAGTGCTTGTGGATAGATACCCTCCCAAGGCGGGCTCCCTCTGGAGGCCCTGAGGGCGTTGGTCCCTCCGCTGTGTCCTTGCTGTGTCCTTGGTGATCCAGGCCCATGGAAGCGCGTCACCGACCCCTGCCCCTGCTTCACACGGCCCCCTCTCTCTGTGGGTCTCTGTGTCCTGAGCGTCTCTTCTTAAAAGGATGCCTGTCATCAGATTTAGGGCCTGCTCTAATCCAGGATGACCTCACCTCAAGGTCCTTAATTAATCACATCCGTAAAGACCTCATTCCCGAGTAAGATCACATTCTGAAGATCCCAGTGGCCCTACATTTTGGGGGATGATGTTCATCCCGTAACTCCTGGTGATGGTGGTGTCCTCACTGAATGACTGCCCCACATTTCAGGGCATCCTGTGGGCTGCCTTTTCCTCAGAGAGGGGCCTGCGGGTTCCACATGCTGACCTCCCTGTGGGCCTGGGAGGAGGCAGGAGGCCACAGCCAGGGCAGCCTGGGATGCTGTTGAGGAAGAGGAGGTGGGCTCTGCCCCCTCACAGTCAAGGGATCTTAGGGAAGGGAGACTTACTTGCATTCTGAGTGTGTCTCCCAGCCTTCAATGTGTTGATATTTCGATGTTGTGTAATAAACACAGGCATTGGTGAACCATGGATACTTCTCTATGTTGGGCAACCATGGCAGTTCCCCCACGTGGGCAGAGGAACGAATTCCCTGATGCACCCTACACCTTTCCAGCATGAAGAACCCATCCACCAGGTCTGTTTTCCAGGAAGATTCTCATCTGATTTGGTAGACCTGGCGCTGTCCTTTGCCAGCCAGCCTTGTTCGTGGTGAGCCATTCTGTGGAATCGTCGCCCATCCCTCGTGAACTCTTTGGGTCACTGGAATAGTTGCGGGGAAATTTTAGAAGATTTTATGATGAAAATATGCCCGAACACCTGCCTTACTCTCTCCAATGTAGGCCCAACTGTGGTTTCTACCATCAGCTTTCTTTGTAGGCCTGGGCGGTGTGGAAGCTGAAATGTGTGTAGAAATGAGTCCCAGCTCATCGGCTCATCCACGTGTTCGTTGAGGGAAAACCACGCTGCCAGTTAGAATTTACAGTTATAACTCTGCAGCCCATGAGCTGTGGAAGGATCCCGTGACCCCTTCTTATTTGCATCCCCCCCTCCAGCCATGTATTTTGTTTGGGGTAAGACGTGTGTGGACTCGGGTGGAGCAGAGCTGGAGTCTCGCTACTCCCAAGAGCAGCAGCAGCAGAAACGCCCCAAACTGTTGCTGTCACAGAGAGCGAGCGTCCCTGTGGTGTTTTCCAGGGAGCCGGGGCCCAGGTGAGTGGCACGTTGTGCTACAGAATCAGCGAGCTCCACACTGCTTCCCTTCCCTCTCCCTCCCCGGTGAGGACTTTCTCGGAGGTTGCACTGAGCCATTTCCGTGGAGGGCTTTCCTCCTCCTCTGTAACTTTTCAGACACCAGGGAGCACGAGACGTCGCTGGGAGGAGCTGCTCTGTGTGGACGGGGCCCCTCCGAGCACCCTGCCCACTCACTCTTATAAAGACCCATGTCGTCAGCACTGTGACGCTCCCTAGGAAGTTGCCCATTTATGGCTACTAGAGCAAATGATATCATCACAATAGGTGGCTCCTGTCTAAATAGGGATCATTTGTGAAATGAGATTATAGACATTTATCTGAAAAAAAAAAACAGGAGATAGAGGCACCTGCTTTCTGTAATTGATATCCTGGAGGAGAGCCGTGCATGGTAATTAAAGTGTCCATCTCCATGGCTAACTCTGTTACAAGGAAGGAGCTTGCCTCTCCTGCTCTGCACCAAGCAGCCCCCACATCCACATGGAGTCGACTCCAGATCCATGTTTTCTATTATGCTTGACTATATGGGCCATGCATCGCAGTCCTGTGCCTGCCACGCTGCTGCAGTGCCTGGTTTGCAGAGCTCCGTGGCAGCCTGGTCCGGGCTGTGGCTGACTGGAGCCTCGGAGGCACACTCGGTCGTCTTGGCCTGCTTCTCTCGCAAGGATGTGGAAGCTTCCCTGAGTGTAGGTCTCCCCGTCCACCCAGACGCCTCCTGCGCTCGGCGTTTGGATGCTGCAGACGGAGTGGCAGGAGGCTCTCCTCGGTAAGTCAAGGATGACTCATTTCTGACTTTCTGTACCTGGAACGTCCACTTCCCCTGGTGCGGTGGCATCAGGTAGACAGTAGCCAGCTGGTAGCACTCAACTAGTTAATCCCAATAGCCGCTTTCCCTCGATACTTTGCAGCATGTTTTTCCCTTGCCCTCCCTCCCTCCTGGCCATAGGTCTTGCCTTTCTTATAAGTAAAGCACTCATCTCTTGATAGTCGTTGTGATAGCAGCTGGGGGTAGTTGGGGGGAGACTAGTATGACTGTAATCCAGGGAGCATCTTAATTGCCAGGAGGCTTTGGGGGAAAAGCTCTTGCACAGCTGTCCAGAACTACGGTGCTGTAATTCTAAGGAGGCAAGTTCAGTCTTCAGCTATAACCATTTTCCCAATAATCACCGAGTACTGGAGCAATTTGTAACGCAGGAGCTGTTCCAGCTTATTCTCCATTTGCTATAGCAAAGATGCAGCAGCCGGGCTGCTGGTTTCAGTACTCCTTTGGGAATGAGTAAATCCAGGGACCTGCAGCTATTAAGACCTGTGTTTTTCTATGCAAGCAATGGAGTGAGAAGCCTGTGGAAACGGCTTCCTTTGTAATGCTGAGTGCAGTGAAAGATTGGGTGCCTCTTATCAGCTGCATTAAATAGGATAAAAAGAAAAGAGGGAAGATGTTTGACTGATACGCCGCAAAGTGCTGCCATATATTTGTCATTAAGACCAACAACCTCTTCAAAAGCAGAGATTCCAAGATTTAGCTGACCAAGTGGACTGTCCTCTGTTCTGTCTGAAGAGACAGTGTTTTAAGTGTGATGGGAATTGCTGAGATTTTAGAGGAAGCATGCTTCTGAGTGCACACATTTTGACAAGGGTCTCTGCGATCCCCGAGGTCTCGGGGTTGTACCGTCCACAAAGGGCCTTAGCAGTGGGGAACTTTGTAACAAGTGACGGGCACCTGTGCAATCCACAAGACGATGGTCCAGTGTGTTTTGGGAGGGTTTTTCTTTTCGTGCTTCTTGCCTTAGTATACTGGCTTTTTTTTTTTTTTTTTGCTTTTGCTTTACCTCGTGCAAAAATATGCACCTCTTTAAATGGTATTGTCTAGCCTCTTTCTGATGAAATAGAATGTCAGTAAAAGGATGTATTAGCTTAGGCATCTAGGTAATTGCTAGCTTTAAAAGTTCCTGTTATCAATGACCAAAATATCTTACATTAAAATGTTATACTCTGTACAGGACTGAGCATGGCCAATAGGAAGATGTTATTGGTTTGTGCATATTTAGGTGGGTATCGACTATTTCATTCATAATTTTGTTCCCAGAGCTCGGTGCCTCTCCACACGGAGGTTTAGTGTTAAAATGGTGTCTGTTGTGGCCTTTAATTTGCTCATGAAGCAGAGCAAGTCAGTGGGACTCTCTCCAGCTTGGTGAATCACACTTGCTGTTTAGCAACAAGTGCTGGCCTCCGCAGCCAGGGTCGTCTGCCATGCATGCCATTCATACATTTATACGCAGGATGACATGGTTCTCCAGAAGAGCAGTTAGGAGATGCCAGCCTTTAACGGGGTTTGCAGCCCAGGGCAGAGAGTTTCACTGGGAACAACTGCAGCTATGGGAAAGCTTTAGGTCATGGGGACAATCCAATGGCTGGTGGGGCGGTGTGGGACTATTTTACTAAGTTTAATTCTTGCTCCCAATTTGCAACAATTACTCAACAGTAAGTACCTGCAAGTAATGAATATTGCTTTTTTAAGCCAAGTCAACTTATTTATGGTTAAAACAAAACTGGATAACCAGAAAATAAGTTGTGTGTATATACAGTGTTCAGATTGGAAAAATATAGCTGCAAGAGGTACACACAATTCCTCAAATATGTCAGGCAACCTGTTTCATACAACCAAACCAGGGTGCTGTTTGGGGATGTTGTATATTTGATGGATATATAACAAATGTGATTTCACCAGCATTAATAACTTCAAACCAAATGCATTAATAACTTCAAACCAGCATTAATGACATCCACTCAAATGTTATTTAACTGGCATTGATAACCTCAAAACCACCTGCAGTTGTTGTTTTCTAAGGCAATATCTGTTTTACTTAAACACTATTTAATTTGATGGCTTTCTTTTTTCTTCAACAAGGAGGTCTTTAGTAAATTTGACATTCTCTAAAATATTCGCTGTCAACACGGGCTGAATGTGACCTCTCCACGTAGTCAACACATAAAAATTAAGCTCTGCCAATTATATATAACATTTTAAGTGAGTATTTCCTCTCTCCTTTTATCCTGCTGCATGCGGCAGAGGGACAAATGCTTATTAGGAAGACAAGCGTGGTCCGTTTCACCCCCCTCCACCCTGACATGCACACACCTGGCCCCTGCACACACCTAATGTGGAGAATCCGTTTAAGGAACAGTGAAGGGTGGGTGCATGGAAGAGCATTGCGGTATCATGAGAGGTGTAGAAAGGTGGTTTGAAAGGCATGCTGTGCATTCACAGTTTGTTGCTGTGTGAGTCTGGAGATACAGCCAGACACCTCCACACAGTGGCTGATTCCCACCCACCAAACAGCGTGCCCAGGGGATTTCTGAGAAAATATGTCTCCACGCACCAGGGCGCCTGCCTTTATTCACTCTCTCAGTTTAAAATACAGAGTTATTCACCCCTGAGCTTCTGTGCACACAACCCAGTGTTCGCTGAAGCTGTGTCTAAACCTCTGACTCAGTAAGGTCTTTTTAAAGATACAGCCATTGCCAGGAATTTGATTATTAGGTCATGATTTTATTCAAGATTATTTCAAGATAACAACTGGCAGTAAAATTCGCATTTTTCATATGACTAGCATCAGGAAAAAAGTCATCACATTTTCATTTAGAGAACAGTTATTGTGAAATGACTTTCCTGACCACACATCTTTGTTAAAACAGCACTGTATTCAGTAGAGACTGAAAGCACATATTCATGCTGGAGTCGACAGTTTCTGTCTCTTATCACACAACACGGAGCGTTTTGCTTGTAACTCTGTGGTTGGGGAGTACAACATCCTCTAAACCAGTGACCTCTGTAAAATGTGGCTCTGTGCCTTAAGAATGACATTGTTAATTATGAAATGTTTAAAAGATGCCCGTGTGCTTCCTTTCTTATGGGATCATCAGAGACTTTTATGCTCGTCTTCCTTCCAATTCGATACTCTCCTGAGATTCATCTGTGCTGAACGTCGGCACTTCTGGTTATCCCATTTAAGTACATCGTTTGCTCCTTGTGGGGGCAGTTCAGAGACAGAATCCTGACTGTCGAAGCCCCCAAATAGTTCTGTAGGATGGTCTGTCTGTAGGGATGGCCTGGGTCCCAGGAATTCCGGGAAATCTTTCCTAGCTATTTGCTTTCGAGTTGTCATTCTCCCGCGTGGTCTGTGGGGAGAATGCTCTGGGCCTGACTTGAGTGTCAGGAGCCCTCAGAGGAGACACTGCCGAGCTGGACACTGTCCAGCCTGAGCGTGGCCACGTCGTGGTGGTGTCCAGGCTGTGCAGTTGCTGGGGCTAGGTCCGCTCGCTGGCTTGTGGGGCAGGTCTGAGCGAGGACAGTTCCCCACAACGGTCAGGTCTGAGTGAGGGCAGCTCCCCACCACGGTCAGGTCTGAGCGAGGACAGCTCCCCACCACAGTCAGGTATGAGCGAGGACAGTTCCCCACCACGGTCAGGTCTGAGTGAGGACAGTTCTCCACCATGGTCAGGTCTGAGCGAGGGCAGCTCCCCACCACGGTCAGGTCTGAGCGAGGACAGCTCCCCACCACGGTCAGGTCTGAGCGAGGACAGCTCCCCACCATGGGCAGGTCTGAGCGAGGGCAGCTCCTCACCACGGTCAGGTCTGAGTGAGGACAGTTCCCCACCAGGATCAGGTCTGAGTGAGGACAGTTCCCCACCACGGTCAGGTCTGAGTGAGGGCAGCTCCCCACCTTGGGCAGGTCTGGGTGAGGACATGAGGACAGAGCCCCACCACGGTCAGGTCTGAGTGAGGACAGTTCCCCACCACGGTCAGGTCTGAGTGAGGGCAGTTCCCTACCACGGTCAGGTCTGAGTGAGGGCAGCTCCCCACCATGGTCAGGTCTGAGTGAGGGCAGCTCCCCACCACGGTCAGGTCTGAGTGAGGACAGTTCCCCACCATGGGCAGGTCTGAGTGAGGACAGTTCCCCACCATGGTCAAGTCTGAGTGAGGAGGGCAGCTCCACCACGACTGGCCTGTCTTTGTCCTTGGCCTCCACACGCGGCACCTCCGTCCCTGCTGTCTGGATGGCAAAGCTGTGCTTGTAGGGCAGGTCTTCATGGTGAAAAAGACCCTGATGGGACGTGGGAGAGCTGCGGCCCAGTATAGTCTCAGTCCCAATTTCTTCTTAAGTCACCGTCAGAGCCCACGATACCCATTGCCTCGGACCTCAGGGGCTTCCTGGTCGCAGCAGGCGGCCCAGTGGCTTCTGCCGCATCCCCAGCCCAAGCTGCCTGGGCCCCCCTGATGCCCGACTCTGACTGGTGGTGTTTGGTTTGCTGCAGAGAGGGGTTGGTCTCCTTCCCTCCTTCAGGTTCCGTCTGATCCCAGGTGGGTGGGTGGCTCTGACCCAGCCTCTCCGCACAGCCCCCTCTGTGATCTTCCCATTCTTCTGTGACCAGGGCTGTGGCCACGTTGTCCATGTGCCCTGTACCTCGTGCTGCTGGCCTGGATCCAAGTCCCATCTGACCCCCAGTTCCTGGGCTTCCTCCCTGTTCTTCAAGGAGAGACTGAGAAGGCTGAAGGGTATGCTCTGGTCAGGAGGTTCTACCCTCCTAGCGCTTTTGCTTTGGGTTTTCTGACCTGTTGGTGTTCCCGCTGTGGTGCCTACCCAGCAGGGGCCCTGCCTGTAGGAGCATCACCTGGTGCCTGGGAAGCTGCAGGCTCCTGAGTGTACTTGGGAGGTCAGAGGCTTCCTGGGAGGGGGCCACGCTGAGGAAGCCCGTGTGGGAAGACTGTCTCAGCCGTGCCGTCCTCCACACGGGGCTATGCCCGGCCCACGCACGCCTGGGCAACCATTTCCATGCCCATTTTCCAGATGGGAAAACCAAGACTCAGGTGGTTGAGTGACGTGTGTGTGTGTGTGTGTGTGTGTGTGTGTGTGTGTGTGTGTGACTTAATATTTTTAGCACAGTTTTAGGTACCCAGCAAAATTAAGTGGAAAGTGCAGACAGTTCCCATATGGCCCCTGCCCCACCCACGCCCTCCCTCGTGACCCAGTCCCCTCCAGAGCTGTGCATTTAGTGCAGCTGATGGACCAACACGACACGTCATCCTCACCCGGAGTCCGTGGTTCACCTCGGCTCACTCTTGGCATTGTCACTGCACAGGTTTGGGCAGGTGTTTGATGACGACACACCCCCCCATTACAGCAGCCCACAGAGGAGTTTCTCTGTCCTAAAAATCCCCTCTGCTCCGCCCACTCCTCCCTCCCTCCTCATGAACCCTTGGCAAACACAGGACCATTGACTATCTCTATAGTTTTGCCTTTTCCAGAACATCATTTATTTGATGGGAACCACAGTGCACAGCCTTTTCAAATGGGCTTCGTTCACTTTGTAATGTGCATTTACGGTGCCTTCGTGTCTTTTCCTGGCTTAGCTGCTTATTTCTTTTTAGCAGTGAGTGCTATTCCACTGTCTGAATGCTCATAGTTTATCTGTTCCCTTATGAGGGGCATCTCAGTTGCTTCTGAGTTTAGGGAATGATGAATGAAGCTGCCATAAACATCTGTGTGCAGGCTTTCGTGTGGATGTAAGTTTCCAGCTCATCTGGGTAAATATGAAGGCATGCAATTGTTGGATTGTATGACAAGCATGTGCTTAGTTTTGTAAGAAACCACCAAAATGTCTTCCAACGCAGCTGCGTTGTTCACCCCCCACAGTGGATAAGAGTTCCTGTTCATCCACGTCCTCAGCGGCGCTTGAGGCTGTCTGTGCTGGGTTTTGGCCTTGCTCAGTGGTGTGCAGGGAGGTCTGAGGCTTCCCCGGTGGGGACTAAGGCTGTCCCGGTGGCTAGCAGTGGCTCTATCTGTGCATCCTGTGCTGTTATTTTGCTGCTATGTGAGGAGGAGGGAAAGGATGGACGCACAGGAGCGGGGAGATGAGGGAACAAGGACGGAGGGAGGGAAGTGCTGCACAGCAGGGGCTCAGCGCATGTGGGACAGAGGGAGGGAAGGGCTGCACAGCAGGGGCTCAGCGCATGTGGGTCCGGGATATGCCTGGGGTCATGGGCCCCTCCCCAAGTGCTTTCCTGTGAGTGTTCCCAGGGAGACCTCGTGGGGGCTTTTTCTCCAGCCCATCCTCTCCCTGAGCTTGTTTATCAAGAAGATGCTTCTAGAGTGAGGATTTTTGCATAAAAAAGGGAATCTGTGAACCTGGGCAGCCCCGGGGGCTGGGCTCAGGGCAGGTTCTGGCCTGGCCTTTGACCTCTGTGGGACCCAGTCCTTGAAAGACTCACAGGAATGTGCCTAATGGAAACCCAGTCTGGGTAACAAGAACAAACATTAAAAATCCCCGGCTGAAGTTGGCGGGTAGCACTGCCCTGCACTAGACACACATTTATTGCAGCTGACGCGGCAGCAGCATTCTTTGTTGCTGGAAGAGTGATACGGACTCTGGGCAAATATTTGTGGAGAACGAATTGGGCCCCAAATTGTGTTTGCTAAGGCAGTCTTGTTTAAACTGAAAAGAAGGGGCTGGTGGGCAGGGAAGTGGGAGAGGTGGTGGGGGCTGCCAGCTGGGCCGGACAGAGCTGGGGCCCCTGGACAGGTCGCGAGGAGGCCGGGTCGGACAGACCTGCGGCCCGTGGACAGGTCGCGAGGACACCAGGTCTCACTGGAGGACGGGCCGGCTTCTCCCATGCCCTGGGTCCTCCGCACACTCCTGTCCTCTCAGCCCTTAAGGTCAACTGTAACATTTTTAGAATGCTACAAAAAGAAGGCTCAGCAACCGGGGACTTGCATTTTTGCTTTTTTGAGATAACGGTTTCTGGGGAGAACAGTGGGACCTGCACATCCGAGAGTCCGAGCTTTACTGTCCCTTCACCGTGGAAATTATCATGGCTCCCACCTCAGATGTCTTGTCTTTTGCTTAAAAATAGCGTCATTAGAGTATAATATATACTCCTATAAGCACCATACTTAATATGATATTATAATGCTGTACCTACGATAAAAGTTATTTGTGCTCGCCAAATGCTGAGTGCTGGCCTGAGGGCTTGGAATTCAACATCATGTTTGGATTCCACAACAAGATGAGGTGCAGCCACAATGCGTGTCTTGTGGAGGAGGATGCTGTGAGGGCCTGTGGCTGCCTCACGTCTGCGGAAGAGGCCAGAAGCCAAGCTAGAGAGGCCTCAGTTTCCCCTCCCGTCCTCCTTTTGCCAGGCTGAACCCCCTCCCCAAAGCTGCGTCAGAGGACAGAGGGAAGGGATTTTAGATCAGAGTACATTAAACACACATTTAGCTTTGGAAATGTTTTGTTCTTGGACTTAAAAGTATGTGTTTCTGGCACTGTGCATATTCAAACATTCTTTTCTCCAAATCACTACGCTACTTCCTGAAAACCTGTACTTGAGGAAAACCTGAGAAGGTTTTGGGGCATCTTGTGCACCTCTTTGCTCTCTGCTCTTTGACTTCAGCTGATTTGTAGACTCGGCGAGTCCTTTCTTGCCTCCTTTCCTGAGTTCTGTGTTGTCTTAAATGGGAGAAGGAGATCTTTTTTCATGGCGTGGGTTCAGGGCAGCTGCGAGAAGCCACAGCAGGGACTTAGGCAGAGAAGAGGCCCTGTGTCCCGGGTGCCTGGTGAGCAGCGGCTGACATGGGCTCGTCCTGCCATGGCCCAATAAATCTCGTGGTTCCTGAGGGAGGTGTGTGGATTTCACAAACAGTTTTAGAAATGCTCTTGCTTCTGCCATTTATAACATCAACATACAACCCCAAAATGTGTGGTGAAAACACGTGAAAGTCAAATCCGTGTCCTTAGGCTCTGAAATATCTCACAGGTGAGGGGCGATTTCGGCACTGTCCAATGTCTACTCATGTTCCAAACAGAAAGACAGTTTGAAAGGTGCAGCTTTCACATACATACGCGTATGTGAAAAGTGTGAGTGTGTCTGTTCAGACACACATACAGACACAAACACTCACTCCCTCCTTACAGAAAAGACCATGGGGAAAGTTAGCCTTCAAAACTGTTTTCCCTCAGCTAGTATTTGGAATGAATGAATGATTGTGCACAGGAAGAAGGACGCGCTGGCTTTTCCGTGTAGAGAGGCCGTCTGCGTATTCTGAGCTGGGCTGTGGTTGTTCCCACTCGCCCCTCGCCCTCACTCTCCAGACCCCACAATTGCCGACAAGCACTGAGCACCGTTGGCTCCAGGATCAGGAGGCAGAGGGGAAGCCCCTGGAAGACTCAGCCTGTGTTCCGATGGCTGCTTTTCCAAATCAGAAGGGGCATTTTAGCAAACAGTGTGCTGTGGATGAGATTCAGCGCCGGCACCTCACTGAGCAGAATGAGGGTCCTGTGTTTCGGGGGCGACCCGGGCCTCTCTCTCCTGGCCTCCTCCCACTGGCTGCTCCTCCCACGGATTTGCAGCTGACTGCAGCCCAGCTGCCGAGCGGAAGCTGGGGAGGAGAGGATGGTGAGTGGTGCTTTCCAGTTTTAGCTTTTGTGTGATGATAAAAACTGTACTTCTAGAGTAACCCAGCATTAAGTTAGACTACACTTGTCACCTTTTTCTTGTGGGTGAGAGGAATAACCACCACTTTCCACAATGCCTGAAATAACCACTTCGGCCGCCTCCACGGTGCTTGACTTTCAAGGGTGGCTTCCTGGATGACTCCCCTCCCTCCTCCAGCACCACCCTGGATGATGTGCAGTCTCTCCTGGGTGGGGCTGTGCTAGCCTAGGCTGGGGCAGCTGTCCTCAGCTACCAGTCAGGAGAACACTTGCTCCTGGGCGTCCCGGTGCCAGACAGGATCCAGATTTCCCTTCTTATGATGTGCCTTTCACAAAACAGCGCTAGCCTGATTCTTTCCATTTTCTATTTTCTGTGTCTAATTTTTTCCATATCCATTTTCCACCTGGTTCATTTAGTGATACCGATTTTTAAGCCTTATTTTTTTAAGGATTTGTGAATATTGTACAACTTGTTAGGATAACAGTGGAATACTGGCTCCAAGGATGTGTGCAATTTTGATTTATTTTCCTAATATGTGTGTGTATAGATAAATGTCAGTGAAGTGAATATGTGTGTGTGTCAATAAAAGAAATATACTTAATCACCCAGTTATTTAGTCAAACATTTAAAAAGTGACATGTCCTTCTGACCTGGCCCTGCAAGCTGCAGGAGGCTCCCTGGCCTGTGAGTTTAGGGAACTCGTGTCAGTCTGGTTAAGTGGGTGGTTTGGGTGCCGTGCTGGCTGTACGTGGTTTCTCGTCAGTGTGCTGGACATTGGCCGGCCAGCGCTGCCTGGGCCTTGAAGGCAGAAATGGCTGCAGACACCACTCGGATCAGGGAGTGGATGATCTTTGGCTCCGTCCTGCCATGAAGTCGTGCTTAGAGTTAGTTGTGCCACCAACCACCGTCAAGGCACACAGTGGAGGGGGTGCGGGTTTGATGCAGTTACAGAAAAGTTGGTGACATCGAGAGACATTCCCCCAGGGACTGTGAGGGGACCGGGAGCCTCCTGATTGATGGTGTTCAGATGCAGGGCACTCTCTCCAGCTTTCCACTTCCATCGGGGATGGTAGACATTGTAATAACATTTTGGAAAGAAAAAAGCTTCCTATTCATTAATTCTTCATCCATATAATTCATAAATCTTGGTTCTCACATGTGGTCATCCAATGAAAATTTGATGAGTTTGATTTGTAGAAATCTTTACTGGGTGTCCTCCAATGTAAGAATGTTCTTGGAGACTTGAAATGCAGAGTCCTCATTCACGTTATCTTGGAGAACTCGACGCGTGTTTGATTTCACCGCAGCGTTTCTCCCCGCGGTAGTGCAGGCACCTGGCAGGGAGGTGCGGCCTGGCTTGTGGCTGTTCCCGAGAGCATTGGGTGTGTGTTCAGTGAAGGTGCTGGTGGGTTTGACCTTGCTATCCTTTCAAAACAGATCAAGCAAGTCTGTTCACCATCATGCTCTCCTGGAGAAGATGTGCTTCTTATTAAAAATACATCAGCTGCACACAGTGCTTACACTGGCAGGTTCTGTTTAGGGTGGAGAATGACACTTTCTGTTTAGCCAGCGTTTGTTAGGCACGTACCTGGGGTGGAAGAAGAGGCCGTTGTGGGGCTCCACTGCCGGGAAGGTTTCGGGGAGGCTGAGTGTGCCCGGGGACCCTGTGCCTCTGGGATTTCTCCCTGCTGGCTGAGACGGAATCTGCTGTTACTGTATTAATTTAATTAGGGAGTTCCTATGTGACACATTAGGATTTTTAGCTGTATCCGACTAATTATCACTCCCCATTTGTACCTCTCATTTGTACCTCTGATCTTATGTTGTCACAATCATTATAGCACCGTGCTTTACCCAAGAGAATAAAAGCCCACTGTTGAAGTCAGTCTCGTAGCTGTTATTTTGAGTTGAGGCACGATCTGGCTTCCAGGTCTGTCTTCCACCTTCTAAAATCATTTATTCAATAGAAATGACACCAGCAAAACATTTGAGATCATCTTTCTCTTCTGCTATTGGAACATATCAATTTATATATTCTTCCAAAATCAGCTCTAAAGAATAAAATTGTAAAAAAACTGGGTATAAAACAAATAGCCAAATCATTTGTTTTACTAAATTACAGGGAGCTATAAAGTTTTGTAGTTAATACGTTAAGAAATAGTCACTCTGAAATTTTTTTTAATGATCATGGGGTTCTATGATAGAACTATTTTTGTATTAGCCTTGGAAATACAGACATGGATATGTAACTCAGAAAAAATATACTTGCTCCTGAGCTCAGAATTTAAAAGAACAAAACGGTTGATTCAGGATAAATAGCATGCGTTCTCTTACTTTTCCAAAGATGGTTTTTGTTTTCTTAGAAGCACTGTGTCATAGTTCCTTGAGTGAAATGGTGGAACGTGGCACAGACATGTGGAAGGGGATGCAAAGCCCTGCACAGAGGAGCTGTGTGTGCATTTTGTAGATGGCCTGGAACTTGAATTTGGCCAGTGCTTTCCACAAACATTTCCCATGCACGGCTCCCATGCAGAAAGTTAGTAATCCTGAGAACTGCCGTTCCTTCCCAAACGCTTTATCTTTTCACACGTGGATATTTTTATCTTCTGCTATTCTGTGGCAGAGTCCAGGGGAGTAAGTTCTGATGTTTTTTGTACATTTACCTTCAGACTGAGACTGAACTCACCCGGCTGCGTATTCAGGATTCACTGTAACAGAAGGGTTTGCAGCAGAGTGAGGCTGAACTCACCCAGGTACATATTCAGGAGTCACTGTAACAGAAGGGTTTGCAGCAGACTGAAGCTGAACTCACCCAGGTACATATTCAGGATTCACTGTCACAGAAGGGTTTGCAGCAGACTGAGGCTGAACTCACCCAGGTACATATTCAGGATTCACTGTCACAGAAGGGTTTGCAGCAGACTGAGGCTGAACTCACCCAGGTACATATTCAGGAGTCACTGTAACAGAAGGGTTTGCAGCAGACTGAAGCTGAACTCACCCAGG
Organism: Homo sapiens; assembly: GCF_000001405.40. Classification (NCBI taxonomy): domain Eukaryota; kingdom Metazoa; phylum Chordata; class Mammalia; order Primates; family Hominidae; genus Homo; species Homo sapiens. Next base: position 1,074,222 of record NC_000008.11, read on the forward strand.
TACATATTCAGGATTCACTGTAACAGAAGGGTTTGCAGCAGACTGAGGCTGAACTCACCCAGGTACATATTCAGGATTCACTGTCACAGAAGGGTTTGCAGCAGACTGAGGCTGAACTCACCCAGGTACATATTCAGGATTCACTGTCACAGAAGGGTTTGCAGCACAGAATTTCTCTTCAGCCTTTCAGTTCACATCATGCTCAGTCTCTGCCTACAGTGTGTCCAGCTAACATCAGAATACAGAAACCCTTTCATGTGGGACAGAGGGAAGTGAGTGAATGCCGGGGACAGAGAGAGCTCCCACCTTCACAGCCGAGGCTGCCCTGGCTCAGGGGCTTCTCCACTCCCCTCTTTTTGCTTCTTACCAAGAGCAAGCCTAGATCAGTAACAGACTTGCAAGGTGAAGATGAGGCGTTTGATCCGCTTGTGAATTAGGTGGAAAATGGACCTCGGTATTAAACTTTGGGGAAAGGAAGAGAGCATTTCCCACTCCTCGTCTTTCCAGTGACCAGGTCGTCAAGGCGTGGGTGATTTTTTAGAAGTCATCTGGTGTATCGTTTAAGATTATATAGACTTGATGCAGGTCCAAGAAAATTCAGTACTGCCCAACAAAGGGATCCGCAGCCTCCAAGAGGTCACTGGGTCATCACCAGCAGGGTCCTGCATGGGGTCAACCCAGTGAAACTCTCCTTGGTCACCTTGCAGTTGGCAGGGGTGCAGCACATCTCACCAACAAACAGTGCAGCAGGGAGTGGTGACCATGTCTCACCAACAAACAGTGCAGCCAGGGGTGGAGTGGGGGATGGCGACTACATCTCACAACAGTGCAGCGGGGGGTGGGGACCACGGTGCCCACTGCACACACCTGCTGTGCCAGGTGAGCCCTCTGGCGATGTCCTCAGACTCAATGGAGTTCACCACTTGGGGCTGAGACAAACAGCCCCTCCTTTTCGGATGAGTGGGAGTTGCTGCAAAGCTCTAGGGGAGGTTCTGCCCAGATGACCACTCCGGCTGCCTTTTCGAGTTAGGACCCTCTTGTTGAGGAGCGTGAGGGAAGGAAAAGTTGAGCTGAAGGATCCCTAGGAGAGCAGGCGATGCGGATTGAGGCGTGCATTGTGGGGTGCTGGAATCCGCAGGAGGAGAACCGCGGCTGGGTGTTCTGGAAGCGGCTGGTCAGGCTCCCAGAGCCCCTTTGTCTCCTGCAATGGGCTTGTTTCTGTGGGTCTCTGGGGTGCCTGTGTTCCAGTCACATTTTTCCCTCTACTGTCCTCTTCTGTGATGGCATTTTCATCCCCTGCAGGGGAGATGGGACAGAAGTTTGCTTAAGTACCAAAAGCTCTGCACACAAGTGAAATCTGAGGACAAGTTAGACATACTGCGCACTGGTTGAGGTCTTTGTATGTGACGTCCTTGATGACCACTTGAACTCTCCCTTCTCCTTCAGGTCCTTTGTGGAAGCAGGAGGGCCCGTCAGTGAGAGCAAGGTTGCATCTGACCCCAGGGCATGTTGTATGTCAGGGCTGAGTGATGAGCAGATGGTTCTTTGTAAAGATAGCTCAGAGGCCGGGTGTCCCAACTCAGGCCTGTAATCCCAGCACCTTGGGAGGCCAAGGTAGGAGGATTGCTGGAGCCCAGGAGTTCAAGACCAGCCTGGGCAACGGAGGGAGACCTCATCTCAAAAAAAATAAAAACAAAAAAAAAGAAAAAAGACCCGAAAAATCACAGGATGGTCTGGGCCTGAGTTCTTAATAGTTATTCTATGGGGTTTTTCCAGAGAGAGCAATTGGAAGATGCATTTGAGGTGTGTCTCTCAAAGAGAAAGAGGAATTCATACTACTAGCAAAAGGTAGGAGGATTTTTTCACAACAACGTTATCTAGAAAATCCACAAGTGATTTAAAAGCACAGGCTGGCTGGGCCTGCTCCAGGCAGCACAAGCTTGCCTGTCCCATGAAGGTGAACCTGACGTTCTCCGCCTCTCCCCTCACCCCTGTGCCACCCGCCTTCCTGCCTGTGAAGGAATGAGCCTATACCGCGTGCTGGTGGTTGGGAATGGCATGAGCCCCCGCCGGCTGTCCGCAGCTCACACGGCACTGACACAGACACTGAGCTGCAAGTCCCAGCTCACTACGTGGCAGTGAGTCGCAGCTCCCCGTCTCCGAGCCTCAGTTTCCATGCAGGAGACGTACGGTATTTTGCGGAAAGTCGGATGGGTTAGAGGGCAGGATGCTTTCGAAGTTCTTGTGGAACAGGAGGCAGATCTGCCGCTCATGGCCCACACCTGGGTTGGTCTCGGAAGATGGCCTCTGGGCTGTGATGCTCCGGCCAGGGCCACGGCTCAGCCCCTCTCTTGAGCCGCCTTCCGTTTTCACTTGTGAATGACGTTAGAAACTTTGCGGTCTGTACGTCTCCTTCCCAGCAGTTGGCAGAGTTTTAGGAATGAAGCATCGTCTTCCTCATCGTTAAAGGCCATTCCCCTTAGTGTGTTAGTGTCCTGGGCTGCCATAACACAGGGCCTCACACCAGAGATCCCCTTCTTCATGGATCTGGAGGCTCGAAGTTCAAGACCAAGAAGGTGGAGGAGGAGTCTGTCCCAGGCCCCCCCCCAAGACCAAGAGGGGGAGGAGGAGTCTGTCCTGGGCCCCCCCAATACCAAGAGGGGGAGGAGGAGTCTGTCCCGGCCCCCCCCAAGACCAAGAGGAGGAGGAGGAGTCTGTCCCGGGCCCCCCAAGACCAAGAGGGGGAGGAGGAGTCTGTCCCGGGCCCCCCCAAGACCAAGAGGGTGGAGGAGGAGTCTGTCCCGGGCCCCCCCAAGACCAAGAGGGTGGAGGAGTCTGTCCCGGGCTCCCCCACACTCCTGATTTGCTGTCAATGTTTGGGGTTCCGTGGCCTGATAGTCCCGATCCCAGCCTTCACCTTCATGCAGTGTTCTCCATGTGTGTCTGTCCTCCGGTTTCTGCTTCTGATGAGGACACCAGTCATGTGGGGGCAGGATCCTCCACTCCAGCATGACCTCACCTTACCTCGTCACCTCTGTAGCAGCCCCTGTTTCTAAACGCAACCATGTTGGGAGGTCCTGGGCTAGGGCTTCAGCACATGCCCCTGCAGGGCACAGTTCTACCCACACCTGTTAGTAAACACTCAGCTCGTCACACGGCAGTCCCATCATATCCGTGGTTCTCAGGAGCAGAGGGGCGGTGGTGATGTCAGGGCCTCAGCTTCTAAAGTGAGTCACTTTCCTATTCTTGCTGCCACTGAGATGTTGGACTTTTAGGTGAACATCACTGGACCCCAATTCCATTCTGGGCTCCACTGTCTACCAGAGGTACTTCATAATATCAACTGGTGTGCTAACAAGAAGGTGAGATGGTGTATGCTCGGGATTGTTTAAACCACCAATGGCCATACAACATTTGCTGGGAAATCTGCCAAAATAACATCTCTAAGTTTTATACTAAGAATGTTCTTAAGAAGCCCTTGAGCTATGTGTTTTGCTCCATTGTTTCTGTAGAGAGATTAGCCCACGCAGTGGTTACTGAAAAATCTTGGCATAGTTTATCAAACTCCCCTTTTCCACAAGAAGATGCTAGCTTCCTGTGTCCTTTTTCATAGCTCTTCTGGGTGACACAGCGGAGCTCACAGCTGTCTCAGCACACGCCCGTGTGCGTGCACGAGTTCTCCAGCGGCCGCCGCACAGCCCTGATTCTCTCCACACCACTGTCTAGTGCATAACTCCAGGGGTGTCATCCACGCCATGTCCTCTGTGGCTGTTGCCAGCTCTACAATATAAATACTTGCTTCCAGGTCAAGCACAGAGGAACTTAAATCCCACCGGGACCCGGTGAGGGTTACCTTCTGTCCCTGGTTTTCCTAAATTTCGAGATGGGAGGGATGGTGAGTCCCTTCCCTTCCAGCTCCCTCAACACGCTGGCCCTCCAGAGACGCTCTCCTGGTTTAGAACATTTATTCATCTAGAACATTATTAACAATGGAAAGAACAGTGGCTTGCACTGTTTTTTAAATTAATAGAATTTATTTTTAAGAGCAGGTTTAGGTTCACAGAAGCATTGAGCTGAAATTACAGAGTTCCCACCTACTCTTTTTGCCTGTATTCCATTTCTCTGCTGTTAGCGTCTCACATGAGGTGGCACATTGGTTACCGTTGAGGAACCAGTATTGATCCATGATTATTGATGGAAGCCCACAGCTTATATCACATCCAGCCTTGGTGTTGCACATTCTGGGGATTTTTGGCACATGTGGAATGGCGTATGCCCACCCTGGCAGCATCACACAGAGGAGTTTTGCTGCCCTAAAAACCCTCTGTTCTCTGCCTGTTCCTCCCTCCCTCTCCTCTAACCCCTAGCAAACACTGATCTTTTACTGTCTTCATAGTTTTTTCTTTTCCAGAATGTCATAGAGTTGGAAATAGACAGTATGTAACCTTTTCAGATGGGCTTTTTTCACTTAGTGATATGCATTTAATTTTCTTCCTTGTCTTTTTGTGGCATTATAACTCATTTCTTTTTAGCCCTGAATAACATTCCATTGTCTGAATGTACCATAGTTTATTCATTCACCTAATGAAGGACATCGCAGTTGCTTCCAAGTTTTGTCAGCTAGAAATAAAGCTACTGTAAACACTTGTGTGCAGGTTTTTGTATGGAGATGTTTTCAACTCATCCAGGTAAATAGCAAGGAGTACAGTTACTGGATTGTCTAGTAGAAGTATGTTTAGTTTTATAAGAAACTGCCAAATGGTTCTCCAATTTGGCTGCACCATTTTGTACTCCCACCAGCAGGGAGGAGAGTTCCTGTTGCTCCATGTCCTCACCAGCGTTTCATGCTGTCAGGGTCTAGCTTGTGGTCATCTGAGCAGGTGTGTGATGGTGTCTTCTTGATTTATTTTGCATTTCTTTGGTGAGAAGTGGTGTGGAGTGTCTTTTCAGATGTTTGTTGCCCTCTACATATGTTCCTTGGTGAGGTGTCTCTTCAGATCTTTGTGTATTTTTTAATTGGATTGTTTTTCTTATTGTTGGGTTTTAAGAGTTATTCATATATTTTGAATATCCACCTTTTATAAGATTTGTGTTTTACAAATATTTTCTCTCAGTCTATGCCTTGTCTCAGTCTATTTTAATAGGAGTGTGTGTGCTGTTTTAAAATGTATTAGTGCCTTAAGTTCTTCTGCATTATTTTGTTTAAACTATTTTTCAAAAAAAATTAAAGTCAGATTAGCAGCCTTTATTGGTTGCTTACTGAGAAACAGATGGTATCTTAAGAGCTCATGTGGCCCTATAAGCTCCCTTATTCTATGTTTTGTGGTTTCGTCATACAGCTATGCTCCCCAACAAAGGAATAAGTTCTAATGGTCATGTGTTTATCTTAGGAACATTTATGGACTGTGAACGATGAATAGGAACTCTCCGAGGTGCTGGAGACACAGAGACAATTAAAATATGATTCATAGATTGGACGAGGTTATAATCCAGTTGGGAGGACAGGCATGGACATAAATAGCAGCAATCCAAGGCCGATGAGAAGTGTCTGCAAGATGAGCCCAGAGCAATGGGGCAGAGGAGAGAAAATTAGCTCAATTTGGGTCTGAAACGTCAGTGAGGATTTCACAGGAGAGCAGCTTTTGATTGGACGTGGCAGGCAGCTGGGGCCGCACGGCCCTGTGAGGGCACAGGCTGGTTAAGTGGCAGTGTAACAGTGCTGGAATGCACTCCTCTCTAACGTGGGTCCTGGTGACTGTTGTTATTCTGCTTCTAGAGATGAGGAAGTGGAGGCTTCTGAAAGAGGAGTGGGTTAAGGGCATGGGTTTTGTCCTCAAGCGTATGATGGGGGGCCTGGCACGGGCCTGCTTCCCCAGCCTCCCAGCCATGTGGCCGTGCTGCAGGTTCGCTGGGGGGTTGCAGTGGCCACTGAGCAGGTGCGGAGCTCCACATTAGAACTACTTGCATTTTTATTTTCCACAAAACACTGAGCTTGCTGTCAGGCACTCAGCAGGCACTTGGTAGAGTCTCCAGGGTGTGATGCGGGCGCCACCCCCGCCCCGCCGCCCGCGTGCTGCTGTGCTCTCCTCCGGGGGGCCGGCCTTTCCTCAAGTGCCTTGTTAATGCTCCTGCAGCTGCCGTCTCTTTAGTGCCCTCACAGAGGTGTGCGTTACGAAGGGATGCTCCTCACACTTAGAAAATCGCCATCAGCCTGTGCACTCTGTGCTCACACGTCTGAAGTGGGGCGGGAAAGCTGCAGGGATGCAGAGCTCCTAGTTTTGTGTAAGGGACTCATCAGGCGGAATAGGGACCTGGCCTCTGTGCTCGCACGTCTGAAGTGGGGTGGGAAAGCTGCAGGGACACAGAGCTCCTAGTTTTGAGTAAGGGACTCATCAGGCGGAACAGGGACCTGGGCCCTGCGCTCTGTCCTTCGTGCTGAACGCAGTAGTTACTCGGTAAAGGGCTGTTGAACAGGTGCTTGTTCAGCTCATGCATCTGGATCCTAGTGGCTGTCTCTGTTCCAGTTGTGAGTCCTGTGCACTAATATATTTAAATCCTTAAGTGTTGAAATTATACTAGGTCAGATCCACTCACTCAGCGCTCTGAGGAGTTGTCCAGGCTACTTTCTCATACTGGACATTTACTGTATTAAATATTGGTTTAAAGGAATATATTGCCTGGAATTCTACATATCTAGCACTAAAATATTTTTGAAAATGGAGAAGCCATCGATATCTTGATAGTTTAACAATACAAAATTATATGCATATTACCTCATTAGCATACACATATATTGTGTTTGGTATATTAAATTTAAAATAAGATTTTATTGAGGTGATGATTATAAAACCTTATTAAATTTGTGTTAATTTGTTCCATCATTTTTTACAATTGAAATAATGCTGAACGTGCCACCTTTCTTACTGTTTTCTCGTTTCTGAAATAATAATGATATTAATAATAACAATAACACATATCTCACCGGGTTAAAGGCAGTATTAAAAGTGTTAATCTATAGGAACTACTTACAGGTTCCTGCACTTAGTAAAAACTCAATAAAAATTCATTCTTAGCTATTACTATTTGTGTTGCTAAATTTCTGGTTAATAATAAGATACATAAGAAAGGTTTTAAGAGAAAGTTTTTTTGAGATGGAATCTTGCTCTGTCGCCCAGGTTGGAGTGCAGTGGCGCAGCCTTGGCTCACTGCAACCTTCACCTCCCAGGTTCAAGCGATTCTCCTGCCTCAGCCTCCCTAGTAGCTGGGATTACAGGCCCCCGTCACCACGCCCAGCTAAATTTTGTACTTGCAGTAGAGACAGGTTTCTCCATGTTGGCCAGGCTGGTCTTGAAACCCTGTCCTCAAGTGATCCTCCTGCCTTGGCCTCCCAAAGTGCATGGATTACAGGCGTGACCCCCACGCCTGGCTAGTTTTGAGAAAAAATATTCAAGATTGTGTTCCTTTTCTTATTAATTCCATTCTGTTCTTTCATGATTTATTGAGTCTTTCCTATAGGCAGGGCACCCAAAGTTCACCCAGGATACTAGGAACTTTGAGAATTTAAAACACTCTCACATGTTCTGAACTTAATTTCACCCACAGCGACAAAGAAGAAAAGAATGTCAAGCAGGCATATTCCATCTCCAGCAGCGAGTGGATGCCGACGCTGCGGCTGCTCCTACCCCTGGCCACTTACTCCCCAATCAGGATGCCAGGAAAATGCCCCCTAAGTTCTAGATTAAATCAGAAGGGGAGATCTCCAAGAAAAGAAGACAGCGAAACTGTCTTTTCCCTGTTCTGAAAATGGCAGAGCCCCCTCTGTGCAGGAAGAAATGCACCTGGCAGTGGCGAGTCGTGTGATGTCTGCCCTACATGTAATATCTTCCTCTGTTTTGAGGCTGTGTGCAGTTTACATAGACACCTTCCTGTTACCTAAAGAACATCTCTGTCTGTCTGGATCCATCTCTTGTCGATCTAGAACTCGAGTGGCAGGTGGAAAACCATCCCCCAGTGTGTTGTGTTTGTAATTTGAAAATTGTTTTCAAGAAATTTTTGCAAAAACAGGAAAAATCTTTTACACATTGATTTTTTATCTCTCTTATTTTACCCCGTTGAGTCTTCCCATTTCTACGTTTTCTTTATTTTTAAAAAAATCACCTTTTCAAAATATTGTCTGGATCTAGCTAAGGGTGGGGGCAGCCAACACGGGATACTAATGGAGAAAATCTTCTGTCCACATTGGGGGTGCCGTGGCTCTCAGAGGAAACTGATAGCAAACTCATGCACAATTAAACTCAGAAGGAGAGGCACACGCCTCGGAACACACATGTCAAAGAACCCACATTTGGTGTGAGCAGGGCTGGGCATGGTGGTGGCTCCACGCTGTGTCAATCATCTGCCTCCATCCAGGGCTCCTCCTGGAGAAAGATGAGAAGGGCTTATTTGAGGACTGCTGGGAGATCAGAGGTATTCATCACACAGGAAGAGGGTGTGCACTCTTTTCTTTGTTAAAAATTTTATCTAGATTGAAAAACCTGGTAGGAACAAAACACTACTTTGTGGAGAGAATCAGTGGTGACTAATTTGGTTTGGGAAAGTAGAATTCAAGATAGGCTATTTCCGAAACCATTTAAAATGAGGATGGGAAAATTAAGGTATTATTTCCTAGTTTTATTCAACTTTTGGGGGAATAGTTTACAAAACTTCTTTTTAGAAGGGATCTGTTATGAAATTATAGTATGTTGAAATGTTAAAATACGTGTCAAACTTTATTAAAAAGGAAGAAGATATATATGGACCACAGTTAATTACTTAGTTATAAGAGTCCATGCTGAGTTTGCTGTCAGTCAAGCCAACAAGAGACGTGATCAGTTACACAGTTATCTGTGTGTGAGAGAGGAGTATTTTTTCTTCAACAGAGGCCAGTTTTGGAGAGGAATATCGTAAATTTTGAAAGGAATTTTTCACGTGGATCCTCTACAGGGGCATCGCGTAACACAAATGTCAGCTCTCCAGCAAGGGCAGGGCATCGTCTCACAGCCCCGGTTCCTAGTGACCAAGGCCAAGCGTGGGACATGAGCTTTGCTTTTTAATTCTTCACGGGCTGAAGGCAGAGCCCCAGCCTTTCGGAGAGGCAGGGGAGAAGAGTAGCCATTCTCTGTTTCTAAATCTTCCTTTCTTGATTTTAGGAAGTAACCAGATCTTACGGGGGGTTTGAAGTCATTTTAACTTTTATGACGTTCGAGTTTGTGTTGACCTTTTAGTGCCCAAATTTATGCTCTTGAGCATTTTGAGCTGAGCTTATTCATTCCACACAGTATACATTTATAAATATTTTAAGTATGAATTTAGTAACAACCTTTTCCCTCATAATTATGCTAACTGATGTAGTGAAATGTTGAGAAAATCAGATATTAATGGTTGGCTGAGCTGGGGCAATTAGGTGGCATTTATGAGTCTTTTGTTATGGCACACGGTTCCAAAGTAGATCATTTGAAAGCATTAATTTCATGTGCAAGCGCCAGTACACGATTCAGCAATTACAACGAGTTATATAAGTTAGATATCAAAACTATGAATGTACCTTAATGAAAAAAGAGTCTTATTTTGCACCACAATGAATTTTTTCTTAATATAGAAAGTGACTCATGTGTCTAAGTGGCTAATAAAGAACTGTGTTCGTGTTCCTAGCAAAATGCAAAATCATAACTTTTTAAAAAATTGGTGCATTTTATTTTATATAAATTGTGCCTCAAAATAAGATAGGACCCTGTGATTGTAAGCTCCTGATAGGCATATGTCCCTGTGTGATTAACACACAAACTTTTATTTTATCTCATTGTTTGGTCACATTTTATTATTTGTATGTACTCTTAACTCAATTATATATTTTAAAGCATTTAAATTTATTTTGTTTAATATCAGTAAGTCTTTTATAGTGAAGTTAAGATTCTTCAAAAGGTCTAGTCTGTCAAACTACCAAGAAGCAGTGCTCAGTCCTTGTGTTTTTTAAAATGTATTCATTATGTATTTATCATGTTATATTGATAAATTATAGTTGCATACTTTATGGGACATAAACTGGTGCTATGATTTATGAATCCAGCATAGAACAATTAAGCTAATTAACATATCCATTACCTCACATATTTAACATTTTTTGTGATGAGAACATTAGAAATTTACTCTTGGCAATATTTAAATGTAAAATACTCAATAATTAGCTGTACTCAGCATGCCGTGCTATTGATCTAGAGACAGACTTGCCCTCCTGTCCGAGGCTTTGTACCCTCTGGGCACCATTTCTCCCTCCCCACATCCCCCAGCCTCGGGTGACCACCCTTCTCCTCACTGCTTCTGTGCTTTCAGTAGTTTTAGGCTCCACGTTTAAGTGAGAACATTCAGTATTTGTCTTTCTGTGCCTGGCTTCTTTCAGTTAGCGTGATATCCTCCCATTCCATGCATGTTTTCAGAAATGACAGACATTCTTTCCTTCTTTTGAGGCTGAATATTGTTCCATTGTGTGCGTACACCACACTTCCTTTATTCGTTGCTCCCTTGATGGACACAGGTTGATTCCATGTCTTGGACATTGTGAATGGAGCTTCAGTGACCATGGGAGTGCAGGCATCTCCACATGCTGATTTCAGATCTGTTTCTGAGTAAACACCCAGAAGTGGGACTGCTGGATCATTCTCTTTTTAATTCCTGAGACACCTTCGTACTGTTCTCCAGAGTGACTGTGCTAATTTACATTCCCACTAACAGCGAACAGGGTTCCCATTTCTCCACATCAAAAACTCTTGGTATCTTTTGTCTTTTGGATAATAGCCATTCGAACAAGTGTGAGCTGATACGTGATTTGATATTGACTGGCATCTCCCTGTGATTAGTGATGCTGAGCTTTCCTACATGTGCCTGTTGGCCATTCAAGTGCCTTCTTTTGAGAAATGTGTGTTCAGGTACCTTGCCCATTTCTTAATTGGATAATTTCTTTTCTTTCTATAGAGTTGTTTGAGTTCTTACATATTTTGGATATTAATCCCTTATCAGATGTATGGCTTGCAAATATTTTCTCCTAACCTGTAGGCTATTTCTTTACCTCATTGATTCTTTGTTGGGCAGAAGCCTTCTATTTGGATACAGTCTTATTTCTCTGTCTATGCTTTTGTTACCTGCGCTTTTGGAATTAAATCAACCAGCATCACCCAGACCAATATTATGTAGTCTTTTCCCCCTAAGTTTTCCTCTAGTAGTTTTGCAGTTTCAGTTCTGATGTGTAAATCTTTGATTATTATTAAAGAGACTGTGCTTTTCCCGTGTGTATTCTCAGCGCCTTTATTGAAGATCAAGCTGTGCATGTGTGGGTTCGTTTCTGGGCTCTCTGTTCTGTTCCATTCGTTGATGTGCATATTTTTATGCCTGTGTGATGCTTTTGTAATTACTGCCACTTTGTAGTATAGATTGAAATCAGGCAATGTGATTCCTCTAGCTTTGCTACTTTTGCTCATGATTTTCTTATATATTTGAGGTTTTTTGTGGTTCCATATGAGTTTTAGAATTGTTTTTTCTGTATCTACAAGGAATGACATTGGTGTTTTAATAGTGCTTGTACTGAATCTGCACATCCCTTTGGGTATGATGGACAATTAAAAATATTATTTCAATCCATGAACACAGAACATCCTTCTATTTATTTGTATCTTCAGTTGTCTTTCATTAAAGTTTTCTAGTTTTTAGTTATGGTTCTTTTACCTCCTTGGTTAAATTTATGCCTAAGTATTTTATTTTTATTTTTTGTTGCCATTGTTAATGGGATTGTTCTCTTGATTTCTTTTTTAGAAAGTTTATTGTTAGTGTAGAGAAACACTAATGACTTTGGCATGTTGATTTTATATCCTGCCATTTTACCACATTTGTTTATTGGTTTTAACAGTTTTTGGTGGAGTTTGTAGGGTTTTCTATATATAATATGGTGTCATCTGCAAACAGGAACAATTTAACTTCTTTCCAATTTGTATGTTTTTCATTTTTTTCTGCTGTCCAATTGCCCAGCATAGGACTTCTAGTACTATATCGAATAGAAGTGGTAAGAGTGGGCATTTTTGTCTTGTTTTGGGTGTCAGAGAAAAAGCTTTCAACTTTTCTACATTGAGAGTATGATGTTTGTTGTGGGTTTGTCATATATGGCCTTTGTTGTATTGAGGTACATTCATTCTATATCTAATTTGTTTCTAATCAAAACACATAGAGTGAATATGTGTATAAAAAGATAAGACCCAACTATATGCTGCCCACAAGAGGTTCACTTCATTTTGAAGGACACACAGCCTGAGAGTGATGGAAAAAGATATTCCATGCAAATGGAAGTCAAAAGAGAGGAAGAGTAGTTACATGAGACAAAATAGACTTAAAGTCAAAAGCTGTAAAAAGAAATGAAGAAGGACATTATATAATGATAAAGGGGTTAATTCATCAAGAATATGTAACAATGATAAATATATGTGCGCCCAACAATGGAGCACCTAAATATATAAAGTAAATGTGAAAAGGATCTAAAGGTAGAGATAGGCTATGATGCAGCAATCATAGGGCACTTTAATATACCACTTTCAATAATGGAAAGATCATACAGACAGAAAATTAATAAGAAAACATTGGACTTGAACAACAATTTAGACCAAATGGACCTAATAAATACAGAACATTGCCAAAAACAGCTAAAGGATACACAGTCTTCTCAAGCACACGTGGAACATTCCTCAGGGTAGATCATTTGTTAGGCCAAAAGACAAATCTTAGCAAATTTAAGAAGATTGAAATCATATCAAGTATCTTTTCTGACCACAATGATATGAAACTAGAAATTAACATGAGGAAGTTCAGAAAATTCATAAATAGATAAAAAAGTTAAACAATGTGCAGAAAAGAGAAATTAATGAATATCTTGAGATAAACAAAAATGGAAACATCATGCGTACCGAAACATATGAGATGCAGCAAAAGCAATTTTAAGAGGAAAGTTTAGCAATATCATAACATTCTGAAGTCTTTCCTCTCTGTCTCAATAAACATGATTTTAGTATGCCCAGACTCTTTCCCTTCATCCGCTGTGTCCTCCAGCTCACTTGAAGTCTTTTCATTCTTTGCCTCTCCAGTTCAGAGTGTTGTCTATGCCTGGCTGTGTTCCTCACTCCAGCTCCTTTCTCAAGGCTGTGAGCAGCATCAAATTGTGTGTGACTCTTGCAGTATTTGGCAGGATGATTTGTAATCTCAGACATTTTGTTTAGTTGTCAGTGAACCACATGTGTGACTCCTCTTTCTCTCTCTCTCTTTTTTTTTTTTTCATGTTCTCTCTGTGCCATCTTCATCTTCTAGGCTGTCTCCTTTGGCTGTTTCATCTGATCTTATTTCTCCAATTGTCACATCAACATCTTTGATTCCCTGGAGCTAAATGGTAGTCTTGATGCATCTCCAAATTGTCAGAGCCTCCTTCCAAAATCTACTGGACATTCTCACCTTGATGATTGGTTATCACTAACAACCCATGTCAAAACAGAATCCATTTTACTGTCTCCTGACCCTCCTGCTCCCTCTGTCCTTTCTCTTCATGGGCTTGCCATCAGCACACAGTGCAAAGCTCTGGATCCTTCTGCCTCCTCCCTGTCTCCACATCCATGTCACCAGGTCCCCACCCTGGCACAGTCCGCCCTCAGGGCACAATGTCAGTGCCAGTTCCTGGGCTATGTGGCCTCCTTATCCATCCTGGATAGAGCTGCACTTCACTGCGTCACAGCTCTGGGTCCCTTCCCGTCTGGCTCTGCCTTCACACCACTGCCAAAATGGATTTCTCCAGCTGGGCTTGGCCCCACAGGGGATGTCTGCTTTGAGAGCTTTGCTTGTTCCACGTCACCAAGGCGGCTGCTGGTCCACCTTCCAGACGACTTCCCATCCCCTAAATGGGCCCTGCAATTTCTGCACTAGTCCTGGTAGCCAATATTCATTGCTTCTCCTTGGACCTCTGTGGCGTTTCATTAATGGACTTTAGAGCTACCATGAAGAGTTGTTCCATATCCGTCTGTCTGTGGCGGGGAGGTGTGGGACAGGGCACCAAGGGCCTGGTGGGGACTGGGTGACACAGGACTTTCTAAGCAAGGTGAAAAGCTTTTCTCCTCCTCATCTGCGTGCTGTTGGCTGATTTCCATCTTCTATGGCAGTTGACCAGTAACACTGCCGGAAATTCAGAAAACAGCTGAATTTTAGTCTTTCTCTGTCTGTTTTTCATGCCCTTGAGATGGGATAAAGCTGTCAAATCTCTGACATGTGGTGCATCATCAGAGATTGTAGGAAATTTAGCTGTGGCTTCTTCCAGGGTCTCCGAAAGGCAAACAGGCAGAAGAACGTTACTTGCTCCCACCACCCCACTCTCTCCACCCCTCATGCAGCAGGCTATGCAATTCTCACTCCCCAGTCTCATTCTCTCCACCCCTCATCCAGCAGGCTATGCAATTCTCACTCTCCCCACCCTACTCTCTCCACCCCTCATCCAGCAGGCTATGCAATTCTCACTCCCCCCACCCCACTCTCTCCACCCCTCATCCAGCAGGCTATGCCATTCTCGCTCCCCCCACCCCACTCTCTCCACCCCTCATCCAGCAGGCTATGCCGTTCTCGCTCCCCCCGCCTCACTCTCTCCACCCCTCATCCAGCAGGCTATGCCATTCTCGCTCCCCGGCCTCACTCTCTCCACCCCTCATCCAGCAGGCTATGCCATTCTCGCTCCCCGGCCTCACTCTCTCCACCCCTCATCCAGCAGGCTATGCCATTCTTGCTCCCCGGCCTCACTCTCTCCACCCCTCGTCCAGCAGGCTATGCAATTCTTGCTCCCCGGCCTCACTCTCTCCACCCCTCATCCAGCAGGCTATGCAATTCTCGCTCCCCGGCCTCACTCTCTCCACCCCTCATCCAGCAGGCTATGCAATTGCTCTGGCCATAGTAGCTGCTGCAAAAGTAAAAATGAAAGTAACAAATCTCTTAGGCCTGCACAGGCTTTCTCCGGACATGGTCTATTGGTCTGTATATGTCGGCCTGAGTGGCACCACAATATGAAAACAAATGTCTTACTTTCCCTTTTGACACCAGCCAGCCGTTTGTCCCCCTGAGGCATGCTGCCCTCACTCATAACCGTGGGCTGGTGAGACTCCATCGCCTTCCTCCAGCATCAGGGGCCTGAATGGGCCCAGAGTCAGCTCCGTCTGTCCCCCAGGGTCTCTCCTGCTGCCCCAGGCCTTCAGCAACATCTCTGTCTCTGCAGAGACTGGCACCCTCCCTCCTTGCCATGCAGGCTGAGAGCACTGAGGCCCACTGCTCAGAGTTGGGTTGGAAGTAGCTGTTTTGCAAATGTGCTGAAAAATGATAGGTTCATATTGATTTTCAGGCCAAGGAATGCTGTTCTTATAAATGCTGTGTTCATGATTTTATCATTTATCATGGCAGTTTAAAGGATATTTTTAAAAGGAGGGGTGTTTTCCTCTGGAGGACATTAAAGGACATTCCTACAACATATCCATCCATTCTTTCGCTTTTGTATGGATTCCACATTGTGATCAGACCTGATTGTTTGGGAGACACTCGGGGGTTGGAGACACATGTGACAGTTTCTTGCCAAAGAGCTGCAGCTCTGAGCTGTGCAAATCCACTGCTTGGGATGAAGTCCGTGACTTTACTGGAAGAAGTGACTTGGGGGGCTGTGGAAACTCACACCCTGAGGACCTGTTTCCTGTTTGCACTCTGGAGCCCTCCTGGCCAGGCAGGGGTGGAAACTCATACCCCGAGGACCTGCTGCCTGTCTGCACTCTGGAGCCCTCCTGGGCAGACAGGGGTGGAAACTCACACCCCGAGGACCTGCTGCCTGTCTGCGCTCTGGAGCCCTCCTGGCCAGACAGGGGTGGAAACTCATACCCCGAGGACCTGCTGCCTGTCTGCGCTCTGGAGCCCTCCTGGCCAGACAGGGGTGGAAACTCACACCCCGAGGACCTGCTGCCTGTCTGCCCTCTGGAGCCCTCCTGGCCAGGCAGGGGTGGAAACTCACACACCGAGGACCTGCTCCATGTCTGCCCTCTGGGGCCCTCCTGGCCAGGCAGGGGTGGAAACTCACACCCCGAGGACCTGCTCCATGTCTGCACTCTGGGGCCCTCCTGGCCAGGCAGGGCAGGCTCTTGGGCTCCTTAGCTTTTGACCACGACAGGGTTCGCCTGTGCCAGCTACCAGCACAGGCATGTGCACAGATGCCTGAGGCAGTCCAGAAATTCAGGGCCTGAGTGGGAGGTTTGAGAATCCACAGGGGGTTTGTCCTGTGGGGAGAGTGGCAGCCCCCTGAGTGGGGAGGTTGGGGGTCTTGCCTCTTGCTGACTGAGCCCTGAGGGGCCTCCAGAGGCTGCTGTGCAGGTGGAAGGCAGTACGCTGTGTGGACGTCTGCTGACTCCAGGGCACCCTGGGGTTTGTTTTCTGTTTCCAAGTTTTTATCCTGCATAGGTTGTTGTTGTTGTTGTTATTATTATTTAGTACAAAAGCTGAATGTAGGGAAAATTCTTTTCATCGAGGACTCTTATTGATGGAGATTTTGTCCAAAAGTCTGTTTAGACTCACATGAAAATCATTTTCTATAATTTCTATGATTTCAGTTTAAACTTAGTATTCCAGTGGCTTGGAGTACTTAGCTAAACTGATTACTTTGGAAGAACATCTTCCATTCTTTGGAATTCTAACCTCATCAGAACGTTAACTTCAGCTTGAGGGACGTGGTGTTTGTCAGTCTTCACTCTGGGTCTGAAAGGCAGTCTTGCCCCGTCTGCGCACAGGGCTCCGGGCAGCCTGCAGCGCCCAGACCCATCTCGAGCAGTGGAGAGCCAGAAGCACACAGCCCACCCCGGTTCTCTCTGGGAGCCTGTGCATCTCTTCCTGGTCATGTAAACGTCACTTCGTGAAGTACTGGAAGCACCCGGTCAGTCCCACTGGGCCACTGAAATTCCAGAGCGGATACTCGAAGGTGAGGCCTGTGAGGATTAAATCTGCCGGCACCTTGTCTGTAAAAACTGTACAAAAATGTTCAGAAGCGTCTGCTGAGCATTGGGTTGGCGAAGGACATGGGGGAGGCCAGTGTTTCGCGGCCTCAGTGGATTCCTTTTCTCAGTCTAGTAAGACGCTAACTATTAAAAACATCTACTTAATAAAGTTACAAAGAGAAATGGAACATCGTCTTCATTCCACCATCCAGATGGCTGGTATTTTGCTGTGTTGCCTTCCTGCGCCCACCTATGTGTGTGCACACACCTGTAGTGCTTTTCAGCCAAGAGCCCGCAGTGATGCCATATCATTCGGCAGGTCCCTCCGGCTGTCATTATCTCTGTGTTAAATGGAGACCTGCATCATGATGCCGGATGCTATGGAGAGATCATGAGTTGGTGAAGCAGTTCTTGTGGGTGGACGTCTGGGTTGTTGACGTTGCGTGTCTCCCGTGGAAGCTGCAGCTCTGGCCCTGAGTCTCCTCCATGGCCCCCGACCCTCTCCCCACTCCTACCCCTCCGCAGCCCCTGTAATTCCTGCCCTCGCCATCCCCACACCTGCCTTCCCCCTTTTCCCTCTTTCGCTCGTTCTGCTTTTCCTCTTCTCTAACGCACAGCTCCCCACATCCCAGGCTGGGGTGTAGCGGCCCAGCCTCTGGGAGTTCCATGTCGTCTGCCACTTCTGCCCCACGTTTTATTTTCTGATTGTTCAGTAGTGACAATGGAACAAAACACAGCGTCAGAGAGCAGCGTGTTTGAACTGCACTCCAGCCGTGCAGCCTCTCCTGCGTGTCTCCTCTCCATGTTTTGGGGACTCTCATGGGAGCGGCCGGTGTCTGCCCCTTCATACCCAGAACAGGCTCTGTCCTCGCCTGCCTGGCTCAAGTCCTGGGTGCAGCTGGCCTCACAGGTCAGCGCTGGGCAGTCACACAGTCCCCAGAATCAGTTTAAGTCCCTGCTGTCTTCACAATTTTCCAACTCAGAGCCTGGCATTTCCACTGTGCCGGGCTGGCACCTCCACAGCCCTCTGCTGATGTGCAATATGTGTGCTTGGTGGCCACGTGGATGCGTAGGGTCCGCCTGGCACCTTGAGGCCTCTTATAGCCTTTGCCGTCAGCGATCCCGGGGCTGGCTTGCCTGTGGTTGGACTTCGCACTTTCCCCTTCCTCTTTGCCCCGTGGTTCCTGCAGAGGATTTCAGGGGTAGGCATGCAGGGAGCATGAGGGCCCTGGGTCTGGGGTCTCCTGGCAGGAAGAGGGGGCTGTGGCCGGCTCTGTGGCATCCACAGGTGGACCCACTTCAGAGGAGTCACATGCCTCTCCAGGGACAGAGCCTTCAAGGCTGCAGACATTGATTGGATCTTGTAATTACAGTCACACTGTCTCGTGCTGAGGTTTCAGGGTTGGTTCTGCAGAATCCTGAAGCCAGAGAGGAACCTGAGGTCCCGACTTGGCCTGGGAGCCCAGATGTGGCTCTCCCAGCAACACAGATGGTGTGGGGGACCCTCCCATGGAGGGCAGAATCCAGCCACAGGGACGGATTCCTGGAAGGCCAGGAGTGTGGACCGGGGCCTCATAACTGGGTTCAGCCCAGATCAGCCACTTACACTGTGTGGTGTGGGGCAGTGAACAGACCCCATAGGGGTGTTTGTGGATAAAGAGAGAGATTGTAAGGAATCATTTCACCGGATATGGGGGCTGCGGGTCCGAAATCCCCAGAGTAGGCCATGGGCAGGCGCCCTGGGAAGAGCCAGTGCTGCAGCTGAGGCTGGCAGCTGAGGCTGAAAACCGAGGCCGAGCTCCTTCCTCCTTGGGGACCGCACGCTTCTTCTCTCACAGCCTCCAGCAGACTGGGTGAGGCCCACGGTATGAGGGCCATCTCCTTCACCCACAGTCCACCAATCTAACCATTAATCCCTTCTAAAAAACACCTTCACACCAACAGCCAGACAGAAACACCTTCACACCCGCAGCCAGAAACACCTTCACACCCACAGCCAGAAACACCTTCACACTGACAGTCAGACGGAAATACTTTCACACCAACAGCCAGACAGAAACACCTTCACACCAACAGCCAGAAACACCTTCACACCAACAGCCAGACCGAAACACCTTCACACTGACAGCCAGAAACACCTTCACACCGACAGTCAGACAGAAACACTTTCACACCAACAGCCAGACAGAAACACCTTCACACCGACAGCCAGAAACACCTTCACACCAACAGCCAGACCGAAACACCTTCACACCAACAGCCAGACAGAAACACCCTCACACCGACAGCCAGACAGAAACACCTTCACACTGACAGACAGAAACACCTTCACACCGACAGCCAGACAGAAACACTTTCACACTAATAGCCAGACAGAAACACCTTCACACCAACAGCCAGACAGAAACAACTTCACACCAACAGCCAGAAACACCTTCACACTGACAGCCAGACAGGTGTTTGACCAACTCTCTGGGCACCATGGCCCACCAGGTGAATACACGACATCAGCCATCATGGGCAGGCACCTGCTGCTTCTGGCTCTAGGAATATTCAGGTCTGGAATGAGAGTTGGGGTCTCAAAGGTGACGATGGGTGCCAGCCGAGGGGTCTGTCTGCATCTGAGGAAGCGGGGCTGAAGTCCATGCCTCTCTGTGTGCAGGTGCTTGTGGATGGATTGAAGTCCATGCAGGCGCTCGTGGATGGAGGGCAGCTCCCCGGTGGAGGGAGGGCAGCTTCGCGGTGGGTGGAGGGAGGGCAGCTCCGCGGTGGAGGGAGGGCAGCTGCGAGGTGGGCGGAGGGCAGCTCTGTGGTGGATGGAGGGCAGCTCCGTGGAGTGGGCAGGGGGCAGTTTGTGCTTCTTGATGCCAGGGCCCATTTGGGAACAGAGCCCTGGGAGAGGCAGGGAACTGGGACTGGCTGAGACTTTGGACGGTAGAGCTGGGAGGTTGAGCATTTCCAACGCGAGTAAAGCTTTCAGCAACTGAAGGCTGAATATTTTAAGGCATTTTAACTTTAATTATGTTATAAAAAATGATTTCTTTCCAATCCACTAACGGAGTTAGAAAGTCACAAGGTGGGTCCACGGTGAAGTGCAGAGATGGAGAATCCAGTATTTACGGTAAAACTGAGGCCTTCCTGTCAGTACAGAGAATGAATAATTAATTGTGTTTTTCTGGGTGAAGAAAAAGAAACAAAAAACCGGCTTCAAGTGCTTTTCTCTGTTTTGTGCTGAGGCTTAAATTTCTCAGTCCTTTGATGGTGCATCACACCTTCCAACATGTCTTGTTTCTATGGCGACAGCGACGAGCTGCAGCTTGAATTCCTCGGCTCATCACAATATGAGGCTTCTTTAGGGATTTACCCGAAGCCCTCAAAATGCCCTCTGTTTTGTGTCTTTATTGACCGTGCAGCGGGCACAAGAGTGGCTGGACAAGCTCCGTGCCTCCCCCTCTTTCTCTGGACCCAGCCGCAGGTTCTTCTCTTAGCGTGGGCATGGCATTGAACACAGAAGGCTTATATTAGGATGTTAGAATGTACTGAGAGTATACAGGGATTATCCAAGCAAACGTCCTGACCCCTTGGGCGAGTGTTTCCTTTTCTTTGGTTTTGGTCGTTGTTTTCCTGAGGGTTTAGTTTAAGTGGACACAGGGAGAAACAGAAGGACAGCTCTGCTCTTCAGGAGCGGCACTTCCAGGTCTCAGCAGCCTGCTCCAGGTGGACCACCTTCCCAAGGTGGAGCAAGACAGCCTGGTGCAACAGCCTGCACTGGCGTGGACCACCTTCCCAGGGTGGAGTGAGACAGCCTGGGGCAGCAGCCTGCGCTGGCATGGACCACCTTCCCAGGGTGGAGTGAGACAGCCTGGTGCTCCTTCAGGAGGGAGATGAAGATGCCGTGGTCACCCTTTACTTGTCATTTTTAAATTGGTGAACACAAAAGCACAGGAATGGAGGCCCTCATAGTTGCGTTAGGGCCACGTTTGGGAAAGAACAGAGAGATGGGTTTAGCACCCAAATCTGCAGAACCGCTCTCTCCCCACCACCTGCCCTCTGCAGACCCTGGACACGAGGCTGGTCCCACCCCTGTCCGCAGCAGACCCCAAGCTCACCCTCGCCCGGGGTTCTTGTTGGGATCCTCCATCAGGGCTGCTTCCGGTTACACTTGACTTCCTGGCGGTGAGCACAGGGGTTTTTGGGTGAAGTGATTCAGAGTCTACTTCCTGGTGACCTTTCTGAGCCCCCTTGCTTTGATTTTAGTAATGGGTTAGCAGTGTCCACCGTCAACACTGTTGTGAGGCTTGGGGGTCTTCAAAGTAAACCATTTTCCGAGTGCTGGGCGCACAGCCAGGACACACAGTGAGGACTGGCTGTAATTACTGTGTTATTGTCGGCTTTATCAGGTCCCAGGCCAAAACAGTCCCGTGCTGGAGAAGAAAGCTCTACTGAGGCTCTACTCTTAAATGTCTTTTTCTTTTTGTAACATAAAAACCTTCTAATTCTAGAATGCAAAGTAAATAGGTAATAAAGCAATTGCATGCATTAGGAAGAGCTTATTTATTTTTCAGTGTGGGCCAAGCTTGAGATGTCTAAGAAATGTTTGCGGAGTGAATGCATGCTCTTCCCTAGAGAACAGGCTCTGGGTGAATTTGACACCAAAACTATCTAACAATTTTAGAGAACTGAATATTTTAAAAACAAAATTAATGATTTTTTTAAGGAATCAAGATCTACATGCTAAATGAAGAAAATATTCAGTGTAAACATTGTTCAAAACGTTTGTTTGTTCAGAGATGACGTTGCCCTAAATTATTTTTCCATTTACATCACACAAGTGTGTAAACGTGTTCTAGGTGTGTTTGGGGTTAATTGGACCTGTTTTCATGCTGTTCACCATGGCTGACTTTCCATGGTTGCTGCCAAACCAGGACTGTTGATTATTTCCCAAGCTCTAAGAAGCACCTGGGCCACTTATAAAATCAAGCCTTGCCAAGCCTTTGCTCAGACCTCTCCCAAGGAAACTTGGATGCAGGAGGTTTGTGTGTGGGCTCAGGGCACCAGCATTTAAATGCATTCCGGGGCATGTTCATCATCAAGAGCTTTAGGGACCAGTGTGTTAGCACAAAAGGAGAAGCAGCAGCACTCAACCTCTGTGGCATGGAGAGGAACCCCCCAGCGTGAGAACTACCTCCCTGTGCTCCAGAGTCGAGGGACTCATCAAGCTCTGTGGCATGGAGAGGACCCCTCCAGCGTGAGGCCCACCTCCCTGTGCTCAGGAGAGTCAAGCTGGGAGCCTAGGGCAGGCCTTCACCCTCTGTGGCATAGAGAGGACCCCTCCAGCGTGAGACCCACCTCCCTGCGCTCAGTAGAGTGGAGCTGGGAGCCCGGGGCAGGCCTTCACCCTCTGTGGCATAGAGAGGTCCCCTCCAGCGTGAGACCCAGCTCCCTGCGCTCAGTACAGTGGAGCTGGGAGCCCGGGGCAGGCCTTCACCCTCTGTGGCATGGAGAGGTCCCCTCCAGTGTGAGACCCAGCTCCCTGCGCTCAGTAGAGTGGAGCTGGGAGCCCGGGGCAGGCCTTCACCCTCTGTGGCATGGAGAGGTCTCCTCCAGCGTGAGACCCACCTCCCTGCGCTCAGTACAGTGGAGCTGGGAGCCCGGGGCAGGCCTTCACCCTCTGTGGCATAGAGAGGACCCCTCCAGCGTGAGACCCACCTCCCTGTGCTCAGGAGAGTCAAGCTGGGAGCCCGGGGCAGGCCTTCACCCTATGTGGCATGGAGAGGTCCCCTCCAGTGTGAGACCCACCTCCCTGTGCTCAGGAGAGTCAAGCTGGGAGCCCAGGGCAGGCCTTCACCCTCTGTGGCATGCAGAGGTCCCCTCCAGCGTGAGACCCAGCTCCCTCTGCTCAGGAGAGTCGAGCTGGGAGCCTAGGGCAGGCCTTCACCCTCTGTGGCATGGAGAGGTCCCCTCCAGCGTGAGACCCAGCTCCCTCTGCTCAGGAGAGTCCAGCTGGGAGCCCGGGGCAGGCCTTCACCCTCTGTGGCATGGAGGGGACCCCTCCAGCGTGAGACCCACGTCCCTGTGCTCAGTAGAGTGGAGCTGGGAGCCCGGGGCAGGCCTTCACCCTCTGTGGCATGGAGAGGACCCCTCCAGCGTGAGACCCACCTCCCTGTGCTCAGGAGAGTCAAGCTGGGAGCCTAGGGCAGGCCTTCACCCTCTGTGGCATGGAGAGGTCCCCTCCAGCGTGAGACCCACCTCCCTCTGCTCAGTAGAGTGGAGCTGGGAGCCCGGGGCAGGCCTTCACCCTCTGTGGCATGGAGAGGTCCCCTCCAGTGTGAGACCCAGCTCCCTCTGCTCAGGAGAGTCGAGCTGGGAGCCCGGGGCAGGCCTTCACCCTCTGTGGCATGGAGAGGTCTCCTCCAGTGTGAGACCCAGCTCCCTCTGCTCAGGAGAGTCGAGCTGGGAGCCTAGGGCAGGCCTTCACCCTTTGTGGCATGGAGAGGACCCCTCCAGCGTGAGACCCACCTCCCTCTGCTCAGGAGAGTCGAGCTGGCAGCCCGGGGCAGGCCTTCACCGTCTGTGGCATGGAGAGGTCCCCTCCAGTGTGAGACCCACCTCCCTGCGCTCAGGAGAGTCGAGCTGGGAGCCTAGGGCAGGCTTTTGCACCATGTTGATTCTGCCTTTGACTGAGTCTGCTTAGAGGTTTGTATGAACCCCAGCCGCATGGCCTTCGACATTTCTGCCTCTTCTCTTACTACGTTGACTGGTTTTGATCTGAAGAGAAAACTGCCGTGAGTTATATTTCCTTGCAACGCAATTCTGCTCTCAGCAAACGTTGGCGGCGCCACTGGACACACGTCCCTCCCCAAGAGCACAGCCGGGCATCCCGGCCTTGGAGCTGGACTGAGTCCCGGCGTCCTCTGCGTATGCGTCACAGAAACTCCTCCGCACACCAGTTTGTTTCCAAAAATATGTTTACAATTTGGAAACTAACTTGGAAGTGAATCGTTTTGGATGCAAAATGGCAAATGAGGTGCCCAAACAATGTTTGTTCACCTTCAATGAATGTTCACCTTCAACCCTGGAACGCGCTTCTGGAACATTCAGGGACACCCGACGTGTGACTGGCTCCTCCTCACGAGGGCCTCCCGGGCAGGTTTGCTTTTTTACAACTTGGTGGGTAAATCTGAGAATGTTTTCCAAGGCACGGAGCAGCTGGGAATGCAGCCAGTGTTTGTTGGGCTTCAGGGAGGACAGGCACAGCGGGCTGGCCCCACCCTGCGATGGCCACCCACAGACGCCGCGACCCACACCAGGCTCCCGGCCGCCCACGGGCGCCGCCACCCACGCCAGGCTCCCGGCCGCCCACGGACGCCGCCACCCACGCCAGGCTCCCGGCCGCCCACGGGCGCCGCCACCCACGCCAGGCTCCCGGCCGCCCACGGGCGCCGCCACCCACGCCAGGCTCCCGGCCGCCCACGGGCGCCGCCACCCACGCCAGGCTCCCGGCCGCCCACGGACGCCGCCACCCACTCCAGGCTCCCGGCCGCGCACGGACGCTGCGACGCACACCAGGGTCCCGGTAGGGCCCTTCGTCCTCACTTGCTTTGAACATCACACAAATCACAGAACGACTTTGCTATTGCTTTTTACCAAATGTGTTGCTAAATGGTGCCTGGGAGGTGGGATAGGTGTGCATTCCAACAGTCTGTTCGTTTGGAAAAGGGTACATTTCATGGCTCACTCCTCTGGGGCTAGTGTGTATTTTAGAAAATACTGTTCTTACAGCATTTCAAAGAGATTCTTTGAAGGCAAAAACTATTTACTAAAATAACCCCAGTTCTCAGCCTCGCCGGTGTTCCTGGCTTCCTGCTTTCCAAAGTGCCCACGTGCCTGGTGGTTTTACCTGGCTGTGCTCTCAGATCCTCTCCGAATGCGTAGTAACTGCGATGAATTCCCGCAGAGGGCTTCTGAGAGTTAATATTTCTGTCATCAGTTTCTTCACATTCACAACAATGAAAAGAAAACAAGCAGCGTCCTGTGTGTTGCGTAGAGACGTGTGTCTCCGGTGTGCATAGGAGCCTTTGATCATTCCTGCAGCCATTTATCTTTGCTCGCAAGTTTCATTCAACAAATTACCGAGTGTCTGGGATGCGCCAGGGCCGTACTGGGGCTACGTTGCTAAGTAAACTCGGTGCCGACCTCAGCCCTCAGGGAGTTTCTGGTCTGTGCTACCACATCCTCGCAGTGGTGTCTCTTCATTAGAGGAGGGACTTCGTCCCTTTCAGAGGCTACCAGGAGGATTAGGAAAAGTGTTCGGATGTGTTTCTATGTGAAGCTTTGAAGCTTCAGAGGTGGAGAACGTCTTCTGCCCTGAGATTTCTACATTAATTAAGTGGGTAGCTTGTTTGAAATCAATTGGTTTACTTACTAAAAGTAGCCTGACATTTAGACATTGGTAATTAGTGTGTACAGTATTTAGAAATACCACAGGTCTTTTATATTTACCCAATCCTTGGGATTCTGAAGATAATTCACTTAAATGTGATAATTCCTTCTGAATATCCATAGACATGCATTCAAAATCCTCATTTCAATGGAAACACGTCCCTTCTATTATGCCGCAAAGCTCTTACAGTAGGCCCCCTTCTCCAGGGTTTTGCTTCCCGAGATTTCAGTTACCCGAAGTCAACTGAGATCTGAAAATATTAAATGGAAAATTCTAGAAATGAACAAGTCATAAGTTTTGAATTGCACACTGTTCTTAGTAGTGTAATGAATCTTGTGCCATCCTGCTCTGCCCTGCCTGGGACATGAATCATCCCTTTGTCCAGCATGTACAGTGTGTGTAGGGAAAAGCTTTGTCCAGCATGTCCACAGTGGACAGCGTGTGTAGGGAAAACCTTTGTCCAGCATGTCCACAGTGTACAGCGTGTGTAGGGAAAACCTTTGTCCAGCATGTCCACAGTGGACAGCGTGTGTAGGGAAAACCTTTGTCCAGCATGTCCACAGTGTACAGCGTGTGTAGGGAAAACCTTTGTCCAGCATGTCCACAGTGTACAGCGTGTGTAGGGAAAACCTTTGTCCAGCATGTCCACAGTGTATAATGTGTGTAGGGAAAACCTTTGTCCAGCATATCCACAGTGTACAGCTTGTGTAGGGAAAACCTTTGTCCAGCATGTCCACAGTGTACAATGTGTGTAGGGAAAAACATGTATTAGAGTTTGTGGTGTGTGTGTGTGTGTGCGTGCACGTGCCTACCCACAGTTTCAGGCACCCCCGGTGGTCTCAGAATGTGTCTTCTCTGATACAGGGGAATTACTCTATAAGAAAATGAAGGTAGGTCACACACTTAGAAGTTGTATTTCAGAGGATAATTGTCAGACGTCATGACTGATGAGTGTGTGAACTTGGCGCGCCTGTTGCATTTCAGCTCCTTTTGACTTCATTCTCTTTCCACGCATGATCTGCCACGCAGGACAGAGTTTTGTAAGAAGGAGGGGCTGCTGAGAAACCGTGTGTTCTGTAGAAATAGACTAACCTTGAAAATGGATTCAATTTCATACAGATGATAGCATTTAAAAATCAATTTCTTAAAGCCACTCATTTTAACCATAGCATTTCAAGTGCTTTATAGCTGTTCCAGTGAAACTTTCTTTAAAGATAAGCAATACCAGTTACATTTCTTTTACCCGCATCACCTGCAGTGATTGGGAGGATGTGGTGAGATTCCTATGCTGGTCCCACGTGGGGTTTCTTCTGGGGTTCCTGGCGTTCACAAGCCCACGTCTACTCCTCAGGGGCTAGAAGGGCCTGAACGGCATCTTCACTCTGATGTTAGCAATTTGAATCTGCACTGATGGGCATGGCAGACGCAAATGTTAAGTGACATAAAATCTGTCTCTGAGTGTGCAGCCTGGGGGATCTGGAAGAACTGCCGAATGGAACTGGGAAAACAATTCCTTAAAATCCAACAAAGGCTCACTCACCAACACAGGGTGGGGGGCCAAGGCCGAGGAGCAGGGGGGCCATTTGTTGGCCAGTGTATGCTCTGCTTGCAGAATCAGTAAGTGAGCATGCTGTTTATTAGAATTCCGCCACAGGCTACAAAGTGGATGAACCTTGAGGACATTAAGCACAGTGAACAGGCCGGCCACAGAGGGACACCCACAATGTGAGCGACTCACAGGAGGCACCCAGAGTCTGCAGATTCACAGAGACAGAAGGCAGACGGGGGTGCCGGGGCTGGGGGTGGAGGGGGCATTTCATGGCGGCAGACGCTCAGTCTGGGAAGATGGAAGAGTTCCGGAGATGGTGACACGACAATGGGAAGGTCCTCATCACCCCTGAGCCAAACATGACACGACGATGGGAAGGTCCTCGTCACCCCTGAGCCGAACACGACACGACGATGGGAAGGTCCTCGTCACCCCGGAGCCGAACACGACACGACGATGGGAAGCTCCTCGTCACCCCTGAGCCGAACACGACACGACGATGGGAAGGTCCTCGTCACCCCTGAGCCGAACACGACACGACGATGGGAAGCTCCTCGTCACCCCTGAGCCGAACACAACACGACGATGGGAAGGTCCTCGTCACCCCTGAGCCGAACACGACACGATGATGGGAAGGTCCTTGTCACCACTGAGGCAAACACCTAAGACAGTCAAGATGGTGGATTTTATATTATGTTTATTTTAGCACAAAAAAGGAAAAAAGATTTATGAACTTAAAAAAGCAGCCAGCATATTGTATTATAGGGGAACATTCAATTCAGGAAATGTTCAGATAAAGAGAAGAACTCATATTATAAAACAACATATGTGATATGACACACATTTTATTCAATATAAATTAGTAAAAGCTTAATATATATTCAAGCTTTTACTAATTTATAATTATATATAATATTGAATTACATATTGAATATATATAATGAATATAGATTCAAGCTTTTACTGATTAATATTAATATATATTTACATACATATATAATATATAATATAAAAATTACATGTAATATATAATTACATAATAATATATATAAATTACATATATAATTATATATTATATATCTATTATATATTTATATATAATTTATAGATACATAAAACATTACAGACACAGCTGTCTCGAGTCACTCAGTGATTGGCATGCCGTCCAAAAATCCATGGCGGAGAGAGACTAAGTCTCTTAAATGAGAAACGCACGCTATTCGTGGGATTTGAGAGAGAGTAAATGTTTTCTTTTGATATTATATATTTATACCATTAATGTGTAGACATGGTCTCCTGAAGGCTCTGCACAAGTCCATGCAATTCTGATAATATTTCAGGAAATGTTATCTCCCCACTGGGCCTGTCATGTGGGCACTCGCCTCTGTGGCAAGGGAGCCTGTGAAACTGTGGCCTCGTGCGTGGGGGGATTTAGGCACCTTTGCGTCTGCACTCAGGAGCCTGGTGTCCTCACAGTTGAGAGGTGGTGATGTGGGGAGGAGAAAAAGGGGAAGAAAACACAGCCCTGGGGGAGGTGACGGGGCAGAAAATGTGCGTGGGGCCTTGTGAGTCTCCGGGGTCTTTGTGAGTCTCTGGGGTCTCTGGTTTTCTGGGGTCTTCATGAGTTTCAGGGGTCTTTGTGAGTCTCTGGGTCCCTATGAGTCTCTGGGGTCTCTGTGGTTTTCCGGGGTCTTCATGAGATTCTGGGGTCTTCGTGAGTCTGTGGTTCCCTATGAGTCTCTGGAGTCTCTGTGGTTCCCTATGAGTCTCTGGAGTCTCTGTGGTTTTCCGGGGTCTTCGTAACTTTCTGGGGGTCTCTGAGGTTTTCCGGGGTCTTTCTGAGTCTCTGGAGTCTGACTCTGGTGGAGGTAAGAAGGGAACGGAGGTGGCCGTGAGTCCCGGTGGCCTATCTGCCCTGTGTGTGTATCACATGCTGGCTGCCCTGGGCGTCGTCTGGGGGTGTTTGGAGACTTCCAGGCTCTGTTGGATTCATGTGGACCCACCATGCTGAAACTTTCAGGGCTTCTCAGAGTCGTATGGCCTTGGTTAACGGTGATGACTGGCAGGGCCTTGGTTAACGGTGATGACTGACGGGGACTTGGTTAACGGTGACGACTGGCAGGGCCTTGTTTAACGGTGATGACTGGCAGGGCTTTGGTTAACGGTGATGACTGGCGGGGCCTTGGTTAACGTTGATGACTGGCGGGGCCTTGGTTGACGGTGATGACTGGCGGGGCCTTGGTTGACGGTGATGACTGGCGGGGCCTTGGTTGACGGTGATGACTGGCGGGGCCTTGGTTGACGGTGATGACTGGCGGGGCCTTGGTTGACGGTGATGACTGGCGGGGCCTTGGTTGACGGTGATGACTGGCGGGGCCTTGGTTGACGGTGATGACTGGCGGGGCCTTGGTTGACGGTGATGACTGGCGGGGCCTTGGTTGACGGTGATGACTGGCGGGGCCTTGGTTGACGGTGATGACTGGCGGGGCCTTGGTTGACGGTGATGACTGGCGGGGCCTTGGTTGACGGTGATGACTGGCAGGTGTCTGCTGTATTCAGGAGTGTGCAAGTGGTTGTTTATTGGAAATCAGTTCGAGGGGTCCCCGCACCCATGTTGGGGCTGCATCTGCCACTGTTGAGTTGGCCTTTGGTGAGGATGCCAGTGATGGACCTGGCTGTGGGAATCTTCTAACAACAAACCCTTTCTGGGCCCCTGCATCAGGTGGCATCACAAGAACACAAAGCGCTTGCTTGTGGGACACAGGATTGCTCGGCCGGCTCGTCTTCACGCATGAATCACCACAGCGAGATGTGTGCACGTTTCCTTCATGCCAAGGCAGAGGGAGCCATGGGGGTACCACGTGTTAGGGTGAGGGGTTGCTGGTGATGGATGATTCAGGAGCAAGAACAGCATCCAGCCCCGGCCACGGTGGAGCCTCAGACAAGGTGGCTGGAGAGGGGCGTGCACTGGATAGTGGAGGGAGGGTTGACGCCAGCCCAGTAAAAAGAGCTCAGGAGTGGGTTCCAGCCGCAGGATCAGCACAGCCATGTTACATCACCAAATAGTGGAGGGAGGGTTGATGCCAGCCATGTAAAGAGAGCCTGGGAGAGGGTTCCAGCCACAGGACCAGCACAGTCATGTTACGGAAATCCCTTTGGTGACAAGAAGTCACGGCACGTGTGGGCCAGAGCAGATGCCTTAGGGGTGGGCGTGTAAAACCACGAGCATCTTCAGAGGGACTTGAACTCTTGACTTAATTGATCCTGAACACGATCAATAACAGAGGCCCGAATGGTTTCTAGCCTGGCCGAGGCGTTTGCTGACTCTGTCTCATTTAATCCTTGGGCTGCTCCAGGAAATCGCCGCCTGCAACCCCGCTTGGCAGAGGAAGAAGCTGTCGCTCCCTGGGCTGGTGGGCTGCACTGAGGGGTTGGGGTCCCGGGGCCCAGGGCTGCCACCTCCTTCCCCAGTTTGCTCCTGTGCCCGAGGCCTGTCAGCGAGGCAGCCCCGGGACCACTCGCACCTGCTGTTGGGTTAATTACCCTTAATTAGGTTGCATCCCTCACCAGAGAGCAGGAAGTGGAGTGTGCTTCCTCCATCTGCAGGGCCTCTGAAGAGCACCGGCAGCTTCCTTCTTAGCAGAGGAGAAAATCTCTGCCATCTCGTGCTCGCCTACCTCGACTCGCCAGACGCCCTGGAGCAGAGGAGGAGCAGTGGTCGGCAGCGGCCAGCCGTGCAGGTGCCACACCTGATGGTCCACCTGGGAGAACCAGGCAGGAAGCCGGAAAGGTGCGGTCTCATGACATGAGGATGTGTTGAAGGAGGCCCACGGGTGCCCCGAATCCCAGTGTACAGGCTCATACTTTATCCTGAGATTTCGGAGTGATGATGTGTCATTGATTTACCTTCTTAACGCCACCTTTTCATATGTGATCCATTCTACAGAGAAAAAGTTCTTAAAAATTACAACCGTGGTGCCTGAAAATGAAAAGTATTCTGAAAGTGAAGACTCTACCACAGTTGTGATTAGTTAGGGCTGTGGAACTGTAGGGGTCTCATGTTGTGGGGATTAACCTTGTTCTGCCTGAAGGAGGAGATAGTGCTGGGAACAGGTTCCCCGCATTCTCACCAGCACCTGTGACTTTTGTCCTTTGATGAGAACAGTCACCCTAACATGGTTCTGGTCCGTGTTTCTCTGATGGTGGGAGATGCAGGGAGGGGGTAGCCATGCTGAGCGGGGGTCTGTGCCTGAGTGACAAGGTAGGAGCTTCCTGCCGGTGCACTATCTACTGAAGGGAGCCATTCTAGGAGGGTTTTCTATTGAAGGGAGCCATTCTAGGGTTTTTTTTTTTTTTACTGAAGGGAGCCATTCTAGGAGGGTTTTCTACTGAAGGGGGCCATTCTAGGATGGTTTTCTACTGAAGGGGGCCGTTCTAAGAGGGTTTTCTACTTAAGGGGGCCATTCTAGGAGGGTTTTCTACTGAAGGGGGTCATTCTAGGAGGGTTTTCTACTGAGAGGAGCCATTCTAGGAGGGTTTTCTACTGAAGGGGGCCATTCTAGGAGGGTTTTCTACTGAGGGGGACCATTCTAGGAGGGTTTTCTATTGAAGGGGGGCCATTCTAGGAGGGTTTTCTATTGAAGGAGGCCATTCTAGGAGTGTTTTCTATTGAAGGGAACCATTCTAGGAGGGTTTTCTATTGAAGGAGGCCATTCTAGGAGGTTTTCTACTGAAGGGAGCCATTCTAGGAGGATTTTGTATTGAAGGGAGCCATTCCAGGAGGGTTTTCTATTGAGGGGAGCCATTCTAGGAGGGTTTTGTATTGAAGGGAGCCATTCCAGGAGGGTTTTCTATTGAGGGGAGCCATTCTAGGAGGGTTTTCTATTGAAGGAGGCCATTCTAGGAGGTTTTCTACTGAAGGGAGCCATTCTAGGAGGATTTTGTATTGAAGGGAACCATTCTAGGAGGGTTTTCTATTGAAGGAGGGCATTCTAGGAGGGTTTTCTACTGAAGGAGGCCATTCTAGAAGGGTTTTCTATTGAGGGGGAGCCATTCCAGTAGGGTTTTCTATTGAGGGGAGCCATTCTAGGAGGGTTTTCTATTGAGGGGAGCCATTCTAGGAGGGTTTTCTATTGAAGGGAGCCACTCTAGGACGGTTTTCTACTGAAGGAGGCCATTCAAGGAGGGTTTTCTATTGAAGGGAGCCATTCTAGGACGGTTTTCTACTGAAGGAGGCCATTCTAGGAGGGTTTTCTATTGAAGGGAGCCATTCTAGGAGGGTTTTCTACTGAAGGGGGCCATTCTAGGAGGGTTTTCTGCTGAAGGAAGCCATTCTAGGAGGGTTTTCTATTGAAGGGAGCCATTCTAGGATGGTTTTCTATTGAAGGGAGCCATTCTAGGAGGGTTTTCTACTGAAGGAGGCCATTCTAGGAGGGTTTTCTATTGAAGAGAGCCATTCTAGGAGGGTTTTCTATTGAAGGGAGCCATTCTAGGAGGGTTTTCTATTGAAGGGAGCCATTCTAGGAGGGTGAGGTGCTTGTCACTTACTTGTGAGTGACACCTGTGATGAACTGTGTTCAAAAGCAAATTATCAAATGAGAATAGAACCATTTGGACTCTGTAGAGGATAAGACTCTAAGGGTTCTAGGAGCAGGATTGCTTCAACATCTCAGACGTATTTTCTTCTGGGAAGAGTCTTGCCAGATAAGCAGAGTGAGAGAGTCTATTAAACCGCACCTGTATACAGCATCTAGCAGGCAGCAGTGAGTGTACTGACAATGCATTTCCCATTCTAACAAAATGTGACTTTTGTGTGAGTTGCTCACCTGCGGGCGGTATCACACACGCATCAAAATAAAAATCAGTGGGGGTACTTAAAGCACCACAAAGTGGAGAGAGCAGAGGCTTTGCAGTGCACTGGTTCTGTGACTTTGCTCCAAGACTTGGTTTTCTCATCTGTAAAATGGAGACAATAGCTCACAGAGAGGCTGGAGGTGAGGGTGACTGAGTGCTTTCTAGATACTCATCACCACTCCAGGGCTGGGAGGCTGGGCTGGCACAGACCCCTTGCTGTTGCTGAGCCCCCGCACCCGGGCCTGCCTAGGCCTCAGATCCACTCACACAGAGGTCAGCGAAGGCTTCCAGAGGCGTCCAAAGGAAGCGTCTGTGCACCAGGTAGATCCTTGTCCTGTGTGGGTCTCATTTGGCCTGAGAAAAAGCCACAGCTCTTCACAGGGAGAGCCAGGGCCCCTCGCGTGGGAAGCTCGTGTGCTGTTATTTTCCAGCGGAATTCCAGGGTGGAAACACGGAGGCAGCTGACTATCGAGAATCCTAGGAGAATGGGCTTTCTGTGTGACGTGTGCCTGGAAGGGCTTCCTGAGGCTTTATTTCCCCTGCTCTTCCCTGCTCTGTCCCAGCAGAGCTGTTTTTGTAAAGCACACATAGTATTTGCCATTCGTCACATTTATTATGCCAGGGACTCTGTTCTCCATCCCCCTCTGTGAGTTACGGCCCATCCTATGCTGTGTTTCCACACCCATGTTGCATTTGGCAGGAGCCTTCCTGACACCGAACCACCCTAAGCTGACAAATGTCTATAGCTCGGGGAGCACGAGAGGGAGCTCACGAGATGGCAGACAGACCAGGATGTGCACAGAACGTAACCCTGGGTTGTGGACTCAGCTTTCCTTCCTGAAGCGCCTGAAGCAAATAGAGAATAGTCGTAGTTGAGCCTGAGTTTCCAGAGGGGCAGAAAACCAACTTGCGTGTTTTCTTTTTATTGTTGCTTTTTTGAAAAAATGGTCCTAATTTCAGCTTGTTTTTCCAACCATGTGAAAGGATGGACTGGACGCTGCGCAGAAGTGGAGATCTTAGGTAAGAAGAAAGGATAGGAAGGTTGATGGGAAATGAATTGGCTGTCACTGTCCTTCCTGTCCAGATGCATTTGGAGGCTTTCTGGAGAATGGTTTCCAAACTCAGTATGTGCTGAATGTTTCCCCAATCTATGGGGAAATGAAAAGAAGACAGTGCAGTCAATTTCTGAAAGTTAACCACTTTCAGCATTAATAGAACAAACGAAACCCTGGGAGCAGCCTTCATGCTTGTTTGACGTTGCAGGGCGGCCTGTGATTGAAGCCGTCATGTAAGATGATGCTGTGAGATGTGAGTGAGTGCACGTGCCTGTGATGTGCGCTGGGTCTGTGAAGTGTGCACGTGCCTGTGACGTGTGCTGGGTCTGTGAGGTGTGAATGTGTCTATGAGGTGTGCATGTGCCTATGAAGTGTGCTGGGTCTGTGAGGTGTGCACGGGTCTGTGAGATGTGCATGGGTCTGTGAGGTGTGCACGTGCCTATGATGTGTGCACGTGCCTATGAAGTGTGCTGGGTCTGTGAGGTGTGCACGGGTCTGTGAGGTGTGCATGGGTCTGTGAGGTGTGCACGTGCCTATAATGTGTGCACGTGCCTATGAAGTGTGCTGGGTCTGTGAGGTGTGCACGTGCCTATGAAGTGTGCTGGGTCTGTGAGGTGTGAATGTGTCTATGAGGTGTGCATGTGCCTATGAAGTGTGCTGGGTCTGTGAGGTGTGCACGGGTCTGTGAGATGTGCATGGGTCTGTGAGGTGTGCACGTGCCTATGAAGTGTGCTGGATCTGTGAGGTGTGCATAGGTCTGTGACGTGCTGGGTCTGTGAGGTGTGTACGGGTCTGTGAGGTGTGCACATGCCTATGAAGTGTGCTGGGTCTGTGAGGTGTGAATGTGTCTATGAGGTGTGCATGTGCCTATGAAGTGTGCTGGGTCTGTGAGGTGTGCACGGGTCTGTGAGGTGTGCACGGGTCTGTGAGGTGTGCACGTGCCTATGAGGTGTGCTGGATCTGTGAGGTGTGCACGGGTCTGTGAGGTGTGCATGGGTCTGTGAGGTGTGCACGTGCCTATGAAGTGTGCTGGATCTGTGAGGTGTGCACGGGTCTGTGAGGTGTGCATGGGTCTGTGAGGTGTGCACGTGCCTATGAAGTGTGCTGGATCTGTGAGGTGTGCACGGGTCTGTGAGGTGTGCATGGGTCTGTGAGGTGTGCACGTGCCTATGAAGTGTGCTGGATCTGTGAGGTGTGCACGGGTCTGTGAGGTGTGCATGGGTCTGTGAGGTGTGCACGTGCCTATGAAGTGTGCTGGATCTGTGAGGTGTGCATAGGTCTGTGACGTGCTGGGTCTGTGAGGTGTGTACGGGTCTGTGAGGTGTGCATGGGTCTGTGACATGTGCTGGGTCTGTGAGGTGTGCACGGGTCTGTGAGGTGTGCACGTGCCTATGAAGTGTGCTGGGTCTGTGATGTGTGCACAGGTCTGTGAGGTGTGCACGGGTCTGTGAGGTGTGCATGGGTCTGTGAGGTGTGCACGTGCCTATGAAGTGTGCTGGATCTGTGAGGTGTGCATAGGTCTGTGACGTGCTGGGTCTGTGAGGTGTGTACGGGTCTGTGAGGTGTGCATGGGTCTGTGACATGTGCTGGGTCTGTGAGGTGTGCACGGGTCTGTGAGGTGTGCACGTGCCTATGAAGTGTGCTGGGTCTGTGATGTGTGCACAGGTCTGTGAGGTGTGCACGGGTCTGTGAGGTGTGCATGGGTCTGTGAGGTGTGCACGTGCCTATGAAGTGTGCTGGATCTGTGAGGTGTGCATAGGTCTGTGACGTGCTGGGTCTGTGAGGTGTGTACGGGTCTGTGAGGTGTGCATGGGTCTGTGACATGTGCTGGGTCTGTGAGGTGTGCACGTGCCTATGAAGTGTGCTGGGTCTGTGATGTGTGCACAGGTCTGTGAGGTGTGCACGGGTCTGTGAGGTGTGCATGGGTCTGTGAGGTGTGCACGTGCCTGTGATGTGTACTGTATCTGTGAGGTGTGCACGGGTCTGTGAGGTGTGCATGGGTCTGTGACATGTGCTGGATCTGTGAGGTGTGCATGGGTCTGTGACGTGTGCTGGATCTGTGAGGTGTGCACGGGTCTGTGACATGTGCTGGATCTGTGAGGTGTGCACGGGTCTGTGACATGTGCTGGGTCTGTGAGGTGTGCACGGGTCTGTGACATGTGCTGGGTCTGGGTCTGTGATGTGTGCATGTGCTTATGGAGTATGCTGGATCTGTGAGGTGTGCATGGGTCTGAGAGGTGTGCATGGGTCTGTGACACGTGCTGGGTCTGTGGGGTGTGCATGGGTCTGTGACATGTGCTCGGTCTGTGATGTGTGCACGTGCCTGTGAAGTGTGCTGGGTCTGTGAGGTGTGCATAGGGTGGGTGAGGTGTGCACGTGCCTGTGAAGTGTGCATGGGTCTTCAGTGTGTCTGCATCTGGCATGTGAGAGATCCAGCAGTGCCATACTGTCCCTGAAATTAGGGGAAAACAATGAGAAACCCAAACATCTGCAAGTAACTGCTTTCCATTTTCAGGGAAGATTTATAGCCTTTTTTTTTTTTTTTTTTGAGAGACATTGAGTGTCCCGCAGCCCTGCAGTGGCACTGTTTTTACAGACCCTCTCTCTCACATACAGCTTTCTATATTCACCCTGCACAGCCCTGACCCCCGGGACCCCACACACCCTCTGTGCCTGGTGCAGGGCTCAGCTACCCCTGTCTGTGGGGCCCTTCCCTGTGGATGGTGCTTTTGGGGGTTTGGGGTCAGGGAGTGTGAGGGTTGGTTCCTTGGCTGGGTAAGTCAGATGCATCTGCCAGCCGAAGGTCACACGTGGGTTTGAGCAGCCTCTCCTTGTGCTTGCTGGAACACATGCTCCACACCCGTGTGCCACCTGCACGCCACAGTGCCCGACTCCGGGGCTGCTTTCTGCCCGGGCCTTCCTCCGCCTTACCAAGCCCAGAACATCACTGATGGCAGGGCTGGAAATGCAAAGATGGCCAAGCTACAGAAAATAAATTAAATACAAAGAAAACATGGAGAGAGGTGGCTTAGTGTCCGACTTGCCTAGTTTCCTGTTGGCGCTCCCAGAGTGATGGCAGAAATCGTCTTCCCTCAGCTCCCGGAAGACCCAGCACTGTGTGTGCTGAAGGCTGTGGATTTTCAGGCCAGACTCCCTGGGTTCACGTTCCAGTCCCCATTTTCTGTGTGACCTTGGGCGTGTTTCTTTTTTTTTTCTTTTTTAACTTTTATTTTTGGTTCCGCGGTACATGTGAAGGCTTCTTACTTAGGTTAACTCATGTCACAGAGATGTATTGTATAGGTTATTTCATCACCCAGGTTTAATTAAGCCCGCTACTCAATAGTTATATTTCATGGTCCCCTCCCCGCTCCCATATGCCACCCTCCGATAGACCCCAGAGTGTGTTCTTCCCCTCTGTGTGTCCATGTGTTCTCATTATTTAGATCCCACTTGTAAGTGAGAACATGCAGTATTTGTTTTTCTCTTCCTGGGTTAGTTTGCTAAAGATAATGGCCTCCAGCTCCATCCATGTTCCTGCAGAGGTCATGGGTCTTATTCTTTTTATGGCTGTATAGTATTCCATGGTATAGATGTACCACATTCTCTATATTCAGTCTGTCATTGCTGGGCATTTAAGTTGATTCCATGTCTTTGCTTTTGTGAATAGTGCTGCAGTGAGCATTCACGTGCATGTGTCTTTATGGTAGAATGATTTATATTCCTCTGGATATATACCCGCTAATAGAATTGCTGGGTTGAATGGCAGTTCTGCTTGTAACTCTTTGAGGAATCACCACACACTGCTTTCCACAGGGGTTGAACTACTTTACACTCCCACCGACAGTGTATAAGTGTTCCTTTTTCTCCACAACCTCACCAGCATCCGTTATTTTTTGACTTTTTAATGATGGCCATTCTGACTGGTGTGTGATGATATCTCATTGGGGTTTTGCTTTGCATTTCTCTAATGATAAATGATATTTAAGTTTTTTCATATGCTTCTTGGCCACATGTATGTCTTCTTTTAAAAAGTGTGTTCATGTCCTTTGCCCATTTTTTTTTTTTTTTTTTTTTGAGACAGAGTTTTGCTCTGTTGCCCAGGCTGAAGTGCAGTGGTGTGATCTTGGCTCACTGCAAGCTCCGCCTCCCCGGTTCATGCCATACTCCTGACTCAGCCTCCCGATTAGCTGGGACTACAGGCATCCACCACTACACCCGGCTAATTTTTTGTATTTTTATTAGAGACATGGTTTCACCATGTTAGCCAGGATGGTCTCGATCTCCTCACCTCATGATTCACCTGCCTCAGCCTTACAAAGTGCTGGGATTGCAGGCGTGAGCCACCGCGCCCGGGCGTCCTTTGCCCACTTTTTAATAGGGTTGTTTTTCTCTTGTAAATTTGTTTAAGTTCCTTATAGATACTGGATATGAGACCTTTGTCAGATGCGTAGTTTGCAAATATTTTCTCCCATTCTAGTAGTTTGTCTGTTCGCTCTGATGATAGTTTCTTTTGCTCTACAGAGGTTCTTAAGTTTAATTGGATCCCATTTGTCAATTTCCCCTTTTGTTGCAGAAATTGCATGAATCATGAAATCTTTGCTCATTCAGGATGATATTGCCTAGGTTGTCTCCCAGGGTTTTTATAATTTTGGGTTTTACATTTAAGTCTTTAATCCATCTAGAGTTGCTTTTTGTACATGGCATAAGGAAGGGGTCCAGCTTCAATCTTCTACGTATGACTAGCCGGTTATCCCAGCACCCTTTGTTGACTAGGGAGTCTTTTCCCCATTAATTATTTTTGTCAGCTTTGTCTAAGATCAGATGGTTGCAGGTGTGTAACCTTATTTTTGGGCTGTCTATTCGGTTCCATTGGTCTGTGTGTCTGTTTTTGTACCACTGTCATGCTGTTTGTTACTGTAGCCCTGTAGTATCATTCAAAGTTGGATAATATGATGCCTCCAGCTTTGTTCTTTTTGCTTATGATGGCCTTGGATATTTGGGCTTTTTTTTGGTTCCATATGAATTTTACAATAGTTTTTTTCTAGTTCTGTAAAGAGTGTCATTGGTATTTTGATAGGAATAGCAATGAATCTATAAATTGCTTTGGGCAGTATGGCCATTTTAATTAAGTTGATGCTTTCTATCCATGAGCCTGGAATATTTTTCCATTTGTGCATTCTCAGATTTCTTTGAGGAGCATTTGGTAATTCTCATTGAAGAGATCTTTAACCTCCCTTGTCAGCTGCATTCCTAGGTATTTTATTCTTTTTGTGGCAGTTGTGAATGTAATTACCTTCCTGATTTAGCTCTCAGCTTGGCTGTTTTTGGTGTGTAAGAATGCTAGTGATTTTTGTACATTGATTTTGTATCCTGCAACTCTGGTTAAGTTGTTTATCAGCTGAGAGAGCTTTTGAGCCAAGACTGGGGTTTTCTAGATATAGAATCTTGTCATCTACAAACAGGGGTACTTTGACTTCCTCTCTTTCTGCTTGGATGCCCTTTATTTTTTCTATTGCCTGATTGCCCTGGCCAGAACTTCCAATACTATGTTGAATGGGACTAGTGAGAGTCGGCGTCCTTGTCTTGTGCTAGTTTTCAAGGGGAATTCTTCCAGCTTTTACCTATGCAGTATGATGCTGGCTGTGGGGATGTCATAGATGGCTCTTAATATTTTGAGGTATGTTCCTTCAATACCTAGTATATTGAGAATTTTTAACATGAAGAGGTATTGGATTTTATTAAAAGCCTTTTCTGCATCTATTGAGACAATCATATGGTTTTTGTCTTTAGTTCTGTTTATGTGATGAATCACATTGATTGATTTGTGTATGTTGAACCAACCTTGCATCCAGGAGATGAAGCCTACTTGATTGTGGTGGATTAGCTTTTTGATATGCTGTTGGATTTGGTTTGCAAGAATTTTGCTGAGGATTTTTTTCATCGATGTTCATCAAGGATATTGGCCTGAAGTTTTCTTTTTTTGTTGTGTCTCTGCCAGGTTTTGGTATTAGGATGACGCTGGCCTCATAGAATGAGTTGGGGAGGAGTCCCTCCTTTTCAGTTTTTTTTAATAGGTTCAGTAGAAATAGTACCAGCTCTGCTTTATACATCTGGTAGAGTTCAGCTGTAAATTCATCTGTCCTGGGCTTTTTTTTGGTTGATAAACTATTCATTACTGATTCAATTTCAGAGCTTGTTATTGGTCTGCTCAAGGAATCAGCTTCTTCCTGGTTCAGTCTTGGGAGGGTGTAAGTGTCCAGGAATTTATCCATCTCTTCTAGGTTTTCTAGATTGTGTGCATAGAGGTGTTCATAGTAGTTTTTGGTGGTTATTTTTATTTCTGTGGGGTCAGTGGTAACATTCTCTTTGTCATTTCTAATTGTATTTATTTGGGCCTCCTCTCTTTTCTTCTTTATTATTCCAGCTAGCAGCCTATCTTACTAATTTTTTTTTTCAAAAAATGAACTCCTAGATTCATTGATTTTTTTCAATGGTTTTTCGTGTCTTGATTTTCTTCAGCTCTGATTTTGGTTATTTCTTGTCTTCTGCTAGCTTTGGAGTTGATTTGTTCTTGCTTCTCCAATTCTTTTAATTGTGATGTTAGGTAGTTAATTTGAGATCTTTCCAACTTTTTGATGTGGCATTTAGTGCTACGAATTTTCCTGTTAACACTGCCTTAGCTGTGTCCCAGAGATTCTGGTATGTTCTTTCTTTGTTCTTATCAGTTTCAAAGAACTTCTTGATTTCTGCCTTAATTTCATTATTTACCCAAAGTCATTCAGGAGGATGTTGTGTAATTTCCATGTAATTTCATGGTTTTGAGTGATTTTCTGAGTCTTAACTTCTACTTTTATTGTGCTGTGGTCCAAGATTGTATTTGGCATGGTTTCAGTTCTTTAGCATTTGCCTGAGGATTATGTTCAATTATGTGGTCTGTTTTAGAGTGTGTGCCATGTGGCAATAAGAAGAATGTGCATTCTGTTGTTTTGGGGTAGAGTGTTCTATAGAGGTCTGTCATATGCATTTGGTCCAATGTGGAGTTCAGATCCTGAATATCTTCATTAATTCTCTCTCAGTGATCTGTCTAACACTGTCAGTGGAATGTTGACGTCTTCCACTATTATTGTGTGGGAGTCTTTTTCTCTTTGAAGGTCTCTAAGCCCTGCTTTATGAATCTGGGTGCTCCTGTGTTGGATGCATATATATTTAGAATAGTTAGGCCTTCTTGTTGAATTGAACCCTTTACTGGGCATGTTTCTTAACCACGGGGAATAACTTTTCATCTGAAAATTGGAGTAGTAATAACTACTTTATAAAAATATTGTGAAGATTCTGAGTTTGTGTATGTAAAGTGCCTAAGACAGTGCCTACCACACCATAGATGCTGTAGAAATTTAAATGATCTAAATACAGTGGTGGCATCTTTAGGGATCCTTCTTGTAGGCAGTGGTAAAATCAAACAATTCAGAGGACGGAGGTGTAGCTGTGAAGTGTCTGTGCTGCCAGGGATCCCCAGTGCTGAGACCACTGGCTATGTAGAGTTACAGCTGGTGCTTTGGCATGAGAATTCACATCAGCGGTCAGCCACACTCATTTTAAGGCACAAATGACAGTTTTCGAATTTGTTGAGATGATCTCAT
Organism: Homo sapiens; assembly: GCF_000001405.40. Classification (NCBI taxonomy): domain Eukaryota; kingdom Metazoa; phylum Chordata; class Mammalia; order Primates; family Hominidae; genus Homo; species Homo sapiens. The sequence goes on from NC_000008.11 coordinate 1,115,825, forward strand.
TTGGGCTCTTCTTCTAGTCAGTCATTTATCCCTGCCACACACAGGGGACTGTGCCAGGTGTATGGAACGTTGTTGTCCTTTGCTCAGTGATGGGACATAATGGGCCTGGAATCTTCTAGAAGGCATGAGAGCATCACTCATAGACATCAGTGCCCAGGAAACGATCCCAGCAGACAGCACCGTGGGAGCCATTCACTCCGTCAGACGTGGCCAGTGACAGTCACTTGGGAGGACTTTCCAGGGGTTCTTGGAAAGCTGGGGGTGTGGGCCTGGTGGGTGTCTGTGGTTTTGGAGATCTTGGCCTTGATGCGGTACGCAATCCCATCCCCATGGGGTGCGCAGGCGTCAGCTGGGGACACCCGCACTGGCCTTCCGTGTGAGAAGGGAGCAGGCCCTCCCCGTTCATCTGGGTCCTGACATGCTCTTGGGTTTTCTGTATTGTCAAGTGACTAAGGGTTACCGACCACCCTCCAAAGCACCAGCTGTGTCTCAGCCACAGCCTGGACGAAGAGTGAGCGGTTGATGCCCGGAAGACTTGGGGTCAGAAAACCTGGGTTTGGATTTAAATTCTACAATTTGGTGCTAGATAACCTTACAAGAGGCATTGAGGGTTTTCTTATTTCTTCAGTTTCTTTATCTGTAAAGTGGGGGTGACAATATTCACCTCACATTGAGAATGGGGCAGATAATATATTTGAAAATATCCAGTAATTACAATCCCTGCACTTAGGGAGGCCAATGTGAGTGAATTGCCTGACCCCAGGCATTTGAGACCAGCCTGGGCAACTTGGCAAAACCCCATCTCTACAAAAAAATAAAAACAGTTAGCCACACGTGGTGGCATGCCTGTAGTCCCAGCTAACTCAGGAGGCTCTCAGAGGTGGAAGGATTGCCTGAGTTCAGGAGGTCAAGGCTACAGTGAGCTGTGATTGTGCCACTGCACTCCAGCCTAGGTGACAGGGCAAAACCCTGTCTCAAAAAAAAGAGAAAAAAAAAGAGAATATTCATTACTGTATCTGGAACACGAAGAACTGAATAAAAATTAGTTGACTCTGAGTCTGAACACAGTTGATGGGAAGACAGAAACCAAAGCAAAACCTCTTCCGCAGCCAACAGCTACTGGCTTCCTCTGCGGAAGGGAGATCCCAGGATCGCTTCTGCCAAAAGAAAGCTGAAAAATAAACCCGATGTGCAGTCCTCAGATGAACCCTGTGCTTCTCTGCAGGATCCCAAAGCTTTATGGGTTTTTAAAATTTGCTACAGCAATTTCATCTCCTTGGGACCCAGCATCAAGAAGAGGTTTTGGAAAACCCAACACCGTCTCTTTGACCTGTCTTGGAAAACCCAACACCGTCTGTTTGACCTGTCTTCTTGAGGTGAGCCTGTGGACAAAGCACAGTGCCGAGCTAGTGCCTCGGGGCTGTGCCCTCTCTGAGGCTGATGGCACAACCCTGGGCAGGTGTGCAGACAGATCCCACCACTCAGAGGTGCCACACTGGGGACGCCACGCTGGGGATGCGGTGACGATGCACGGTCTTCTTTGAGCCAAGAAATTGAAGCCAAAGGTTAGAAATGTGTAGTGGGTTATGGGTGATCAAGTGTCAGATTCACAGAGAAGAAACAGGCTCACGGTGGGAAGATGCTTAGAAATGAGGACTGAGGGTGGGGTGGACGCTGTGTAGGACAAGCCTGAACCAAGACGGCCTTTTCATTCCTGACCGTCAGATTCAGAGAGAAGAAACAGGCTCATGGTGGGAAGATGCTTAGAAATCAGGACTGAGGGTGGGATGGACGCTGAGTAGAGCAAGTCTGAACTGAGATGGCCTTTTCATTCTTACCCTGTGGTTGCCGGAGTGAGGGGAGGGCAGTAGAGAGGAGGGGGAGGCGGCTGTTCTCCAGACCAGGACTCTTTGTAAGACACCCCCAGGGGGCTCCCCCAGGAGAGCAGGCACACAGAATCACCTGCGCATTCTTGACACTCACTTGGGCTCAGAGCCTCCCCCTTTCACAGTGGGCAGCACTGGTTCACAGTTAGGCTTTTGAAAGTTTTTTTTTTTCCTTTAAGAAAATCAGACAAAAGTATCAGCAATTCAAACATGGAAAAAGCATTTTAAAATAAAAGTTAATGAGTAGATACCGTTTTCCAGATGGAATAGTTCCAATGAAATTATAAAGCAAATTCGTTAATATTGATATGCTTTCAAAAGTTGTATAGATTCATTTGGTCTTAAGTGGTTTTGACCTGAATGCTGTACCTCAGCTCCCAAAAGCATTGCATGTCAGTTGACAGAGGAGCGGGCGGAGTGGGGAAATTAACCGCAGTTCAGAAAGTGCTTTAATGGCTTTTTCTAAAATGCATTCATTACACTTTAAATAGGCCATGTCTGGAGATTCTGAAGTCCCTTATGTAAGTAGGATGTGAGCTCGGGGGAACTTCTTCAGCTTCACTCTGGTGCTGATTCCAGCATCTGCAGCTCTTGACCCCGTAGTGTGTGAGCAGAGACTGAGAAACTTTCGAAACTGCATTACATTGTCTTTGTTCAGTTCCTTACGTGACTGAGGACAGTGAAAAGAGCCCACCTGGTGTAAAGTGCTCATTTTAGCTGCCAAGAAAAGCCTAATTTATTTTCAGGGCAAAACTTCTGCACTGGGACAAATGTCTTCATTATAATCCAAAAGCAGCATCAGGAAAAGAAGCTAAACTGTGCGAATAGAAATGAATGGGGCTGCTGCTGCTGCTGCTGCTTTCTTTTTAATCAGTAGAAATGGAATTCTGCCTCCCAAACAGAAGTCTAGGAGGAACTGCAGACGGCCCCTGTACTGAGGGCATTTTGTCAGTGCTTAGAGCAACCTTCAAGATCATGACACTCTGCTATGAGGACCGAAAGAACTTGGAGATAAATATACATGTACTATGTGGTGGGACCGTTTTTGAATCTGAACTAAATTAAATGATGGAAAACGACCTTGGGTGAGTTCTTCATGGCTGTACTTCCTGGAATGATACAATTTTTCAAAATAATTTGTTTCCTCGAAATGACACCAACACCTATAGTTAAGTTTAAATTTATGGGACTAGGTGAGTGTTATTTTGTGAGACATAGCATTATGCTTACATAGAATAATTTATCGTTTGATGTTCAATATCATTTTATTTAAGCATAACTGTGGAGAACCATTCAAGTGACTGTATAATTACTTCATATAAATACTTAATAGACAACTTTACCATTAACTATTTTCCTACTACTTTATAACCGATTCTATTTTCAATTGATAAGTGATTTTTTCCCATTTAAGTACTGATTTGCAGTTTGGCCCATATTATTTTGCACTGAGATGGCATAAATGCCACATCCTTCCCGCACTTAAGGCATGCAATTTGCAGAATAAGACGTAAATTTTAAGTAGGTTTGGAATCTTTTGTAGGACTACTTTTATTTCAGCCTTTGACATAATATAAGCTTGTTAATTCATCTGCAAAATATTTTAGTGTCCAGCGTGTTTAGCTAGAAAGAAGCTCCAGTTGCCTCCCCATGCTCTTACATGGGAGGCTGACTGTGCATCTACTGCAGTGCGTCATGTGAGTGCTGGTTTTATTCCATGACACCAAGAACATTGCTTAACTTCTGTACTCATCAGTTCATAAATGAGCACAAGGCCCATTGCTTCTCGCAGTTCAGCCCTGCTGCTCTTCTTCAGCAGATCGGGGTAGCAGGGGCAGTAGCTGAGAGATGCTGAGCAGCCTGAGGCTTCTGGGTGCCGTGCCTGGAACTGGTCCCACCACAGCACACACGCTGTTTCCTCATGTGAACAGCTGAGCTTCAAGTGATGGCATGTGTGAGAGGCTTCGCCACTCAACTTTGAATTTAAGTATCCCCAGGGACTGTCAAACTTTTTATATCCAATGGGGAATTTCACCTTGAAGTTGGACCACAGCTGCCTCTAGAGTTGGTACAAGTTGTGAGAGTCACAGTTGACCCTACCTTGACTTAGGAGAGTGGTTGGCACCATGATTTTAAATAAAATACAGTGAATGGGGTCCAGCACCCTAGCTTATTCTGCTTTAGGGACTTCTCACTAGAAAGGTTTCCTTGTAGTTGGGAAGACCCTTTCTGGAAGGCTGCTATAGGAAATGGCTAAGATGAAAAGTGGGACTCAGCACTTTTAGGGCTGGGCTGAAAAATGAGTCTGCTGGCAAAACCCTGTGTCAGGCAGCAACTTATAACAAAAACAGGAAAATCCCTACTACATCTTAGCTAAGTTGGAAATTCAAACATCTTTGCAGGTCCCATTTCACCACCGTTGGGTCTGTGGACGTAACCCTACTGAGAGTTAGGCTAAGGGTTCAGCCCCTTCATTTATGGGAGGAGGAAGAGAGCCATCCTCCATGCAGCTGCTTCTGTGGCTCACACCCAGACACGGAGGGGTCAAGCAGCAGTCAGGGCCAAGGCCTGAGAAGCTCAAATCACACTCATTAGGCATCTTCGTTCCAGCCAACATGCGTCCGAATGAGAACAATACGAAGGGGCACCCCTTCAGAATTTGTGAACACTAACCCTAGTCCTTCAGATACCATGACAGCTATGCTGGTATCTTAAGAATCCATGACTGTCCATTCTAGACCCTTCAGAAACCATAACCACCTTTCTGCTACTTTCATAGCCCACAGCCACCCATCCTTCGGAACCCACAGCTACCCAGCTGCCCATCTTCATCCCCTCAGAACCGATGACCACCCATCCTTGTCCATTAGGACCCATGACCACCCATCCTTGCCCATTAGGACCCATGACCACCCATCCTCATTCCTTCAGAACTCATGACTATAAACCCTAGTCCTTTGGATGCCATGATGCCTATCCTGGTATCTTTAGAATCCGTTACCGCCCATTCTAGACTTTGCAGAACCCATGAACACCCATCCTAATTTATTTAGAAACTAGTCATTCTAGTCCCATCCTAGTCCCTTCAGAACCCCTCGTCTCCCATCCTCGTCCAGTTAGAACCCATGACCACCCATCCTTGTCCCTTCAGAACCCGTGACCACCCATCGTCATTCCTTCAGATCCCATGACCTCCCATCCTCATCCAGTTAGAACCCATGACCTGCCATCCTTATCCCTTTAGAAACCCTGACCACCCATCCTCGTCCCTTCAGAACCCAAGACCTCCCATCCTTATCCCTTTAGAACCCCTGGCCACGCATCCTTGTCCCTTCAGAACCCATGACCTCCCATCCTTATCCCTTTAGAACCCCTGATCACCCATCCTCATTCCTTCAGACCCCATGACCTCCCATCCTCGTCCAGTTAGAAGCCATGACCACCCATCCTCATCCAGTTAGATCCCATGACCACCCGTCCTCCCCTTTGGAACCCATGACCTCCCATCCTTGTCCAGTTAGAACCCATGAACACCCATCCTCGTCCCTTCAGAACCCATGACCTCCCATCCTCGTCCAGTTAGAAGCCATGGCCACCCATCCTCGTCCCTTCAGAACCCATGACCACCCATCCTCGCCCAGTTAGAACCCATGACCTGCCATCCTTATCCCTTTAGAAACCCTGACCACCCATCCTCTTCCCTTCAGAACCCCTGACCACCCATCCTCATCCCTTCAGAACACATGACCTCCCATCCTCATCTCTCTAGAACCCATGACCTCCCATCCTTGTTCCTCCAGAATCCATTACCACCTATCCTTGTTCCTTCAGAACTCATGACCACCCATCTTCTTCCCATTAGAACCCATGACCTCCCATCCTCTTTCCTTCAGAACCCATGACTACCCATCTTCATCCCTTCAGAACCCCTGATCACCCATCCTCATGTCTTCAGAACCCCTGACCACCCAACCTCATCTTTCCTGAACCCATGACCACCCATCCTTGTCCCTTTAGAACCCACAACCACCCGTCTTCATCTTTCCTGAACCCATGACCACCCATCCTTGTCTCCTTAGAACCCGTGGCCTCTCATCCTCATTCCTTTAGAATTCATGACAACACATCCTTGTCTCTTCAGAACTTATAACCTTCTATCCTTGTTCCTTTAGCATCCATGAGCATCTGTCCTATTTTGGCCATTTGCTCAGAATTTCATTTAATGGGAGACAGACCCTCCTAGGTATTGAGTGCTTCTTTCTCATGGTGTTGCCCCAACCCATACAGAATTTCATTTAATGGGAGACAGACCTTCCTAGGGATTGAGTGCATTTGCCCCTCGTGGTAATGCCCCAAGCCATTGAGCCAGAGATTGCACTCCCTTAGGTGAACTTTGAGCCAGATGTGGACTGGTGTTACTACGGTTACCATCAGGTTCCGGTCTTGTTTATGGCTTTAGGGATCATTCGGTTCCACAGCAGACTCTCATTTCATGGAAGAATGAAATGGGACATCACTGGGTGACCCTGTTTCTCCTCTTCTGTCCATGGAGACAGAGTTTTCATGACACGCACAGGTTTTGCCAGTTGGATCCTCTGGTCAGGACTGAAAGAACCTCTGAGTCACTGGTGACACATGAGATTCTAAATGGCTTTCCCTAGGATGGGCTGATCTTTACCAATGGGCTGTTTAAATGTGCAGCTGAGGAGGATTCCTGGGAGCTCTGTTACTGCCATCCAGAGCTGAGGGGAACGTAGAGAAAGATCACATTTTTGATCCCACAATAGGTTGAATCGCATTTAAGAAAATCCTTTTTCTTTTATCATAAACTGTTTTGTCATAGTAAACTTGTTTCCCTTTGGTGATTTATGTACATTTTTCCTGCTTACTATGTGTAGGTCTCTCAAAAATACATATTGGTTTTTATAACAAGGTAGAACTGATACTTCTCTTTGAAGAATTATTTTTTAGTTGATAAAGTAGAAGCTATACTCCCTTTCTTCCTCCCTCTTTCCCTCTCATTTCCTCCCTCCCTTCATCTTCTTTTTTCTTTTTTTTTTCTTTTCTGGAAGCTGTCTTTTTAAGTTTGATTCAGTCTTGAAAATACCATTTCTCTCATTTCTCCTGACCAGTAGCTCCCCTCGTATTTGATGGTGAAGATTTGTTAGGCTCTAAATGGAATCATAGGAGCTCTGGGAAGAGTGTGATACCAGCTCTTAAGAACCTCACACAACAGGAGCTTTGGCTTAGGTCCGCCAGATAGAGGGTGATCAGGAGATACAGTTAAACTCAGCATAATTCTATGCCTTCAAATCTTTTATACAAACTGGGTTGGGGGCACTAAATATTCAAATGTATTTGAAAATAACTATGCAAATCTTTCTGTCAAAATATCTCACATTTCAGAGAATAAGTTTCGCTCAGAAGCTTGGAATGATCGCCTTTGACAATTTTGTGAATTATGAACCAAAAGGCTTCCCCATTAATCAACTTTTATAGAAATTTTAGTTACTAATGGCTTTTGCATTCTAAAATGTAAAGCAAAGAATAATGAAAAATGTTTTTTATTACTATAAACTCACATGGTGGTTCTTTTATGTTTCACTTCTCAGTTCCCATGAGGCGGGTGATAATATTTAAATTTGCTCAAGTAACACCTGAGGCTTAGTAGGTACAGCCTCCACCCGGTCAGAATGAGACACCAGGACCTAGTGAGTCCATGCCCATTGTTTTCCAGTAAACAAGGAGGTTCCTCATAGTATTTTCCAAGCACACATATCATGGAAAGATGCCTGTTAGCTTTGGAGACTCTAAAAGGAAAAATCATTACAGTGTCAGATGTTTGGTCTAAAACCTGGAAAAGTGATACATTATAAACCTGAGAAGGCCATTCAAATAATGTGTAATTTATCTTTCCTTTATTCCTAAGGGAAAAAAAGAAATAGTTCTATGCACAACCTCTTTTTCTCTTTTTTTCTCTATGTACAACCTCTTTTTCTCCTCCTCCAGTTCCTAGGTGTCTCTCCCTGCCTTTCTCTCACCACCTTCCTGACTCCCTTTAGGAATAAAACTTCAGCACTTTGTACATTTTTCAATATTAATTAATAATGTCAAGGATTAACCTCACCTTTTCCTCAGTATTCTTTCCTGTTTGCCTAAAAATTATTTTATTTTTCAGAAGAATTTTCTTTCTTCTGAAACAAAGAACATGGTCTAATTGACAGCATGCATTCAGGTTGCTCCCCAGAGCAGGCAGTGACCTTCTTTTCCTTGCCTGTTTTTGGAGGAAGTGAGAGCGTGGTATTCTTAAAAAAAATTCAGCCCTTCATTTTCCCTGTATGCAGACCAAACAGCACTGTCCTGGCACCGTGAATGTTTCTCATGCATATCGTTTCCCCAGAGTTTAACGCCAATAAAAATGTCAGGTGCTAATCTAAATGCTGTCTGTGTATTGACTGATTCAATTCTCATAGCATACATAGAACATAGTCCTTGGTTTCCATTCTGAAGACAGAAACTGAGTCAGCAGGGAGAGGACCATGGGCTAAGGAACTCGCCAAAGAGAAGAGCCTGGAAGCGGCTCCAGGGTTTCTGCTTCCAGAAGGGTTTCCACTTCCAGAAGGGTTACCTGTGGCCCAGACTCCTCTCTCAGGGACCTCAGAGCTGAGTCCAGGGCCCAGAACGTTGCTGCCAAGGGCTTCTCCTCAGACTGTATGTTTGAGAAGCTGGGCCACTTAAGTAAGCTACATTTAGCCACCATGACTTGGCTAATGTTTTCCTATGTTTCTATTTTTATTACTCATCAAATATACTTTTCTGTTTGTTTTCTACCATTCATGATATGTAATTGTGAATTGAATATTCTCACCATTTTATAATCTAGCTGTGTTCCTGCACTAAGCTGCTTAAGAAAGCCAAGCAGCTGAAAACAGGAAACCTGCATTTTAGCTAATCTGTGTTTTTGATCCTAAGCAAACATATGATTTTCACTATCTTTTGAAATACAGATAATAACCATCAGTGTCATTGCTGTCATCTGAAATGCCACACACAGCCCCCGTGTGGTGTTTTCATTTTTCCCATCAAATCATCTCGTTTTAGTGGGTAGAAGCCAGTCTGCAGGATGGCTGAGTGGGGCCCGGAACCCCAGGCTCTGGGTTTCAGGCATGATTCCCATTCCAGTTGCTGAGGCTGCCCTCAGAAGGCTCTGCCCCTATACCGAGGAGGCATCGTCCCCCTCATCGCTGACTGTCCAGCACCTGCTCTGCCCCCACACGGAGGAAGCATCGTCTCCCTCGTCTCTGACTGTCCAGCACCTCCTCGTTCAGGGTCTGTATTTCTAGTTCTTTGAATCCTGTCATGTCTTTGCATTCCATAAGACCTCTGCCTTCTCTGGCAGACTCGGACCATTTTCCCAAGATTGACTTTAAATATTTCCCCGCTAGGATGCATGGCCTTGCATTGACAAAATGAGATACTTACAGCTTCCTCCACACATAATCTGTTACACCGTCAGGGTTGTAAAAATCTCCCTGTAAGATATTTCATTGTCATTGTCCACCTGGTACTTCCAGCCTCCAGAACGTTATGGTTAGAGCTTTGGAATCGAAATTCTACTGCATCCCGGACAAATACCTGGATCTTGATCAAATTTTTTTTATGGAAAAAAATGAGTTTCTTTCATTATGTGAAATGGAATTTCCTATGATAGCGTGATGCTTGTTTTTCAACCAATTGTAGGTACTATATTTATAATAAATATTCCTAGATTGTGTTTGAATGCCATATAACCACTTATTTTGAATTATATCATGCAGATGAAAACAACTCAACTCTTAAAAATAGGGGCTATTTCTTCTTGCGATCTAATCTGATTCAAATCTAACATTATGAAAGCCAGGTGATTTATGTTTTTATGTTTTATTAGATAAATAACATAAAAATACCCATCACAAATGGATGTTTTCTTACTAATGAGCTTTGATTTATTTGTGCATTTCAGACTCGCAAGGTTTTACGTTGTCTTGTGTATAAGTTACTGAAACCAGTGTTTGGGAATTTGAAAGCAAAACATTGCAGAGGCGGGAAGGCCGCTCTACAGCTAGGCTCTTAAGCCTGGAGTTAGTGGGGCTGAGGTGGTGGGGAGGTGGAAATGCGGGGAGGCAGAAAGGCAGGGAGGACTGTGGGAGTTGAAGAAGGACCCAGCGAGCTTGGCATTGGCATTGAGAATCCCTGGCGCCCCATCCGCCCTTTCCTGTAAATAACACATTCATCTCCATGGACACTTCCGGCTCTGGAAGTTGATAATTTGTAAAACTGTTTGTGTATCCCCTGCCATGGTCTTCTCCCACATGTCTTCGAACACGCGGGAAATCAATGACTAAAATCCCAGTGTCTGATGGCCCCTGCGGTGAATACGTGAGGCAGTGGTGCCGTGGATTCTGCATTTATGCAGATGGGCCACCTGCTCCACCTGCGAGGCTTTGGCAGAGCCATGGATTTTCACAGCCCTGTACCCTTTATTCTCAAAAATAGGTTGATTTTTTTAAGTAGGTAGGTCCTTGAAAGCTTCCTCCATATATAAAAATATATTTCCATGTAGCCAGAAACAGAACAGAGAAGAAGAGACACAGGCAGATGAGGAGGGAGGCAGGGGAGAGAAGAGACACAGGCAGATGAGGAGGGAGGCAGGGGAGAGAAGAGACACAGGCAGATGAGGAGGGAGGCAGGGGAGAGAAGAGACACAGGCAGATGAGGAGGGAGGCAAGGCAGGTGAGGGGCTGGGATCTCTCATCGTGCTGTGCGTGGACAGGAGGCAGGCAGAGATCAGGCTGGGAGATCCTGGTGGTGAGATCAGAGGCTTAGACTCCTGCTGTGGGAGGTGCTGTGCTGCTGAGGGCTTTCAGTAGGGTCTCGGGGTGATCAGAGGCTTAGACTCCCGCTGTGGGCGGTGCTCTGCTGCTGAGGGCTTTGATTAAGAGTCTCAGGGTCATGTTAGTCAGAATGTCTTTTGGAAAGAACATTTGTTGTCTCTGGAAGGAAAGATGTGCAGAGACTCTTGAGGGGTCCAGGAGACCAGACGTGGGTCTGGAGACTCCCACGGGCTCTGGAAGGCACCACCCCATTGTGGTGCAGATGAGGGGCCTCACTGGATTGTCCCTGGGGAAACGGGACTGCCCTCCAGCCAGCTCCTCCTGAGGCAGGGCCCTCGCTTGTGCCGGCCTTATGAGGGACCCCCAACCTTGTCCCCAGCCCAGCTCTTAAACTGTCCTTCTGCTTGTGTTCCTGGAGCTCATGAGGGATGCCCACCCTGTCCCCAGCCCAGCTCTTAAACGGTCCATCTGCTTGTGTTCCTGGAGCTCATGAGGGACCCCCACCCTGTCCCAGCACAGCTCTTAAACGGTCCTTCTGCTTGTGTTCCTGGAGCTCATGAGGGACCCCACCCTGTCCCCAACCCAGCTCTTAAACGGTCCTTCTGCTTGTGTTCCTGGAGCCGCCTCTTGCAGGGTTGCTGTGGCCACACTTTGAGGAATTGAAGATTTTTGTAGCTGGGCTCATTGGGGTGACTCCAGGTCGGGTGAACCCCCATTCTCTTCCTGAGTGCTACAGCCACCATGAGGGGTCATGGAACGGGCAGGCTGAGAGCCATGGGCCCCAGGTCTGGTGGCCCTGCATATGGAGGCCCATTCACGTGTAGAGGTCCCTTCGTGTGTGGAGGCCCCTTCGTGTGTGGAGGCCCCTTCGTGGCCACGTTAGAGCCTCGCGTTGCTTTTCCCCGGAGGGTGCTGTGGCTCCCAGGCTCATCATTTGGGGCAGTGGCATTCAGACCACTTGGCTGACCCTCCTGCATCCGATGGACATTGCTGAAGTGGCCTCATCCTGGAGGCCAAGCACTGAGAGGAGGGGACAGCCTGAGGGCAGCCCCAGGCCCCTCCTTTCCCTGTCCCTGTGCAGAACCCTGGAGGGGAGAGATGAGAGTGTTCCGGCATTAACAGAAAACCTTGGAAACTGCAGCTTTCAAGAAAACACTAAGGCCCAGAGGAGGACGGTTAACTACGCCCGTTCTGTTGTAACTGGATGTGAAGTAGAAAGGCTGGAGGTTGTTTTGATGTGGCCTCATAAGGGTTAAGTGGATTAGTCATTCGAGGCTTGGTATAAAGAGTCTGAACTAAGAGTCTAAAGATGCACTTTCCTATTCCGGATCTTTCAAATAATGATTAAGCCACGCAAAATGTTCTAAAATAGATTCTCATTTTCCCAATTTAAATGTAAAACAAAGTAAACCAGGCTTTTTAGGTTTACATGTTTGCCTTTTTAGAAAAGAGCAGCCCCACATTTCAATACGGTTGTGCACCATATCCCGGTGTTGTGTTCCATGAGGACCTGCTCCCCGTGTTGTGTTCCGTGAGGACCTGCTCCCCGTGTTGTGTTCGGTGAGGACCTGCTCCCGGTGTTGTGTTCCGTGAGGACCTGCTCCCCGTGTTGTGTTCGGTGAGGACCTGCTCCCCATGTTGTGTTCGGTGAGGACCTGCTCCCGGTGTTGTGTTCGGTGAGGACCTGCTCCCGGTGTTGTGTTCCATGAGGACCTGCTCCTGGTGTTGTGTTCGGTGAGGACCTGCCCCCGGTGTTGTGTTCCGTGAGGACCTGCTCCCGGTGTTGTGTTCTGTGAGGGCCTGCAGGGAACAGTGGTCCCATGGAATTATACAGCCCAGTCCTTACTGCAGTTTTTCTATGTTTAGCTGGGCTTAGATGTACAGACCCTCGCCACTGTGTTCCAGCTGCCTGCAGGACTCAGCGCGGTCACATGCTGTGTGGGTGTGTAGCCCAGAAGCAACAAGCTGCACCACACAGCCTGGGTGTGCGGCAGGCTCAATCGCCGGGTTTGTATAACACATTCTGATGTTCCCACCATGACCAGATTGGCCAACAACACGTTTCCCAGAACCTGTCCCTGGTGTTAAGAGATATGAGATTGATTTAGCTACTTGGTATTTTATATACTTACGAGCGTGTGTCAGAAATATTGAAGCATAGAACTTAGTGACTTTTTATGAGGGTCCTAAAATATCCAACATGCAAATCAGTCTCTGTTAAGAGATTAAAAGCTCATTGTAAAGTGTTGGAAGTCTGTTCTTTACTAGTTTTTGGCTGATGGAAATAAGCCCTGAAGGTACAGCATGAGTTAACCTGGATGGAAGCATCAGAAGCTCCATGAGGCAGGGTGGCCGGTGTGTGTGTCTCAGGACACTGGCAAGCTGACGCTCCCCACAGGAACTTACAATTCTTTGCCCACTGATAGTCATGTGTTTTCAGTAACAAGAAATCAAAACAAACTCACAATTCCACTTCATGGTCCTCTGTCGCTTTTGTGTACAGACATGGACATTGGAATCACATTTTAAATCTTACTTAGGGCCAGGTGCCGTGGCTCACACCTGTAATCCCAGCACTGTGGGAGGCCAAGGTGGGTGGATCACAAGGTCAGGAGTTTGAGACCATCCTGGCCAACATGGTGAAAACCCGTCTCTAGTAAATATAAAAAATTAGCCAGGCAAGGTGGCACGTGCCTGTGTTCCCAGCTGCTCGGGAGGCTGAGGCAGGGGAATTGTTTGGACCCGGGAGGCAGAGGTTGTAGCCAGCTGAGATTGCGCCACTGCACTCCAGCCGGGAGACAGAGTGAGACTCCATCTCAAAAAAAAAAAAAAAAATTTACTTAAAGAGGTAAAAACTGATTAAAAATTGAAAGTGATTTTATACTCTTCTGGAATTGAAGCAAGTCTTATCACTCACATTTGCAGCTATAATCCTAATGAAGTTTTGTAAAATGCTGGGAGGAGACGTTGATATTATTTCGAGAGGGGCACCTGCTCCCACGAGCCTTGCGGGAAGCCTGAGTTTGCCAGTGTTGCCTCGTAGGTGACTCCTGCTGTCTTGGTTTCATTTTTGCTTAGTTTTCTTGTAACTGTGGATACAGTTCGAGTTGGTGCTGGCATGTTCCATTCTCCCACGTTGTACCTTTTCACATGTTAACCTGAATCCTACGTTTTACGATAGGAAAGAATCAGTCCTTGTGGCAGAGGCCCACTGAGGAGCAGCCTGGATTCATGTCTGGGAGCGCTGACTCTGCAGTCAGCAACCGTGGGCCTTGGACCCCCAGGACCACATTTGTAAAGCCTGGATTCATGGCTGGGAACGCTGACTGTGAATTCAGCATCCATTCAGCCTTGTAACCCCAGGTGCACATTTGTAAAGTGAGTAAGGACAGGCAGTTCTAATTCTAATCATGGTCAAGGGATCCTGCGCGTGTAGCTCACGTCGGGCACTTCACACAAGTTAAGGGATCATGTCGGGCACTTCACGTGGGTTAAGGGATCGTGTCAGACACTTCACGCGAGTTAAGGGATCGTGTCAGACACTTCACGCGAGTTATATGAGATGATGCAAAGAGTGGTGTCCGATGCAGAGGGACCTTCAGTTAATCTGCCAGAAGTGAGGTGCGTTATTGACAAACGCACTCTGGCCTCTTTAGATTTGAAAGTTGTTATTTGGAGAAGGAGATGTTTGGATTGATGGGAAGTTTAGTGTTCTGTTTTTTGGTATAGATGTGATTGTATGGGTGTATTTATTTTTTCTCATTTATTATTCAAAAAAGTAATAAAAAGCAACTCACAGATATGACGATTGACATTCAAAGTAAAACAATATCAACAAGATAAACCAGGAGCAGAAGGGACCTGTCAGCATGAACCGCCGTACGCTTGAGATAAGCCAGGAATTTGTGTCTAAAAAGGGATGGAGGCTCAATTAGGTGACTCATGCACCCATTAGATAAAAGCAGATGCCGCGTTTTCTGAACCCCAACTGTAACTGGTCCCTGGCGACAAGGAGACACCCCCCTGGGTGTTTACCAGGAGGCTGTAAAGCGTGGCACGGACCAGAGGCTGCACAGCAGCATCTTCGTAACCATAGCAACCAGCAACCAGCCTCTTCCTCCCAGGCAGGGCGTCCCAAGACAGACCGCACCAGAGGCCTGATGTTTGGTGCAGTCATCTTTGCGGGAAAATGGAAGTGTGGCACAGCACGCCCCCAGCTCTGCAGCGGCTGGGCTGAGAGACCGGAGATGGGCCTCCCTGATGAGGGGAAGGGTGGCCTCTCTTCATAGCATGACCCCTAGCTCGGCAGCGGCTGGGCTGAGAGACCGGAGACGGGCCTCCCTGATGAGGGGAAGGGTGGCTCTGAGGGGCCGGTCCTGGCTGTGTCCTACTGTTGCCCAGAGCACAGCTTACTCCGTACACATTTCCTCATGCCACTCAGTTTTCTTTAGAAGGATGCGCATTATTTTCCTTAATTTTGAGAAAAAACATGTTTGTTTTTTAATGTTTTGGGAAATATAAAATGCACTCATTTTATAACAGAAGAAAAGCAGTAATTCTACCTTCACACGGTTCTCTGGATCTTTCAGCTGCTTTTCCCAGGTTTCAGGGGCCCCATTAGTAGCCACTCAGAGTCAGGGGTGCCGGGCACGTGCCTGCTTTCAGGAAAAACGAGTGACTGGCTTAGTCACCCAGGCTGCTGTAACACATTGCCATAGATGGGCGGCTGAAAACAGCACCTTCATGTATCTGTTCTGGATACTCCAGATCCACGTGCCGGCAGGTGGGGTTCCTGGTGGGAACCTTCTCCCTGGCTTGCGGGAGGCGCTTTCTCACTCTGTGCTCATGTAGGGGAGAGAGGGAGCTCTGGGCTCTTCACGTCTTATAAGTGGCTCATCCCACCTTGGGTTCTCCACCACCCACATAACCTCATCCCACCCGAATCACTTCCCAAAGGCCACACCCTCCTCTTACCGTCCCACTGGAGGTTAGGGCTTCACCGTGTGAATTTAGGGGGACACGAACACCTGCTCCATACAGTGACTTTCATGAGAATGAACATGGGTGCTGTTCCACATTAGGTGAGATGTTTGCCGGACGCGGCTGCTGTTCCACATTAGGTGAGATGTTTGCTTTGGGGTTCTGGTAAGATATGCTGTGTTACAGACATTTCCTGTATTTCTAGCTTGTGAAGGGGTTTTATCCAGAATATCTTTTGAATTCTATGCTTTTTGGGGACATCTGAGTTATTTTTTCCTCCTTGGAAATGGTCCCGTTTTTCAATGCTGAGTCATTCTTCCATTCTACTGGATTTGATTGACAGATACCTTAATTAGAATGTTTGTATCTTCATAAGTGTGACTGTTATGAATTAGAGAGGATCGATGGTGTCTTAAGCTTGACCAGCTGTGAAAGATTACAGGTTGCATTTAACTGTCAGCACAGACTAGAATAAGATGGTGTGTGTGTTCCCAGATAATGCACAAAGGTTAGTGCTGTGATCTCTTAATGAATGACAGTTTTTCATTATATGTGTTAATTGCAAAATCAACAAGCCAACCTTATTTGAGAGTAAAAATCTACTGTCGTATTTAAAAGACATAAATTTGTAGAAATAGAAAGCCATGTTTTTGATGACTTTTAAATCCTGTAGAGAGTCTTTATTTTGTTTTTGGTGATTTTTATTGCAAAATCTCTTCTGTTAATCAGTTTATGTTAAAGCCTGAGATAAAAACTAGACTACCTGAAGCATTGCCTGGAGATGGGTTAGTGAGGGACTAGCAAAACCAGCTGGTAGGTACAAATTTCTGTAATATTACAGTTAAGCTACTTGTCTTTCCTGGGTGGTTAAAAGAGGAGTGCAAGGTTAAGAATCAACTAAATAATTAAAAGACTGATCTGCAGCAGTGAATACAAAACTCACTGGTAGTTTTTCTTGGCAACATTTACTTACTGTAGCATATATGTGTACACCTTGATATAGAACTGAGCTGGCATGCACTCGCCCAACACAGTAAAGCCAGATGCTCACACCGAAGTTTTGGCAGTGATGTAAAGAAGGCGTTTACTGGAGAGCACTGGGCAAGGAGACCAGGCAGCTGCCGCTCTAATCCTGGCCTCCCTGATGGCTATAGCAAGGATTTTTAAAGGTAGGGTTGCAGAAGCTACAGGCAACATCATAAATCAACCCATGGAGGCCACACATTGGTTTAAGCTTAGAAGGGCAGGACGCCCAGTCGCTGGGGCTCATGGATCATAGATGGATTCAGAGATCTTCTCATTTGCAACTGGTTAAAGAAGAGAAGCTTTGTTTAAAAATTTGGGGGTCAACAGAAAAATGTTAACTCGCTAGAAAGACTTACTTTCTCCAAGGCCCTCAGGGAGAAATTTAGAGCAAAGGGCAATCCTTGAAGTTGTGTCTTCACTTCCCCCTAATCTGGGGTCTGTGTGTGGTGGGGTCCTTAGTCGGGGTCAGAGCCTGTGAAGGACAGTTCAAGGGCAGTTTCCAGGCGTTCCTTTAGTTTCCAGAAGAAAGCAAACATCTCTGGAGCATTAGCTTCCTTGGCTATTGTTTTAGGTGATTACCTTCTTAACAAGCTACTTAAGCACTCCTGGGGCCAGCCAGATACCTGGCATTTTTCTGAAAAGAACTTTGGAATTTTCCTTTACTTCCATGCCTGGGGGTTTGCAGGCTCCTGAAAGTGGGGGGTTTCCAGTTCATTTCAACCTCTCTGCAGAAGATTATGATTAGAAAATCATCAAAAATAAATTCATCTTTCTGTAAAACCAGGAAGTTATCATAAAATTATATTGATCATTAATAGGAGTCATGAGAAATATATATGAATAAAAATATATATTTTTTGCTTTTAGAAGGGACTTAGAATGATAAGTAATAGATATGTCTTCTGGAAAACAATTAAGTCCAACTTTATCAGAAATAGATTTCTGAAACTGTGACTATTTTGACCAAATTATAAAGCTGGTTTGGAGTTAAGAAGGGCCTGGACACAAACACTTTGCTCACCAAGTCAAAATAAATATTATTCAGATTTTATTACAGCATAAATTCTAGTTTAGCCAGCATCACAAATGTGAGGAATTCATATTAATATTAATCATATGAATGTAAGCAATAGAATTAAGAGTAATCTAAAACCAGACTTTGATTTTTGGATTTCAGATAACACAGTAGTATTTAATTTGTAATGAACATCACTCAGTTGTTTTATACAATCATAAAATCCGTATTGGGAATTGATTAACCCTTTTTTTTTTTAAGTTCAGTGGTACAAGTGCAGGTTTGTTACATAGGTAAATGTGTGTCATGGGGGTTTGTGATACAAATTGTTTCCTTATCCAGATATTAAGCCCAGTACCCATTAGTTACTTTTCCTACTCCTCCCCCTCCTCCCCCCTCCACCTCCCACAGGCCCCTGTGGATGTTGGTCCCCTTTATGCATCCATGAGTTCTCATCATTTAGCTCCCACTTATAAGACAGAACATGTGGCATTTGTTTTCTCTCCATTAGTTCACTGAGGATAATGGCCTCCAGTTCCATCTGTGTTCCTGCCAAGGACATGATCTTGTTCTTTTTATGGCTGCATAGTATTCCATGGTATACATGTACCACATTTTCTTAATCCAGTCTACCATTGATGGCATTTAGGTTGATTCCATGTTTTTGCTCTTGTGAATAGTGCTGCAATGAACGTGCATGTGTCTTAGTGGTAGAACGATGTATATTCCTTTGGGTTTATACCCAGTCATGGGATTGCTTGGTGCAATGGTAGTTCTGTTTTTAGGTCTTTGAGGCATCACCACTCTGTCTTCCACAATGGTTGAGTAATTTACACTCCCACCAACAGTGTATAAGCAATTCCTTTTTTTCTGCCACCTTGTAAGCATGTGTTATTTTTTGAGTTTTAGTAATAGCCAGGAATTTGCATTAATTAATGATAGAACTTACATTAATCATATTAATAATGTAAGCAATGTAATCTAAAACATGATTTCAAATTGAATAAACTTGTATAAGTTCGTTTTCACACTGCTATAAAGAACTGCCTGAGAATGGGTAATTTATAAAGGAAAGAGGTTTAACTGACTCACAGTTCAGCAGGGCTGGGGAGGCCTCAGGAAACTTATTCATGGTGGAAGGAGAAGCAGGCCCATATTACGTGGCGGCAGGCGAGGGAGAGCATGTGAGAGCACAGAAAAAAACACCATTTATAATATAAACCAGATCTCCTGAGAACTCACTATCATGGGAACAGTGTGGGGGAGACCTCCCTCCGTGATCCAATCCCCTCCCGCCAGGTCTCTCCCTAAACACTTGGGGGTTACCATACAAGATGAGATTTGGGTGGGGATATCAATAGAATCAATATCAAACTCTATTGATTAAACTTTGAATATGATTTTTAGTGCTAAAGAGACTCCGATAAGATGATTCTATTCTTTATTTTCTATTTCCTCCATTCTTGTCACTGAAAGGTGTCCCTCCCCAAGGACTCTAACACCTTAACCTGTAAAGCTTTCTGGGATTTGACAGTTTTTTTGCTGCTATTGGTTACATAAAATTACAAGTATAGGCACTTACCCTATATAACATTGTGGGGTTTTTTGTTTTGTTTTTGCTTTTTAACAAATACATGTCAGTTAGTATTTTCCAAGCTGCCTAAGGAAAACCTTTGTCCCCAAATCCATTTTCAAGAATTAAAAAGCAGCTTCAGGACACAGTTTCATAAAAACAAAAGCAAAGCTAAGGACCCAGGCGGCTGTCTGAGTGCATCTCGTCTTAGGGGAAAGAGCCTTTGAGGGTGCGTCAGTGGAGAGGCGGAAATGGTTTTAGGAACCACGCAGAGATAGTTACTTAGAGATTTCTCACCTTGGATCCTAGAAGGGTTTTTTTGTGGGTTTTTTTTTTTTTTTTTTTTTTTTGTCCATATCTTAAGAAGCGCTAGACTCTGAAAAGGGGCATGCGGTCTTTCAGGAGACGGAGCGTGGCACACCTAAGGGGAACGACATTCTCAAGGTGATCCCTTCCTCACTGCCTTGCGGCATGTCAGAAAGTGTGCTTTCCAGGAACTGCAGGTTGGGCGCTAAGCCTTCGTTTGAAAAAAGCCAAACCTCTCCATGGATCCCTAAGCTTACCGATGCAGAGGATGGCCACTTTTGTGGACAGTATGAGCTGGTGATATTTCTGGTAGAAAAACACGAAGGAGATGTTCATGATGACAAAACAATAGATCTCTGCTGAGCACGGGGGATTGGCAGGAATCATCGCAGGGAAGGTTGCCCGTCGTGTAATCACAAGCAATCATTTTTCGAAGTTAAGAAACGAGATTTAAACTGCTTTACAGTTTACCTCTTGGCCACAGAGCACAGAATCAATGAGCCAGATCCTCCAAAAATCAAACTTTATTCAAGTCAAGAAGCTCATTCTCTTCCTGTGCTTAAGATATTTTTCCCAACCTGCTCATGAAAAATTCACGCAAGGGATTTGAGATTCCCCTTGCCTTCCTCTTGCTTCCAGGGGAAGCTGCCAGGTAGAAGTAGTGAGGAATCTGGTATTGCACTGTCCCAAGGGGCGGGACACCTGCCTTTGAAGACCCCTGGGTTCTGCTCCCTTAGGCACATGAGTTGGGTTGACCTCACACCTGGCCTCAATTTCCAGCCCTCTCATTTACCAGCGAATAGACTTCAAACCTCGTAAAAAAAAACTCCCCTCCCATCAGCCATGAAGTGGGCTTGTAACTCAGATGCCCCGCAGCCTGTCCACAGCAGATGCTCGTGGGAGAGAAGGGAGTGGGAACACAGCTTCCCTGCAGCAGCAGATCTGGACAGCTCTCTGGCTCCCCATACAGGCCGGGGTGGATGCCCTCCTCATCGTCAGGCTGGCTCTGCATAATCAAAGCTTCCTTCGTGAGGGCCACGGCAGACAACGTGGCTAGCACCAAGTACGGTGCCTGGTGTGTAGACAACATAGGGCACTCAGATCTAGTGCCTGGTGCACAGCAGACCCATGACTCTGAACACATGACTATGCTCAGTAAAAACGTCTTTCTCTATGCTCTTCAAATTGAATGTGGATTCCCCCAGCTTCGTGCCTGAAGAGAGTGAGGAACCACCCGAAGCCAGCTCTTGAGGCTGGCAAACATGGAGGCCAGGGAGCAGGAGCACACGGGGCGTGTTGGTGGTGCAGGTGCGCCTAGAAGACCAGGCCTGGCTGCTCTCCAGAATGACCATTTTTAAATGTAGTGATCTTAAATGGTGAAGAGTAAATGCTCAGAACAAAGACATTTGATAGCACCTGTTGAGTGCTGGAGGTATTCTGTTTGTGCTGCTTCAACTTGTGTGTAGTATGTCTGAAAAACTGTAATCCTGCCTCTCAAGATGGTGCCCAGCCACTGTGCTAGCTCAGGCCATGATCCCAGAATGGCTCAAACAACAGGAACTTATGTTCTTGCAGTTCTGGAGGCTGGCAGTCGAGGACAAGGGGCCCATAGCCTGGTTGGTTTCTCCTGAGGCCTCTCTTCCCAGCTTGCAGCGTGGCCTCCTCCTTGTGGCCTCCTCCCTGTGTGCCGGGGCCTCCCCTCTGTGCATGAGTAGGGGAGAGCCCTGGCATCTGTTCCCCTTGTTACAAAGACACCAGTCCTATTGAATTAGGGTTCACTCAAAACCTCATTTAACCTGGATTGTTTCTTCCTAGGCCGTCTCCAAACTATAGTCCTATTGGACTGGTGCACCAAATATGGATTTGGGGTGTGCGTAATTCAGTCCATAGCACCCACCAAACCACAGAAGCTGCCCCGAGCTGATGTCCCGCTATCGGTGCGGCTGCAGGACACTGTCCCATTGCTGCATGGAGCCTCTCGCTGTCTGAGCCTCACCTGAAGCCGGCCCACACCATTTTCTTACTCTATGCATTGGAGCGAAAATGTTTAATTGACTACGATGGGTGATTCCTAAAGTTATATTTGACTCAGAAAAAAATGCATTAGTAAAACTCCCTGTTTGAATGTTTCTAGTATTCACAGCCCGGGTCACTGTCTTTCTATAACGATTGGTATCTGAAATAAGAACATGGGCTGCAACTTACAGCCTTGCTCTTTCTACTATATAAACTTCCCTAATCAAATATTTTTCATTAAAAAAATGTGTTTTTGGAAATAAACAGTTACAACCTGGTTCCCAGCTATCTCTTTTTATTTTTTTTCTTTTAAGACAGAGTCTAACTCTTGCCCAGGCTGGAGTGCAGTGGCGTGACCTCAGCTCACTGCAATCTCTGCCTCCGGGGTTCAAGCAGTTCTAGTGCTTCACCCCCTGGGGTAGCTGGGACTGCAGGCATGGGCCGCCATGCTGGTCACAAACTCCTGGCCTCAAGCAATCCACCCGCCTCAGCCTCCCATCATGTAGGATTACAGGCGTGAGCCACGGCGCCCGGCCCCCTCTCTCGATGGAAGCTTTTCACATCCACACTGCCCCGCTGACACCGGGATGGCAGCTCTTAATCCCTTGATGCCATGAATCCAGCAGAGCGAGCCTGAGAATGGATTTGAGGGGAAACGGGGTGTCTCCCAGCTCACTGGTGCTCAGCTTTGGAAAGCGCAGCTCCTGGGTGGCTTTCCTCAATGCTCCCTGAGTCCCCTGTTGGTTCTCTAAGCATCGCAGGAGCCTAGGTTTCCCCTGGGAGCCACTTGGGGAGGCCTGGGTGTCCTGTCTGCATGCCGATGAAGACCTCACAGGGGGCTGGAAGCTCTGCAGGCCCTGCCTGCCCTGCATGCTTCCCCCACTGCGAGGGATTTCTCCACAGATCTGGCTTCTCCCCTGCTGAACCTGTGCTTTCTGATCTGCCTCACTCGTGGCCTCACTCATGGCCATCGGCCCTCAGGTCCACGGGGCCCTGAAAATGCTTTGAATAGAGCAGGCTGGGGTGGGCTGGCAAGCAGAGAGGGACACAGGCAGCCCATTAGAAACACG
This sequence comes from Homo sapiens, assembly GCF_000001405.40. Classification (NCBI taxonomy): domain Eukaryota; kingdom Metazoa; phylum Chordata; class Mammalia; order Primates; family Hominidae; genus Homo; species Homo sapiens. The sequence goes on from NC_000008.11 coordinate 1,138,570, forward strand.
AGAAGACACTGAGAAGTTCAAGTGCGAATAAAGTGCCGAGTGACATTCCCAACGAATTCCGTCTTTAAATGGAATGTTGCTGGCCTCCCTCTCAGGTCTGCAAAAATATTTTTTGAAGCCAAGTTTCAGTCTGCAGCGGTGCCTTCTCTTCCTGTTTATTTACTAGTCCTGGCCTGTGCGGCTGGTGGGAAATTCTTCTTGTTTATTTACTTGTCCTGACCTGTGCAGCTGGTGGGAAACTCTTCCTGTTTATTTACTAGTCCTGGCCTGTGCGGCTGGTGGGAAACTCTTCCTGTTTATTTACTAGTCCTGGCCTGTGCGGCTGGTGGGAGACTCCTCCTGTTTATTTACTTGTCCTGGCCTGTGCGGCTGGTGGGAAACTCTTCCTGTTTATTTACTGGTTCTGGCCTGTGCGGCTGGTGGGAAACGTTCACCCTGCCTCAGCCCCCTGGCTGGTTACGCACTGTTCTAGTTGAAGGAACTTTTGAAATTGCTCTGGAAGTCCTGGTTGTTCAGGTGTTTCCTCGGGTGATGACTGTTTCCTGAGCGCCTGCTGCCGGCCGCTGCGGCCTGGCTGGGGGGATGTGGGCATGGGTGGCCTGCTGGGCTGCCTGTGAGACTGGGGTGTGCACAGGGCGGGGGGAGCTCCCAGCCACCAATGGCTGCCCCTCGTTGCCCCTGTGTTCTCTGCCAACAGCTGTGCTTATCTTACAAAATCAGGTCAGTAAGCACTGTCTCAGCTGAGGCTGCAGGGATGCAATACCATAGGCTGGGCAGCCTTGTCAGCAGACATTTCCTTCTCACAGTTCTGCAGGCTGCAAGTCCGTGATCAAGGTGCAGCAGGTGTGGAATCTATGGATGATGGTGTCCTGGCTCACAGATAACACCCTCTCATGTGTCCTCACGTGGAGCAAGGGGCCTCCCTCGGCGCTAATCCCATTTGCAGGAGCCCCACCCTCTCAACCTAGTCACCTCCCAAAGCCATCACCTTGGGGGTTAAGATTTCACTGTGTGAATCTTGAGGGTACAAACATTCAGTCCGTGGCAAGTAGGAAGCCCACAGGTCACTAATTAACATGAAGCCCAGGGAGACACTTTATCAAGGGAACAGTAAGGCCACCTAGAACTGTGGCACCCGACAGGCCCCTGTTATTTCAGGACCTTCTTGGAGAGGGAGTGAGGATGGTGCCTGGCACAGGGTTTGGGGTCTGACAGGTCCCAGGGGCTCTCTCAGCACCGTAAGTGTATTAACTTTTTTAATTCTCATAAGGGGTCTGTGGCGTAGGGTTCTATTACTGGCTGCAGTTAAGGTGAGGGAAATCGGGGGGAAGTGAGGGGATTTCCCTGAGGTCACACGGCTGGTATTTGGCAGAGCGAGGCTTGAACTTGGATATTCTGGGGCCTGAGCCAGCCTTGCTGCCCTCTCCACTGTGCAGGAACATGGCACATTTTCATAACATTTCAAATTTTAAATGGTGCTTTTTTTCTATGTAAGCATCATAACAGTGTGGCCATCAGCCCAGTAAGAAGAATCATCTCCCATTTCCATTACAAGGAAACCTAGATTCAGAGCAGATACAGCACTTGGCCAGGCCCATGTCGTAGCGGGGAGGTGCGACCAGGGTGACATGAAACTCCGGGCCTCAGCGCTCGTCCCGCTCTGCCGAGGGCATTCCTGGATGAAGTGTTGCCGGGTGGGTGACAGCACCTCTGCTCCTTGGGAGGCTCTGGATGGTCCCACGCCTTCCCTCTGGCCTCCCTTCCATCTGGAAGGCAGAACAGGGCACACACACCTGCTCCGTCCTCTTTGCAGTCTCCTCCATGCCTCATGCCCTAGGGTGCTTGTTCCCCTACCAGTGGTCTGTCCCAGCAACTCCCAGAACCAGCCCTGGTGCCCTTCGGAGGCCCCTGGGTCCCATGCACCTGCTCAGAGGCCTCCTGGGGCTCTGGCCCTCATCCTCCTTTCCCTCACTCAGCCGGGCTGGGAGCTGACTTATCAGAGGCCCCATAGGGCTCTGGCCCTGACCCTCCCTTCCCTCACTCAGCCAGGCTGGGAGCTGACTTCCTAGGTTGTCCTCCTGTAGTTCTTGCCACCTTGTTCTTTTTAAATTCCCTGCCTTGGCCGGGCACAATGACTCATACCTGTAATCCCAGCACTTTGGGAGGCTGAGGTGGGCAGATCACTTGAGATCAGGAGTTCAGAGACCAGCCTGGCCAACAGGGTGAAACCCTGTCTCTACTAAAAATACAAAAATTAGCTAGGCGTGGTGGCATATGCCTGTAATCCCAGCTACTCAGAGGCCAAGGCAGGAGAATCGGCAGAAAAATCGCTTGAACCGGGGGGTGGAGGTTGCAGTGAGCAGAGATTATGCCACTGCACTCCAGCCTGGGTGACAGGGCAAGACTCTGTCTCAAAAATAGATAAAAATGATAAGTTCTCTGTCTTCTTCATTGAAGGTGTGGCAGGAATGTGGTTTGGTTTCCTTGGGTCTGTCTTTGTTGAGTTCAGGACTCTGCTGTGTCCTGTGGACAGTAATGATGGGGAGGCCGTGCTGCCTGGAAAAGGCAGCTTTCTCCTGGGGAGGGACTGAGGGGCTTTTACGTGGGGGCTGGGTCATGACTTCCAAAGCAGATGTGGGAGTGACAGGGAGTGTTCAACTGAGATTAGAGAAAGGTGTTCGTTTCAACTGAGCGTTGAAAGTTGAATACTTTTTAAATTAACTTATTTTTAAATTCTGTAACTGGATTCCCCAACAAAATTGAATTTGGGCTAAAGAAACCCAATTGGACCTGATTTATTTTATGCTTGATAAAGCATTTCAAGCATTATTTTATGCTTAAAAACTCACGGGCACGTGAATCAGAACTCTTGAATTCCACACAGCTGATGGTTAGAAGAGAGCCTATATTATTAAAAAAAGAAAAATGTAATCCAGAATGTTGGTGTTGTGGTCAAATAGGATCTTTCTTATATTATTAATGGGAACTCAGACAGCCATAACCTTTATAAGAGATTACACCAATTCTAGAATATTTTTCCTGTGGACATACTCAAAGACATGGGTAAGTATTAGCAAAAATTTGGAAACAACCTTCAGGTTCTAACATAGAGGAATGAGAAAATGAATTATGTACCCAAAACTTGGCAACAAAAATCATAGTCTTCAAGAATATTTAATAACATGAGTAAAGTGCTTAACATATAAAAATGACTGAAAAAAATGACTCAAGGCTGAATACTAATGATATTTATACAAAAGCTTGATGCTTATGTTTAGATTTTAGATGCTTTCTTTGTTTCTCTAAATTTTGAAAAATATTTTCAAAAATTTCTGAAATGAACTCATTATAATTTTTAAGCATGCTATAAAGATTGTATATGGAAAAATTTGCAAATAAGTAAGCTTATTTTTTGTTTAAGAATGACTTGGAGAAATACATCTCAAGGTATTTTTCTGCTTTTTAGATGATTCAGAAGTGTCCATATTCTGCCTACGTATATAAGTTTTTTTTTTTGCTATGAAATTGCCATTTTAGACAATCGTTTTTCCTAAGAAATCTTTGGAAAGTAAATTTGCATTTTATTTAAGGATTTGAAGATCTTTAAGGTTCTGAGAGGTTGCTATACAGTTTTTTGTGTGTATTAATTGTATAATAAAATTATGCATCATAAGGTGGTTCACCAACAGAATGAAGGGTTATACAGTTAATTTTTTTCTGAAGAAAAAAAGTACGACACAGAAGCCATGAGTTCTGAGCATCACATGCCTCATAATTTTAAATGTTAGAGAAAATGAGTTGATAGGCTTAGCATATCCCTTGAACGTAGAGATTTGCAAGAAAGAAGCTAGATGCAGTGTTCGCACACAGAGATTAGAAGGGAAGCCAGTGTTCCCTTATGGCTTCGATAGATATTTGTGAATTATTTGGGTCTAGTATAGAACATCTTTTGTAAAAGTGCCATAAGAAGATAAAACATGGCATTTCTGACGTGAAGAGCTGAAAAGGGCAGGTCTCAATTCATGCTTGTTCTGTAAGCCCTGGAGTCACAGGGTTTTGGGAAGTGCGGCGACTTCGGTGAAGTGGTAACAGCTGTTCCGTTGGCCGTTGGAACGGCTTTGCTAGGGCAGGACGGGGCTGCCATTGTCATCCCTGCATTATTGGAGTCAGGACAGTTCTAGGCATGGGGAGGGTGAGGGGAGGGAGGTTAGGCAGAGGATTGAAAAGCAAGGAAAGCCAGCCCTTCAGGAGAGACCTGGCGGGAGGAGGAGATGCTGGGATCATGGCGTGGGGAGCAGCAGGTGGGCAGGGCACACCCAGGTTTCCGAAAAGCCAAGAGGGGTCGTATCCCCTTCCTTTCAGAATTGCTCGTCATGTTCTCATAGAGACTTTCCCAGGGAGAACTACACAGGATAGAGGCCATTTTTCCTGAGATTGGATTTATAGGAAGCTGGCAGGACAGCATCCCCTCTGCAGGGGCCTCAGGGTGTGGGACTGCCGGCCACAGCGGGGCCACCAGCTGCTTGATGTTAGCGCAGCGGCCACCCTCCAGCCAGGGTTCTCTCCTTTATAAATTGGGGGAAACAGTCTCTCCCAGTCTCTGCTGCTGTTCTCTGTATAAAGTTACTATATGACAAGGGTAAAATGAAAACACATACAATGTGCTGGAAAGGACAGAAAGTTCCACAAACTGACGTGAATGACGCACTGAAACATAGACATCCTAAGCAGGGTGTCTGTCTGAAATGGGCAATAAGGAGAATTTCTCTAAAATCTCTGCATTCAAATTTTTAGTTTACTGTTTCACCACTCTGAGTATCTCCCCTTAATATCTCTATCAAACTTTCAGTTTTTGGTTCCACGGTTTCTTTCCAAAAAGCTACAGACGGGATATTTACTGAGTTGTGATAGCACTATGTTTCAGGAACTGGAACAGGAACCCACGGGTGTGGTGGATTTCCGTGAGGTGCTTCAAGTTACATCTGGTCAGCGCTCAGGACTCAGCCCCGGGCTCTCCAGGCTGCCTGGGAGGGAAGTGCAGTTCTGCAGGCGGCATCTGAGAGGCTTCAGAACGGGCCTCTCCTTCCCTCACCCACGCTCCCCACTATTTGGCCCACGGATGCTACACGCTGGCCACCCTAAGTCACTGGGTGCCCTCACCTTGTTCTCTGTTCTTTCAAACCCAACCTCCCCAACAGTCACCAGCACCTCTGTGTGCAGGCATTGTTGCTTTCCCTTCTGTGCAGTGCTGGACCCTCCTGACCTGCACCTGTGCCCCTCACTGAGGGTCTGTGCAGATGCAGCTTTCTGTCTCCATTGCTAGCTCAGCTAGCAACATAACAGAGGACTAGATGCACGTGTGTTATTTGAATGGCATAACAGATAAGGGAAGGCAAGATAATTAGGAGGAATTTTGGAATACCTGGAGTTAAGACCATATTCCCCACAAAGCGCATCTTAGTCCTGTTATTTCCCCACAGCACCGCTTGTTTCCTCCATTGCATACCTTTCCCCTGTGCTCAGAATGTGAGGAATGATATCGAGTAAATTAATGAGGGGAGTCACGGAAGAATAAAGATGAGGCAAAAAGAAAGGAGGGGAATGGCTTCCAGCGGGCGCGTTTTCACCGCCCTGTGCTGGAAAGGCACTTAGGAAGATAATGAATATAAACTCACACTATCTGGACACAGATGGAGAAGGCGGTGGAGCATTTGAGTGGATGATTAAAGAGAAAAACAAATCAGGAGGTAAAATTACTGTTTATGGGCCAGGGAGGCCACGTCCTAAAGTTTAGTGGAATTGTGCTTTAGAAAGAATGCTGTAAGAAATCCAGAAGCTGTGAAGACGGTAAAGACAATGATGACAGTGAGCTTTCTTGTTTCTTTGAGGCTTCCGAATGCTCCTCCCCAGTCTGCGTCCTGCTTTGACTGGACGTTGCAAACAAAAGATTCTTGCTTTGTCTGTCTCCATCCTTTCGACCACCTCCAGAAGCTACAGGAAATAAACGCTCTTTCCATCCTGGTCCCTTTGCCACCCACAAATACGGAGAAGTTGCGTCTAGGTAAATATTAATCTCTGCTTCTGCTTTTCCTTCCTGTGTGCTGTGAATACAGGCCCTGTCTGCAGTTTTACTTTTGGCTGAAGTAGCCCATGCTCTAGGGTCCATCCAGGAAACACACAGCGCACAGTCAAACCGCAGACGGCCTGTACCCACAGTCAAACCACAGACGGCCTGTATGCACAACCAAACCGCAGACGGCCTGTACCCACAGTCAGACCGCAGACGGCCTGTATGAACAGTCAAACCACAGACGGCCTGTACCCACAGTCAAACCGCAGACGGCCTGTACCCACAGTCAAACCGCAGACGGCCTGTACCCACAGTCAGACCGCAGACGGCCTGTATGAACAGACAAACCACAAATGGCCTGTATTCACAATGCAAAGGAAGGAAAAGCAAAAGCAAAAGTTAATATTCACCTAGATGCAACTTCTCTGTATTAGTAGGTGGCCAAGGGACCAGGATGAAAAGAGCATTTATTTCCTGTAGCTTCTGGAGGTGGCCAGGAGGATGGAGACAGACAAAGCAACCAGAAACACAACTTTCCCCCCAGCCACCATCCAGAAACACAGCTTCCCTCCAGCCACTGTACAGAAACACAGCTTGCCCCACCCAGCCACCATCCGGAAACACAACTCCCACCCACCCACCATCCCTCCAGGAAGCCGCTGTTTTTAATCCCCTCCCATGAGTTATGAATTGTGTCTGGTGTGGTGGACCCTGGAGCATGGGCTTGTTGGCTGCGGTTCCACTCGCCCAGCGTGGGGCCTGGGAGACCTGGCTGAGCTGGTGTGTGGTGTCCTCTGTACATGACTCCACTGTGGTCTCCCGTCCTGTGGGTGTGCATGCTTCATCCATCCATTGCAACGTCAACAGACCCCTCTCCTCCTTCCACTTCTCTCCTCCTGTTTTCTAGTTTGAAACTCTTACCAATAATGCTGCTGTAAACATCTTCTGCATATTTTTGGTGAATCTATGGATGTATTCTTTTTTTTATTATACTTTAAGTTTTAGGGTACATGTGCACAATGTGCAGGTTAGTTACATATGTATACATGTGCCATGCTGGTGTGCTGCACCCATTAACTCGTCATTTAGCATTAGGTATATCTCCTAATGCTATCCCTCCCCCCTCCCCCCACCCCACAATAGTCCCCAGAGTGTGATGTTCCCCTTCCTGTGTCCATGTGTTCTCATTGTTCAATTCCCACCTATGAGTGAGAATATGCGGTGTTTGGTTTTTTGTTCTTGCGATAGTTTACTGAGAATGATGATTTCCAATTTCATCCATGTCCCTACAAAGGACATGAACTCATCATTTTTTATGGCTGCATAGTATTCCATGGTGTATATGTGCCACATTTTCTTATGTATTCTGTTGTGTGTGGGTAGCCCCAGGATGCCGGGTGGCAGAGCATGCCTGTCCCCTCTAACACATCCCAGCAGACACTTCACTCCACCAACCCACACACCCACTGCCAGGCCAGGAGGGCGCCTGCCACACATCTCTGCAGCCACGAGGGTGTCAGCCTCTCCACAGGAGCCCCTGCAGGTGCTGTGACAGCATCTTGTCATGGTTTAATGTAACTTCCTGGATGCTCGGTCACCTCGAACGTCTTTTCTTTATCTGCCATCTGATATCGCGTAGCCTCTGTTAAGAAGGGCTGAATGGAGTCCCGTGCTCATTTTCCTAGTGTGCTGTCTTTACGGATTCCAGATATGAGGCCCTTTACAAACACAGGTTTTTCTAACGCCTCTTGCTCTGTGGGACATCTTTTCATTCTCTTAAATGGAATCTTTGATGATCAGAGGTTCTTACATGTAATTCAGTGCCATTCATCAATATTATCCTTTGTAGTTAGAACTTCCATTAGGTTCTGGAAGCGTTCCTGCGTGTATTTAGACCTGTAATATCTCTGGAACTGTGTGTGTGCACATGTGTGTGTATGCACATGTGTGTGCACCTGCGCATGTGTGTGCATGCACGTGTGTGCATGCATGTGTGTGCATGTGAGTGTGTGCATGCACGTGTGTGTGCATGTGTGTGCATGTGCCTGTGTAGGGAGAGGGGGGGCTACATTCATTCCTTTTCCTAAGGCATATCCAGTTGGCCCAGTACCAGCTATTGAAAGGACAAGCCGTCCCCACTGTCCTGAAGTGCAGCCTTTCAGAGTTCAAGTCCCCACACAAGGGTAGGCCTGTTTCAGGGCTGCCTATTAGAACCATTGATCTCTTTGTCAAACACTGAGCCAATTCCTCACTGCCACAATTATTTTTATTGCCGGATCTTGCTTTTCTTTTCTTCCAATAAATTTCTCCTCTTCAGAATTGGCTTTATGTTCCAACCCTGCATTTCCAGATGAATTTTAAAATCTGCCTCTCAGTTTTTAAAGAACAACTCATTGGGCTTTGATTAGGAATTTATGGAATCCGTAAATTAAAATTTGGACATTTGGCATCCTTATATTGAGTCTTTCAAATGCATTGACATGGTAGTTTCTTCCATTTCTTTGGGCCCTCTGAAGTTTCTCCCAGTGTTTTACAGTTTTCTGTGTATTTGTGCATCTTCCTTAGATTTATCATAGGTATTCGATATTTCCTCATGCTATTGTAAACTTTATGTGCGTCAAAAAAATGATGCTTTTGTAAAAATGAAACTCTGTAAAATAATTTACAGGTTTTTTATTGCTATTGTATGGAAATACATTTTTTATTAACTTTGATTCTAGTGATCTTGCTACATTTATGTATTATTTAACTCTATTTTTTCTGTAGACATTTTAGACTTTCTACATTTATAAGTTGTCTGCAAATGCCAGTTTTATTATCTTTCTTTTGAAATTCATAAATTGAATTTCATTTAACGTTTTTCTCATCAAGATGATTATGTAATTTTTATACCTTCTTCTTTTTTTTTTTTTTTAAAGACAGAGTCTCTGTCACCCAGGCTGGAGTCCTGTGGTGAGATCAGAGTTTACTGCAGCCTTGAACTCCTGGCTCAGGCTCTCCTTCTGCCTCAGTCACCCTAGTCACTGAGACTAAAGGCAAGTTCCACCAAGCTCAGCTAATTTTTTCAGAGACAGGGTCTTGCTGTGTCTCCCAGGCTGAACTTGAACTCCAGGCCTCAAGTGATCCTCCCACCTTGACTTCCCAATACAGTGGTATAGTGATTGATTTCTGAATCATAAATGAAATTTTGATTCCTGAAATAAATACAATAATTTTATAATTTAAAAATTGTTTTAACATGTAATATTTGCTAATGTTTTATTTAGTGTTTTTCTATTTACGTTTACAACAGATTGTCTATTTTTTAAAATCCCTTTGATTTGGAATTAAAGTTAATCTGGCCTCAAGACAAGTTTGAGAAGTGTTTCTTTTTCTCTACTGTGAAGAATTTGTATAGTTTATATTATTTATTCTTTAAACATTGGAAATATTTCTGGAGAAGCCATCTACTTCTGGTGGTTCTCTTATGTGAAGGTATAATTACAGATTTGATATCTTTTCTAGACAGGACTGTTAAGATTTTTTTATTTCTTCTTGTGTCAGTTTTTATAAGTTGTGTTTTCCAAGGAACTTTTCCATTTCAGTTGGATTTACAAATTAGTGATAGAAAATTAGTTACACCACCCTCTTAAAATATTCTCATGTCTTTAGGATCTGTGATTATTTTCCTTTTCAATTCTGATGTTATTGCTTTAAGCTTCTTTTGTTTTCTCTATTAGTTTTAATAGGAATTTATCAATATTACTAGTCTTTTAAAGAATAATATTTTTTGATTTTGTTGATTTTTTTCCCTACACTGTGTTTTTAAATTAATTTCTGCTTTAATCTTTGTTGTTTCTTCATTTGGATTTAATTTCCTATCCTTATTCTAATTTCTTGTGATTGATGTTTAGACTTTTATCTTCTAATATATGAACTTAATACTTCAATTTTTTATGTTCAGCTTTAGCTGCCTCTCGAGTATTAACATTTAATAATTGAATGAGCTTCAGCTTAAAACATTTTCTAATTTTCATTTTATTTCTCTTTTGACAAAAATATTTTAGAAGTATATTTCTTAATTTTAAAATAATTTGCCATTTTCTAGTTAGCTTTTCATTATTGAGTTCAAATTTAATTCTACTGTAGTCAGATAATATATTCTGAATGTATTTTACGTATTTCAATTACTTGAGCTTTTCTGGGTCTTTTTTTAGGTTCCTGCATATGGCCAATTTTGGCAAATGTTTTGTGTGTACTTAAAAAATGAAATTCTTTTATTTCTGACTTCAGTGGTCTCTATGTATCAATAATTCAGTATTAATCCTTGTGTTCAGATGTTTTAAATCTTATATTTTCGGATTAATTTATGTGCTTAATTGATCAGATTTATCCAGGTTTGTTTATTTTTGCTTTTGATTCTGTCAATTTTTGCATCTGATATTTTGAAGTCACATAGTGGGATGTACAAATTCAGATTGTCATACCTTCCTGAAAAATTCACTATTTTATCATTGTGGAATTACCCTCTTTTTTTTTTGGTTTGAGATGGAGCCTCGCTCTGTTGCCCAGGCTGAAGTGCAGTGGCGCAATGTCGGCTCACTGCAAGCTCCGCCTTCTGGGTTCACGCCATTCTCCCGCCTCAGCCTCCCGAGTAGTTGGGACTACAGGCACCCGCCACCGCACCCGGCTAATTTTTTTTGTATTTTTAGTAGAGGCGGAGTTTCACTGTGTTAGCCAGGATGGTCTCGATCTCCGGACCTCGTGATCCGCTCACCTCGGCCTCCCAAAGTGCTGGGATTACAGGCACCAGCCACCGCGCCTGGCCTGAAATTACCCTCTTTATCTCTTTCAGTGATTTCAGTCTTAAAATCTACTTATCTGATTTTAGTATATATCAGTTTTCTTTGGGTTAATATTTGCATGTTATGTCTTCTTTCATCATTTTACTTTCACACTTACTATATTCTAATATTTAAGTTTTATTCTTTAAGCATATAGTTGTTTCTATTTTCATCTGGTCAGACTGTATATATTAAATGTAATTCATGACATCCAGGAATTTCATCTGCCATCTTACTATTCCTGTTGTATTCTCCACTTATTTTATATTCTTTGTTCTCCCTTTCTTGCATCCAGTTGTATTGACCTAGATTTATCTTTTTTATTCCACATTTTCCTCTCTTGACTCGTCACTTTCACTTTCAGTAGTTCCTGAGGATCACCACAGTCATCTCTAGGTTATTAGAAACTCAGACCGATGGGTGTTATTATCACCTTCCAGAAAATGCCAAGACCCTGGAACCTTTTAACTCCTCTGATATCTTCCTGCTCTGTGTTTAGCCACAGATACGAATTCTGTATGTATGTTTAAGGTCAGTAAGACATCAGTGTTATTGTTTTGTGTGGTTGATATTTAGATTTAGTGACCCACATATTCACCTTTCTTTGCTCTTCATTTCTTCACTTATTTCCTTGTTTTTTCTGGGGTTGTTTTGTTCCTCCCTGAAGAGCTCCCCTAATTTTTGCTTTAGTGTGAATCTCTTCGAAGAAAATTCTCTCAATTTTTGTTTGCCTAGAAATGTCTTCATTTCGGCTTTTGATGAAAAAGATGTTTTCTCAGCTCTAGAACTGTAAGTTGGCAGTTATCTGTTTCAGCCTTTTAAAGCTGTCATTACACTGTCTTCTGCCTTCCCTGTTTTTATTAGGAAGCCAGGGCATGGTATCATTGCTTAAATCTTACGTTTCTTTGGCTTCTTATAATATTTTCTCTTTGCCTTTGGTTTTTAAAAGTTTTACCCTGCTGTCCTAGGCATGGCTTTGTATCCATGTGTTCTGTGTAGAGCTGAAGGCTGAAGAATCTTCTATCTGGGAATGCAGGACTGTGCCAGATTTGTCTTTTATACTTAAAATTCCCCTTGGGACAGAGACGAGGATTTGTCATCATGCCTCATTCCTATGAATCTACTGTGGCTTCTAGAAAATCCAAGGAGAGAAGGGTGGTGTCCATGCCCTGTTGACAGGATTGGACACTGCTCAACTTGGAGGTTATTCTAATGCTAGAGAAAGAAAAACAAAATGGATGAATATAACACTTTCTTCCATGTAATAATGGACATAGAAGTGAGAGCATACATGTCAGACTCAAAAACATAGATGAGTTCTTAAAAACTGAAAAAAAGTGTTATGTGAGAATCTGAAAAACTAAATATCATTATTTGAAATATATTAAACACCACTTCTCAAATAAGTTTTTCTGACTTTAAAAATAAGACAGACATGAAAAATATATGGAGTATTACTTTCTGAGATAATCATTATTATTTGGATATAATTATTTCTGTTTTTTGTATGTTTGCAGGCACATGTATGAAACACACATACATACATATGTAATCGTTATGCTTTGTTTTTGATTTGGTCCTCCACTTTCTTTTTTCATTGAAAACGATGTTAACATTTTGATATTTCATTAACATTTTTTCAGATGATCATCGGTAGTGACTGGCTTCTATCTCATGGATGCGTTTTTATTCACTTAACCACGTCCCTGCAGAGGAAGAAAAACTTTTCCTCTACCCTCTTTCATTTTTCAGCTGGAGTCTGCCAATTAAACTGACAAAAGATAGATTCATAGGAGAAAAGTCATACACATTTTGCTTGATGTTAACATTTTTACATGCACAGTAAAAATGAAAAGAAGCTCCACAGTAAAAAGTGAAAAACTCAGAGGAGCAGGAGACTCAGGGGCTCATAGGGCACTTTAACAAAGGGTAACACGATGCAGAGAAGTCACTGTACAGAGGAAAAGGACCTTTGGCCTACGCGGGGGCAGCTTTGGGACGGTGAACACGTGCGAAGATGAACGGGAGAGGAGGGTTATCTTAGTAAGGCTTGTTTGCAGATCCTCAGTGCAGGCTTTCCGTCTCTGACGATTCCGGTTGTTCTTTGCCTGGTGAGGGAGGTGAGGGGCACCTTCGCAAGGGGAAATGAGTGCACTGGCTTTAGGTAGAAAGGAGGAGGGCAGAGAGCTCTTCCGGTGCCTGTGGTTTCTCTCTTGCCTTCAGCTCAAAGCGGTGCTTAGGCCAAAGAGGCCGATTGTCAGGTGGCGTCGTCTCATCTTCTCCATCCCCAGGATCAGGCATTTAGGTTGTTCTGTTTACACGAACTACTCTTTGTACTGTTGCAGTCAACTTATTTTTACACAAATCTTTGGCTTTCTTTCTGGTTATTCCATTAGAACAAACTATTGGAAGTAAAATTAAGGGTCCAATACCATAAACAGCGAAGCGTCCTGATATGTAAAGGCTGATTGCTTTTCTGGTTGTTGGAATACATGTTGGTTCCCACAAGACACCTGCGAGTAGTTTTCTCACCTCAACCTCACTAGCATTGAGCTATAGTTCATTTTTAATGTTTTCCAAATTAGAAGATGACAACTATATTCCATTTTAGTTTGCATTTTTCTGTTTCCTTGAGAGGCACAGTATGTGTTCAAATATTTACTGGCTATATTTCTTCTGTAAATTTTATTTGTAGACATTTATCTATTTTGCTATGAGAGTGTTAGTGATTTTCTTATTGTTTCCTTCGAATTCTTTATATATTGTTGATACTAATACTTTGTGACTTTTAGAAATATGTTTGCATTCAGACTTTTGCCTTTTTATTTTGCAAATGCCATTTTTAACATATGTAAATTGTGAGGTAGTGTTAAATTTCCCGCTAGAACTACCATCATTAAAACACAGAGTTTGATGGAACGTGTTGCCTCAATGCAATGACACTAAGTATTTAAACGGGATGAAATAGAGTCTCTGGAGCTATGAATGACTGGAAGACTCTTCCTTCCTTCAGTTATCTGGTCATAGTGAAATAGGAAAATGTATGTTCATTCCTCTCCCAAAGGCCCTTTTTTGTATGACTTAAAAAGTGCAAAGCAGTGAGTAAGGTGGTGGTTGATGGAATGATGTCATGGGGGGCCCAGCAGGGGAGGTTTGGGGAGGGAACTCCCAGGGGTGCCTGCAGGGCCTCCTAGGATGCGAACTTGGGTTTGGGGAGAAATGGGTCTTCCACCTCTTGGCATCATCACTGTCTTAAACATGCTTGCTTAGAATCAGCTTCCTCCCAGATGCTGAAGCTAACGGCTATGTCTAAAACCAGATGGGCCAAACCTACATCACATTTTGCCTCTTAGTGGCTCTGTGCAAAAAATGCTGCCGTGTTCTTCCACAAAACAGCCATTTATCTTGCACACCATTTGCTTTGGAAACTAGAACTTAAGCAAATCAGCATCTTTTTGCAAAGTATGGAAGCACGCCCACTCAAACATTTTTCCTCTCTGATGTATTTGGCACTATTAATTCAAGCTATTCTGTAGAAATTTAAAATGAAACTTACCTCCTTTACTCATGCTTAAGATTCTTTTAAAAGACAGGAAATGCTTTTATTTCAAGAAACTACCTTTGAGAGGCCTTCTCCCCCTGCTTTGACCCACCCTGACTTAGTGCATTTCCACTTTTCTTCCTGCAAAGGGCCTGACCCCTCAGTTTCCAGGCTCCGAGCGGTGTGGCAGGCAGAGTGGTTGGTTCCTCATGGTCTGGCCAGAGAATCATCAGTCTCGATCTGAACATGCCCAGATAATTGGGGTCATTTTCTTCGGAAGGAAAAAAATCAGCTTTTGGCACTGGCTATGCCTAAATCATAACTTGCCTACCTCAAGAGCTATAAAAGGCAATTTAGTCGGGCTTCTAAACACGCCTCTTTCTAGTCACTGATTTAATTAGTGTAGAACATGGTACAGTTCACTCTTTCTCAGCAGTGTGTACCGTAGAAAGCTTACCAGTCGCGTGATTATACGAAATCCTTTCCCCGCTAATGAATCCAGGAACACATTCTACCAATGTTGATGTATATGGTGCCCACCGAGTTAATTAACCTGTTTTTATCCTCTTTTTCATTAGAGTAAAATTATCAACTAACATTGTGAAAGACACAAACCAATATTTTTTAGACTTTTCACAGGCGTATCAGAATGTGAGTCTAATGAGAACTAATTCATCAAAACTAGGCTTTTCCTGCATTGCCAGACCATTAACATTATTTTAATGTCATTAGCTCTGCTTAGCGGCAGACATTTGCAGTCATAACTGTTAGGAAACACAGCGTAATGTTTTGCAGATCTCATTTCAGTGGTAAAATTTCACCACCTAAGGTCTTGATAAATGCATCTAGCACTTTCCTTGGCAAAAATATTACTGACATGAAAATCAGTTCAAGTGCACTGGACCCCAGAGACGTTTTTCTGTCTCCTCCCCTTTCCTAGGGGGTTTCATGTTTGCAGTGATCTTATTTTTCAGTAATTTTCTTTTCTTGTGTTTTCCTTTCAAAAATAACTTTATTGAAAGGAAGCAAGCATAAACAAGGGGAATATGGAAGAAAAGAAACAAGCAAGCAGGAAAAAGAAATAAGGAACTAAAAATGTGCATACATGGATATGCACCAGTATCAAACCAGATGGCTTCATGTGGATATTGTAAAGATCGAATGCCTCGAGGTAATGTAAGGGGTAATTGTGAATCACTACGGCGTCGTCCAAGCAAAAGGGAAAAGAGAAAATGCCTTGCAAAGCAAATGACACTAATGTCAGGTTTGAAGAGCTGAGTTACTGACCTGGGGTGAGTTTGTGAGATCCCCCAGCACAGCAGAACAGCCAGGACCAGGCGTGGAGATGTGCCAGTATTTGCCCCCAAACGAATACATCGAGACACGATTTTATCCAGATGCCCCTCTCTTCCAACTGATCAAAGTAGTAGGTGTCACTCACTTCTACCGTAAATTTGTGCATATTAATGATTTCCCTTATTCAAAGACAAGGCAGGGAAAATTGATCAGAAGAAAACTGAGAAACTAAATTAAGCAATTTTTCATTTATTTTCTGCTAAGTTTCTTGTTTCTTTTCTTCTTTCATCGCAATCACAAGAAAAGACAGAAATAGATTAACCATCCATTAAAAACCCCAGCAGCCAGTTACACTGCCACGGAAGAGGCCGGGACTAGCTTTCCAGGCCCCTCCGCAGTCGAGGACCGAGCTGCCTTTTCTCCCGGAGTCGGTCAGGATTTCCAGTCCTTACTGTGGCCGGGCACCCTCTATAGTCCTGCCGTCCATCCCGCCCTAAAATAAGACTGTGGGCCTGACAAAGGCCCGGGGTGCCTTGGAGTTAGGATTTCAGCTGCCGCTCTGCTCTTCCACCCTCCAGTGTCTGCTACCTGGACGCGCAGTGTCCTCGGCCTACAGGAACCATGTCTCTCTTCTTACTGTTTCTCCTCACTGCAGCCCCTCACCAGGACGTGAATGGCTACTTCTTCCCGGGCCTTGTCCCTCCCTCCCATCCTGCTTCTGTTCCCACTCATTCTCGCAGGCCTCTGCCTGGGCACCAGCACCTCTCACCCTGGCCACTGCCTTCGTCGGAGGGGCCGTCTTAAACCCTGCCTGGGTCCCGTCCCCTGGGTATCCCTGGGGCAGCGGCTGGCCGGGTCCCGTGTCCCCTGCGTCTCTCCTCTGCCCAGCACACACCAGGGTTTCTAGGAACGCTTGCTGGATGAGTGAACAGATGCGTGAATGACTTGTCGCTTCTTCTTCTTGTGGCTGCACTCCGTCTTCCCGGAGGGAGTGGTTTCCAACACGCTTTCTTGGCCTCTCTGGAAAGTCCCACCGCTTCCTGCGAGGGGCATCCGGGCTGGGGGGTCTCCCCGGATGGTCTCCGAGTGGAGCTCTTGCCAGGGGGCTGCTAGCTGGGATCGCGGCGGGCGCACCGGCTTCCCTGGGAGTCTTTTAGCAACCTTAGAAAATTCACTCTCGGAATCTTGGAGGGAACTTTTCTAAAGAGTTTCCATGGCAGGAGGCTGTTGACGACAGCATATGTGATGTGTGATGTGTGATGTGTGGTGCAGGCTCGCAGGTTGCAGGGTAGCCCCAGCTCTCACCACATCTGGCCGGGGTTTTGCTTCGCGATGGGCGCGGTCTTTCCGGACTCCGAGACCCCCAGGCCCCTCCGAGGCCCCCAGGCCCCTCCGAGGCTTCCCAGCGCTTCTCACTTCCCCGTCCGCGCGGGCTGCGTCCCTGGAGCGCGGGGCCTTGGTCGGTGGGGCTGGGACGCCCCGGTTCGGGGGCAGGTGCTGCAGGCATTCGTGGAATGAACACACGATCTCGAGTGGGCGAGCGGCGTGTGTGGAGAGGAAGATGAGGAAGGACGCGCTGTCTGCATCCAGCGGCGGGGGAGGCCAGTATGCAGAGGCCGAGGGAGCTTCGGGGCTCGGGGAGGCTGGGTGGGCGTCCCGTTCCTGCGCTGCCCCTGACGGAGTCCCCGTCGCAGAGGGCCTGTGGGCCGGTGACTTTCTGCAGCTGCTGCTGCGTCCCTGACACCCGCACGGCTGATGCCCCTCCCGCCATTAAGCAAGGAAAGCTCTTGGTACAGCCGAGCCCTGTTTCAGGGGCCGCAGGTGCAGGGGCTTCCCTAGGAGCCTCCCCTGGGCTTGGCTGTGTGTGAATCACCGGGGCTGCAGCTCTCAGACCCTCCCTCTGCCGCCGGGAGCGGCCGCTTCAATGAACCTGAAACCCAGGACCCGGGTAGGTCTCCTCCTCCTTCCCGTTTTGGCGCTGCTTACCCAAGGAGAGCCAAAGCCACTCCTGAGGAGAGGATGGGAGCTGCAGAAGCCTGGTGGCCCGGAGGAGAGTTGGGGAGGCGGCGGTGGCCTCACTCTGGACGCCCCTGGGTCTGGCCGTGGGCCGTGGCACACACAGTGTCCCTGTCAGGCCTCACACGGTGCCAGGCCACACGCTCACGTCTCCATCTCACCTGCCTGGGTGGCACAACCCGTCACACAAGAAGTCAGGCGTCTTTAGGAGTGGCCCCGACTCCCCCAAATCCCGGCCACGCTCTAGCTCAGCGCCCCTGCTCAGCCCCCCAGCCCAGCGCCCCAGCCTAGCGTCCCAGCCCAGCGCCCCAGCCCAGCGCCCCGGCTCAGCGCCCCAGCCCAGCGCCCCAGCTTAGCGTCCCAGCCCAGCACCCCAGCTCAGCAACCCGGCTCAGCGACCCGGCTCAGCACCCCAACTCAGCACCCCCGTTTGGTGCCCCAGCTCAGGATCCCCGGCTGGTGCTGACGTCTCCTTTTTGCTTTGTTCCCAGGTGGCATTTTTCATCCAGCTTCATTCACACTGAGAGAGGTTGGTAGAAAGGTTCTGATTTCCACGCGAAGATGAGGAGGCTGACTCAGGAAGGCCCTGCCGTCCACTCAGGGTTCCCAGTCGGTCCATCCTTGAGTTCCTTGTCTTCACCGTGCTTAATTCTCCACTGTTACAGCTCCTCCCCCGAGTCCCCTCCAAGTTTCAGGCAGGCCAGGGCCCCAGGCTCTCAGTGGTACCTTCAGAGGAAGCCTCTGAGGGACTCGGTGGTGTCAGTTAATTACAGAAGTTTTGACAGACTTTGGTTTATCCTTTGGTCTTTCCTGGGCTTGTGGATTTACTGGTGACCGCGGGGAAAAGTTCTCTCTCTTTAGCTGTGATCAGCCTGTGGGTTCCGTACCCCGTGTGTGAAGCAGTTCCCGGGAGCATTCACGCGATTCCCCAGACACGCTGGAGGATGTCCTCTCGTGGCACAGATGCGGGCTGTGATGTTCAGAGATGGCCTGCTCAGCCATTTCACCGATGGATGCACTTCCAGCGACGACGGCCCTCAGGGAGTTCGAGTCCTCTTGAGAACTTGTTGTTTTTAAGAGTACATGCTAGGAATGGTAGAATCATAATTAGAAACCAAATTTTGCAATGTTTTTCATTCCCTTTCAGTCTAAAGTTTTCATTCCCATCTCCCAGCCCCTGAAGACCCATCTTAGATTTAGACTAAATTACGTGGGCCTTTCAGAACCAATCAGGCTGTGCTCTGTGTCCCGGCTCCCAGAGCAAGACCAGCCAACGGTGGCGCTGTGTTTGTTCTGGGGCTGTTCTCACCTGTGTGTCCTCTTTGGCAAATGTACTGTAGGAAGATAATTCTAAAACTCTAATACAAATAATAATAGGCTCTTAATAAAAATAACACATGGCACCATGACAAGAGAACGTCAGCCACCCACCTATGCGTGGAGCTTCGTCATTTGAAAAGCCTTTTCAACACAAGGTCATCCTGGGATCGGAGGGAGGCGATGAGGGCACTTCCCATTCACTGAGCACAAAGCATGTCCCAGGCGCTATCTCAGATGCTGCCGGTGTTCCGTCTTGTTTAGTCTTCTGGGCACCTTGTGTACGTCAACAGTTATCATCCACACTGTTCACTGTGCCTTCAAGAGTATCAGGAGTTATACAAGAGACAGATTCCAGTTTTACAGAGGAGAATCCTGGGCACCAAAGTGGTTAAATCATGGCCCACCCTAGCTTATGGCACTGTGCAGCTGCACAGCTGCCCCTTGCAGGTTCTGCCTGAGCATTTAGTTTTTCTAATAGACCATGCTGCTTCGTATTTACAGCTATTAATCTAAAGCTCATGTAACTCAAACATATTTGGTCAGCCTAAATTTGCCAGTTTGAATAAGCTATATAATGATTTTGTGGCCAATATAACTTTTTGAATTAAAATGAGGCAATGTAAAAAATTGCCATTATGGTGCATTATACTGAGGAAGCAGCAGACGTCATTATGTGCGTACATGTATCTGTGTGTTATATGTGCATGTATGTATGTACATATGTAATCTAATTCCCTCAGTAGACAGTGTGTGTGAAGATGTTTTATTGACTTATATTTGAGATTGCCAACTTTTACTGTATGCTTGATTTGCAATTAGTGTCACTATACCTTGGATCATTGGGGTTTATTAATGTAATAATTATACCTTTCCAGTGGTGTGTATGTGAGTGGCTTTCTAAAGATAGTGTTTTCCTATATATAAACTGCTCTCTTTTCATGGCTTTGGACGATACCTGTGAAATGAATGGTTTATGTGGAAGCCCTGTATGGTGCCAGGTTGTTTGAACCCGCAGACGGCCGTTGCACTCTGTGTTTAGTGAGTGACGCCGTCCACGGCAGCTTTGACCTTTGTGGGCTGCGCACCCAGAGCCACGCGGGTCCTGGTGGCTCCGAGTCACACAGACCCCTTGAAGTCTCCTCCATGATTCTGTCCACATCGACAACTGCACAGTTTTTTTTCTTGTGTGTTGGTCACTTTGGGGACCCCGTTAGTGGGATTCTTACTTCCTATTTTCCAAAGGACATGCTTAGAGGGTTCGGCCTGACCAGTGGAACTGAAAATGAGTAAAATCAAAGGAAACTTGCATGGACTGACCCCTCTTAAAGGTACAGAACTTTGTATGTTTTTCTCTTCCTTTCCCTGTATTTCTGCAGAGATGAAAACACTTTCTTGTTAACCTCGATGTCAGTGAGCTTTACCCAGGAGCCACACTGCTCTGTTACCCTTGAGGAGGGAAGAACGTAGACCTGGTCATTTGACACCTTTAAGGGATTTGTGTGATCCTTGGAAAGATGTCTGATAAAAAATACAGACAAGGTTGAGGTCTCTGCATTTAGTCAAAGCTATTATAAATGTGAGCAATTGTTTTGGTTCTTGTTCCATCTATGAAATCAAATTACTGCTTTATCTGTCTCAAGAGTCTCCTGTTGTTTAATCCTTTAAGGAAACTTGTAATTAAACAATGTAAGAAGAGGTATAAGGGATACTGATTTTGATTTTCAGGAAATCGTTTACTTTCAGGACTGATTTATTCTGTGGGATCAAAAATGCATCTCAGAGCCCAGGTTAGTGAGATGTATCGTATGTCGACAATTAATACGCAGTTATCAGAGTTCCTTACGTATGGAGCATTGCACTTGGTTTATGGAGACACTGGATTTTTAGTTATTAGAGTTTTTACTAAGATGTGTTCTAAACAACTCACGAAGCAGCACACTCTTCTGTGTATTTTTCTATCTAGATTTGTACAACAGAGAAAGAATACCTGCATCTATCAAAAATATCTCAGAATGGAAATATTGGGATACTTTGGTTATTTTATATACATTTTCATTCCGCAGATGGCTGGTGCAGTTAGTTATACGGAGTTTGAGGCTATACGATTTCAGTCATACATTGAAAAATACTAGTGAAGTATTCAAGGAACGAATGAAAAGTTGCTCTGTGTTTATTGATTGATTACCTGGAACAAGGTTGAACACAGCCCCCGCAGGGGTGTCTGTCTACAGGCCCCCCAACCCCTGAAGGAGGCATGGACACCAGGCTGTAGAATGCTGCTCCCACCTCCCTGTGAGATTAGAACAAAATTTAAATAAGCATCACCTGAAAGGTCTTGGCGTTGTGGAGGCGTCTTTAAGTGTGAGGAGGCAGCACCACCTGCACGCTGTTTGTGATGACCGTCGTCGTAAACTGAGCCCCCACGGCACCTCACAGGCGGAACTTCCATCTCCCACAGCCCGGAAGCTGACGCCGCGGCCCGTGGGTTCGGAATTGCTCTGAATCGCTGTGCACTATTTGGCAATGTAAAACTGAGGCTGCTACTTAGAAGTAGTCAGTTCACCGTAGAAAACACCTGTATAAATAGCACAGTTTTTCAGCTGGGTGGGGACCTAGGCATGGAACCACGGCTTTGACATGCCCTCGGCAGTCAGTGATTGACAGGTCCCGTGCCTGGTTAGCAGGGTCCTTCTGGAGAGTCTGAGGATCAGCCCCGCCCCAAACTCGGGGCAAGGAAGTGCTGGTCTTTGCCTTAAGGTTTTCTGGGATGTGGGCGCGGGCGTGAGTGTGCACGTGTGCATAATTTTCTCTAGCCTTGGAGGTGCTTTTTATTCAGCTAGGGGAGTCTTTTGTGGTCATTTTTTCGACTGCAGACTGAGAAGGACGTGGTCCACGTGTTTTTGCTTTGGATGCCTTTATCTTACACTCATTATTTTGCCAGTTTGGGGAGTAGCAACTTAGTTCTATGTACAGGCCTTGGAGGAGATGGCTGCTCTCCGCTGGGCCCCATTCGTTTTTACTTAAATGTGTGTGTAATGAGGCTAACTCCAGGACAGTGCGGACCCTAACATCAGCATGGTGCAGACCACAAAGTGTAAAGCCACCCCGAGCCTGGCTCCTTCCATGCAAAGCCTGGCGAGGAAGGCGAGGAAGCCTGGCAGGGATGGTTTTTTCACCACCTCGAAGACCAGCACGCGATTCCGCCTCTAGTTTGACTGTTTTTGTTGTTTAAATCTGAGTCTAGCAATCAGGTAAGTAACTAAAGACTGGCCGTCATCTGGGTTTTTCACCTAAGGAATTATTTTACCCCATAGCTGTGGCAAAAATAGCCACCAAGATGTTGGTGAATGTATTTCATAATTGGATACTATTCTAATGCATTTACTTATATCCAACTTATTCCTGAAGGTACTTAAAAAATTGATAAGACACTTTGCCTATTCCAGCAGGTTTACTTTTATGGCTGTTATTACTAAATTATCAGCAGTGAGGAATAGAAAACGGTCTTACATTTATTAACAGTTTGCATTATGTCAGCTTGTAAACACATCGATGTATCCTACTATGCAGAGATGTCTTTGTGGCTGGCATGGATAGAACCATCAGCTGGTTTTAAATACACAAGCTGACCACACCAGCCCAGGGCCTGGTGTGGAACAGGCATGAACTAGGTGTTGTAGGAAAGGAGATGGTAAGTGGAAAGGCGGGCTTAACGTTTTACAGGCAGGTGGAAGATTTCACTGAGCTTCTCAACTTCCTGATCAAAGGTTCTCTCTGGAACAGAGATCAAAAGGCTTTAAATGCTGGCAGAGGGCTCAGCGATCTTGCAAACTGGCCTAAGAGTGAGGGACAAATTCTGTTGGGATGTGTGGGGGCCGGCACAGGGAGAAGACCTCCTAGCAGACACACACTCACATTTCAGGTAGAAAATCGGCGCCTTCCCAAACTCCGCTCCACAGAATGAGCTGATGAGACTCGGCCCTGGAGTCATGCACATGGTGGTGGGGTTTGAACGCCTGTAGGGAAATGGAGCCTACCTAGGGCTCACACCAGGGGTCCATGTCTCTGTCTCAGGGCACGTATGGTCCAGCCCCGTGGAGCCGTCCTGTGTAGATGAAGCCTCCCCCGGGTGCCATGGTGCACCCACGGGGCTCCTGGAGGCCTGCTGGGGATAGACAGAGGCCACATTGGTGCCTCTTGGTGGCTTCCTGTGCTCACGGCCTGCAGGTGCCCTCTGGAGCACAAGCTCGAAGGAGACGTGGTTCCCACCCTTGGGGCTTTAGGTATAGAGAGGAGATCCGTGTGCCAAGTCAGGGGTGCGTCAGAGTCACCTGAGGGCCTTCCTGCTAGAATGCAGGTGCCTGGGCCTGGCAAGATGCACTGGCTGGACCAGCGGCCTGTGAGGGGAGCCCGGAGCCTGCGTTTGCAGCAGAAGTTCCAGCTGATTCTTATCTCATTAATGCCCGTAAGCCCGTGGGGCAGATTCCACAGGAGGCTACGGAGGCAGGAAGCCCTCCCGGCAGCAGGGGCGGCCAGTGCTGCAGAACTCGGAGGCGAGGGAGGCGGCGATTCATCCATTTTGAATGGAGAGTGTCGTTATTCATTTATTCATTTCACAAATATTTGCCAGTGTTTACCCTGCACCGGCGTCTGCGTAGGTGAGTCTGACTCCATTACATGTTTGTTTCTAGCCAGCGTGAATTGAGCAGTGGCTGAAACAACACACACTGGTGGTGGAGACGTCTTAGGTAGAAGAGAAAGAATATTGTTTTCAATAGGAAAATGCATCAGTTAAAGCAGTCTGTTTCTACTCGTGGAAGAGAAATATGCAACTCACTGCTAGCATCACTAGGAACAGAGACCATAAATACAGAGAAAATTAAGCAGGTTTTAAAATGATCAAAATATAAACTATCCAGTAGTCTGGTAATAGTCAATGACATTCAGAATAAATGATGTGCAATGTGAGCGTGCATAGCTTGAAGTTCCATCTTAGGGCTTAGAAGGTTGAGTGTTTTCTGGATATATTTTTATTTCATAATATTAATTCCATAATATAGTTTAGTGTGCAAACAGCCCCAGGGAGTGACTGGGAAGATTCAGCCATGGAGGCTGTGTCCGTTGTCTGTACTGTGTCTGTTGTCTGTACGGCGCTGTGGCCGCCAAACGGCCCAGTTCTGATCTCGGGAGGTCCCCTGGGTGCTGCTGTGGGCAGATGCTAGCCCCGGCACGGGGGCACCAGAAGAGGGTGCTGGGCTGGGGTCCACGATGGCTTGTCCTCCGTTTGCTCAGCTGAGGGGGCTGCCATCTGGGGAGGAAAGTCAGAGCTTGGTAGAAGGCACCTGAGGCCCTCAAGGAATCCCATCCACCTGGGAGCTTTGGTGTTTGGTGTAGGACTCCGAGGTGAGGCCCTGGAGTGTGAACGTGGAGTCCTCGGCTGGTAAGAGGCCCGGGGCTGCGGCGTGTTGGGGTGATCGTGTGTCTTGTCCCCTCCTCCTGTCCTCCGTGGCCAGGACGCACGTGCACTGAAACTAGCGCCAGTACCGGAGGCCACTGACGTGTCTGTGCCAGTGAAAAACTGACGATGGCAGCTGCGCCTCCTCCCAATCGCCTCCCTCTGGGGAGTCCCCTGTTCTGAGATATTAAACTCCCAGACGGGACCACGCGGGCTGTGCCGCACCCCCTGCCTGCTGCCGGCCTTCCCGGGGTGTCGTGTTCCCTTCGCCTCCGCTCAGCGGGTCCGCGGTTCCGGCTGGAGACGGGCGGCCCCACGCTGGGCGAGGGGAGGCCTGTGTCCGATGCTCTGGGACCCTTCCCTGCAGGAAGCAAACTCTGTGGATGCCAGTGACAATTATTTATTCACCAAGATTCCAAAGACTCGGGAGCTGTAGGATTTGGGATTCATTAGCGAGTGTGAGCAAGGTGCTTTTGGGGCAGAGAGCTGCGTGAGCCAAGAACGCGGTTGTGTAACTGACCCCGGAAGCGCAGGGCCCGGGAGAGGCTGCAGGCGGCCGCCTGGGGAGGGCCGGGGATCGAGAAAACGCTTCAGGAGCTGCTTGTAATGACTGGGCACATTCGGTGGTAATTGGTGTTGGTGGGAGTAACGCGGCCGCCGCGGGTGCAGGACTTTCCTGCCTTCTGTTTTCTAAATGGCAGCGGTGAGGAAGCAGCTGCCCGCGGGGTGTGCTTGGGTACGGAGGCTCAGGAGCTCTGCTCAGCACTGCGGCTGCCGACACGTCCTTGCTGTTGGGCTCCCTTCAGGAGAGAAAGTCCGGCGTCCGCGGGCCCTGGCTTCCTCCGGGTGAGGTGGTGGAGCCGCCTGCCAGGCCTCCTAGACGAGAGCCCTCTAAGACTCAGTGTTCAGGGTTTTTCTTAGACGAGACGCTTTCCTTCATCTCCTCTAGTGAGACTCGGTCCTTAAGGCTGACGCTGGCGCCGTCTTCTCTTCCCTGTGCTGGGGACAGATTTTTCTGTGAGCCCGCAGGGCCCGTCATTTTGGTTTGTGGGGATTTTTCTGTGAGCCCCCCAGGGCCCGTCATTTTGGTTTGTGGGGATTTTTCTGTGAGCCCCCAGGGCCCGTCATTTTGGTTTGTGGGGACAGATTTTTCTGTGAGCCCCCCCAGGGCCCCTCGTTTTGGTTTGTGGGGACTGATTGTGAGCCCCCCAGGGTTTGTTTTTGTTTGTGGGGACAGATTTTTCTGTGAGCCCGCAGGGCCCGTCGTTTTGGTTTGTGGGGATTTTTCTGTGAGCCTCCCAGGGCCCGTCGTTTTGGTTTCTCTGGAGCTGCGATTCAGCCCCATGTGAAAGTCTGGAGGCGATGGCCTGGCTCTCACTGGCTGACGTCCTGTTGGGGGAGTTAACCAGGTAACCAGGTTGGGCGTGTGGGAACTTTCCTCCCTTCCCGGTGGTGCCACGGATGCTGCCCAAGTACTTGTGGGTCATATTCTAAGCCCAGATGCCACAAAGCCCAAGTCAGAGGGAAGAGCCATGCTCAGAACCGCCAGGGCCTGTCTCTAAGGCCCTTGCCTGAAATTGAGCTGCATTCTCTGGATCTCCATCGTCAGTTCTGTGAAGTTTGTCTTTCTGACTCCTCCAGGCCCGAAACAAATGTCTGAGGTCTATGTGAAAAGTCATTCTTTCAGAGAAGCTTCCGACTGCTGCGTGTGGAAAGTGTGCGTGTGACAGTGAGAATACCAGGTCCCTTTGTCAGCGTTGCTGAGACAGCTCCAGTCTCTCTGTGGTCTCACTCTTGACCTCGTCTCCTGTAAAAACACATGCAAGATGCAATCGTGGAAAATGATAAAGTTGTTGAGCTGTAGAAACCCAAATTATCTTCCCATTAGAGAGTCTGGGAGTTGGAGACTGTTATGAGTTCAGGGATGGGGTTGGGTGTTGGGAGTCCGGGGTCCTGGCTAAAGATTCTCCTCCCTCTGGGCCGCTCCAGATGACATGTTTCCTTCCCTCTCAGGCCCTGCACTTCTGCTGCCAGATAGAGAGAGAGGAAGACAGAGAGGGGGAGAGGAAAGGAGACAGAGAGAGAGGGAGGGTGGGAGGGAAGGAGGGAGGTAGAGGGGGAGATGGGGGGGCGGGAGGAACAGAGGCAGAGGGAGAGGAAGACAGATGGAGAAGAAGGGAGACAGAGACAGAGATGGGGAGAGAGACAGGGAGAGAGAGAGAGAGCACGCGCATACAGCATCAGCCCTCAGGGCCCCAGGACCATCGGCCGTTGGCTACCAAGCGCTGGCACAGCCGGGCTCGGGTCTTAGGGGACAGGTGCTGTGATCAGAGGCTGGTTTTTCTCAAAGTGTGCATGTGTGTCTGTGCATTTGTTTTTGGTGCAAAGGGCATCGCACTAATTAATGTGTACATTTGCTCATCAGATGGTGATTTGCATGGCATGTGTTGCCAAGCCTTGTTCTAGATACTGGGATACATCAGCCAGCAAGACAGGCAGTGGCCCTTGCCCTTGTGAAATTGTGCAGTCGCTGCGTGTGACTGTTACATGATTTTCGTCTTTTTTAATTTTTAATTTTATTTGTCGAATTTACGTTTTTAGCTCAGTTTGCTGTGCAGGTGTTACAAACAATATTATGAAGATTTGCTCTTTCAGTTTTTCTTAGGAACTCTAAAATTTTACAGTTTGTATCTCCTCCTGTTACTTTAAATTTTCTTCTTTGGCTATCATTTCTTAAAAGCCTAATTTTCCCACGTTAGATTTAAGGGAAAAAAAAAACATTCAGGGAGGCTTCATAGATGTGCCACTTTTAAGATAATAACAGATTTTGTTGGTTGCTGTTTTAACCATTATCCAGTTTCTTGTAGTTGCTGTTGACTTTTTTCTTCCAGTAATATTTGGAAAAAATGTGGCTAATTATTAAGAAAACTGAATAATCTCCCGTCAGTAACCCATGGGTGCTCTTTGCCCAAGGTTATCTAAAGAGGAGGCTCTTGCCCTCTCTCAGGTCATGGCACCTTAGCTACTCCGTGCCAGGGCATCAGCCCTGTCCTTCCCCGGCCTCTTTGAGGTCTTGTTTGTCTTACAGCGTCTGAATTTATTTATATATTTTAAACAAATGCCTGCACCACATCCTTCTACCCTCCTGCTGCCTTCCTGAGTCATGGCTAATGGCCCAGTCCCCGTGCAAGATGCACCACCCCGTGCTTCCTTATTCCCGAGGCCCCGGCCTATAATTATCCTCTTCATTCAGGACCGACATCTCCTTGAAGATGTAACCAGGTTGATCATTTAATAATGCGCCATCTGATTTGACTTCTGATAGCTCAAGCTCTTACCCTCTGTTCGTCTCCAGGAAGGAGTGGGCAGAGCCTTCACATTAGAATATTCTGTTTGATTTTTCTCCTCCTTTTCACTGTATATATTGCTCCATTTTGCTGACATTTTTATAGAAGGGCAGAACATTCATGAGAAATATCCCTGCAGGTTAATGGTGTTTATTTCTCCAATTATTTTATCCTTTCTAAGAATACGGAGTCTCCTGTCAATGCCGCATAAGCATGTCGTCTCTGTTTCCAAACTTGTCTGATTTAATCACCCCACATTGTGAACGTGTATCTATCAAAAAACATCACAGTTTACCTCTCAATAAATTATACAATTATTATTTGTCAATTAAAATAAAATTTACATACAATAACAATGGTCTCTGGTAAATGTAAGTATTGTTTCGTGGTTTTCTACATATGGATAATGATAATACTATATTTAAGTAGCTTATGAATTTTGAAAGAAAAAAACACTCCTAGTGTTTGGGAGGCCAAGGTGAGAGGACCACGAGGCCAGGAGTTCAGGATCAGCCTAGGCAACATCTCTGCAAAAAATTTTACAAAAACTTATCTGGGTGTGGTGGCATGCACCTGTAGTCCCAGCTAATCTGTAGGCTGAGGTGGGAGGATCGCTTGAGCCCGGGAGGTTGAGGCTGCAGTGAGCTGTGATTGTATCACTGTACTCTAGCCTGGGCAACTGATCAAGGCACTGTCTCTAAAAGAAGAAAAAGAAAAAAACAATTTGTAAAAGCCTCCTGACTTACATGACCGAAAAAGTTAGAAGAAAAAAGCACATGCATGAAATTCACAAGCAAAGGCCCCCAAAGGTCTGACTCCATGAAATTTATCACAAACCCTCAACCACAGCAACTTCAAGAGCAGGAGAGAAGTAATTGGCTTTCTCGAGTCCAGTACACACTGCAGGGCAGACCAGTGTACCTCACAGGGAGTTGCTAAGCAGGAAGAAAAAGGCAGAGAGGGGTGAGGCTGGCAGGGCAGAGGCTGTGTCCCCGGCTGCTAGGGAAGCAGAGTTTCAGGGTTTTATGCATGTCAAACCCATGGTGTTTCTACATGAATGACTGGAATTTCAGTGTTGCAGACCCAGGGGATCTTAGTCATGAACTGCACCCTAGTTTCCTTTAATCAGATGATCATAAGTGGCCCACATTGAGGTAATACTTAAAATTATATTGCACATAATTTAACCTTGTTTTAATGTTTGTGAAAGTTAATTTCTTTAGGGTAGTAGGCACGCAATGGAATATTCTTGGTTTATGGAAATCTGGAACTTCTTAGGACATTGTTGGGCATCAGCATCCATTCAGTTGACAAACATTTGTTGAACGTCTACAGTGTCTGACACTGAGGTACAAAGTCAAGTATAAAGTACCTGGTTGAGGTCCTAAACCAACGTTCAGTAGAGGGATGTAGACAGACACGTTAGCAAGTACTTAACCTGAGTCCATTTTTTTTTATTATACTTTAAGTTTTAGGGTACATGTGCACAATGTGTAGGCTAGTTACATATGTATACATGTGCCATGCTGGTGTGCTGCACCCATTAACTCGTCATCTAGCATTAGGTATATCTCCCATTGCTATCCCTCCCCCCTCCCCCCACCCCACAACAGTCCCCAGAGTGTGATGTTCCCCTTCCTGTGTCCACGTGTTCTCATTGTTCAGTTCCCACCTATGAGTGAGAATCTGCGGTGTTTGGTTTTTTGTTCTTGCCATAGTTTACTGAGAATGATGATTTCCAATTTCATCCATGTCCCTAGAAAGGACATGAACTCATCATTTTTTATGGTTGCATAGTATTCCATGGTGTATAGGTGCCACATTTTCTTAATCCAGTCTATCATTGTTGGACATTTGGGTTGGTTCCAAGTCTTTGCTATTGTGAATAGTGCCGCAATAAACATACGTGTGCATGTGTCTTTATAGCAGCATGATTTATAGTCCTTTGGTATATGCCCAGTAATGGGATGGCTGGGTCAAATGGTATTTCTAGTTCTAGATCCCTGAGGAATCGCCACACTGACTTCCACAATGCTTGAACTAGTTTACAGTCCCACCAACAGTGTAAAAGTTTTCCTATTTCTCCACATCCTCTCCAGCACCTGTTGTTTCCTGACTTTTTAATGATCGCCATTCTAACAGGTGTGAGATGATATCTCATTGTGGTTTTGATTTGCATTTCTCTGATGGCCAGTGATGGTGAGCATTTTTTCATGTGTTTTTTGGCTGCATAAATGTCTTCTTTTGAGAAGTGTCTGTTCATGTCCTTTGCCCACTTTTTGATGGGGTTGTTTGTTTTTTTCTCGTAAATTTGTTTGAGTTCATTGTAGATTCTGGATATTAGCCCTTTGTCAGATGAGTAGGTTGCGAAAATTTTCTCCCATGTTGTAGGTTGCCTGTTCACTCTGATGGTAGTTTCTTTTGCTGTGCAGAAGCTCTTGAGTTTAATTAGATCCCATTTGTCAATTTTGGCTTTTGTTGCCATTGCTTTTGGTGTTTTAGACATGAAGTCCTTGCCCATGCCTATGTCCTGAATGGTATTGCCTAGGTTTTCTTCTAGGTTTTTTATGGTTTTAGGTCTAACGTTTAAGTCTTTAATCCATCTTGAATTGATTTTTGTATAAGGTGTAAGGAAGGGATCCAGTTTCAGCTTTCTCCATATGGCTAGCCAGTTTTCCCAGCACCATTTATTAAATAGGGAATCCTTTCCCCATTGCTTGTTTTTCTAAGGTTTGTCAAAGATCAGATGGTTGTAGATATGCGGCGTTATTTCTGAGGGCTCTGTTCTGTACTATTGATCTATATCTCTGTTTTGGTACCAGTACCATGCTGTTTTGGTTACTGTAGCCTTGTAATATACTTTGAAGTCAGGTAGCGTGATGCCTCCAGCTTTGTTCTTTTGGCTTAGGATTGACTTGGCGATGCGGGCTCTTTCTTGGTTCCATATGAACTTTAAAGTAGTTTTTTCCAATTCTGTGAAGAAAGTCATTGGTAGCTTGATGGGGATGGCATTGAATCTATCAATTACCCTGGGCAATATGGCCATTTTCATGATATTGATTCTTCCTATCCATGAGCATGGAATGTTCTTCCATTTGTTTGTATCCTCTTTAATTTCACTGAGCAGTGGTTTTTAGTTGTCCTTGAAAAGGTCCTTCACGTCCCTTGTAAGCTGCATTCCTAGGTATTTTATTCTCTTTGAAGCAATTGTGAATGGGAGTTCACTCATGGTTTGGCTCTCTGTTTGTCTGTTGTTGGTGTATAAGAATGCTTGTGATTTTTGTACATTGATTTTGTATCCTGAGACTTTGCTGAAGTTGCTTATCAGCTTAAGGAGATTTTGGGCTGAGACAGTGGGATTTTCTAGATATACAATCATGTCATCTGCAAACAGAGACAATTTGACTTCCTCTTTTCCTAATTGAATAACCTTTATTTCCTTCTCCTGCCTAATTGCCCTGGCTAGAACTTCCAACACTAGGTTGAATAGGAGTGGTGAGAGAGGGCATCCCTGTCTTGTGCCAGTTTTCAAAGGGAATGCTTCCAGTTTTTGCCCATTCAGTATGATATTGGCTGTGGGTTTGTCATAGATAGCTCTTATTATTTTGAGATACGTCCCATCAATACCTAATTTATTGAGAGTTTTTAGCATGAAGTGTTGTTGAATTTTGTCAAAGGCCT
Source organism: Homo sapiens (assembly GCF_000001405.40). NCBI lineage: Eukaryota > Metazoa > Chordata > Mammalia > Primates > Hominidae > Homo > Homo sapiens. The sequence continues at coordinate 1,170,119 of NC_000008.11, forward strand.
TTTCTGCGTCTATTAAGATAATCATGTGGTTTTTGTCTTTGGTTCTGTTTATATGCTGGATTACATTTATTGATTTGCGTATATTGAACCAGCCTTGCATCCCAGGGATGAAGCCCACTTGTTCATGCTGGATAAGCTTTTTGATGTGCTGCTGGATTCGTTTTGCCAGTATTTTATTGAGGATTTTTGCATCAATGTTCATCAAGGATATTGGTCTAAAATTCTCTTTTTTGGTTGTGTCTCTGCCAGGCTTTGGTATCAGGATGATGCTGGCCTCATAAAATGAGTTAGGGAGGATTCCCTCTTTTTCTGTTGATTGGAATAGTTTCAGAAGCAATGGTACCAGTTCATCCTTGAACCTCTGGTAGAATTCGGCTGTGAATCCATCTGGTCCTGGACTCTTTTTGGTTGGTAAGCTATTGATTATTGCCACAATTTCAGCTCCTGTTATTGGTCTATTCAGAGATTCAGCTTCTTCCTGGTTTAGTCTTGGGAGAGTGTATGTGTCGAGGAATGTATCCATTTCTTCTAGATTTTCTAGTTTATTTGCGTAGAGGTGTTTGTAATATTCTCTGATGGTAGTTTGTATTTCTGTGGGATCGGTGGTGATATCCCCTTTATCATTTTTTATTGCATCTATTTGATTCTTTTCTCTTTTTTTCTTTATTAGTCTTGCTAGCGGTCTATCAATTTTGTGGATCCTTTCAAAAAACCAGCTCCTGGATTCATTAATTTTTTGAAGGGTTTTTTGTGTCTCTATTTCCTTCAGTTCTGCTCTGATTTTAGTTATTTCTTGCCTTCTGCTAGCTTTTGAATGTGTTTGCTCTTGCTTCTCTAGTTCTTTTAATTGTGATGTTAGGGTGTCAATTTTGGATCTTTCCTGCTTTCTCTTGTGGGCATTTAGTGCTATAAATTTCCCTCTACACACTGCTTTGAATGTGTCCGAGATTCTGGTATGTTGTGTCTTTGTTCTCGTTGGTTTCAAAGAACATCTTTATTTCTGCCTTCATTTCGTTATGTACCCAGTAGTCCTTCAGGAGAAGGTTGTTCAGTTTCCATGTAGTTGAGCGGTTTTGAGTGAGTTTCTTAATCCTGAGTTCTAGTTTGATTGCACTGTGGTCTGAGAGATAGTTTGTTATAATTTCTGTTCTTTTACATGTGCTGAGGAGAGCTTTACTTCCAGAGTATGTGGTCAGTTTTGGAATCGGTGTGGTTTGGTGCTGAAAAAAATGTATATTCTGTTGATTTGGGGTGGAGAGTTCTGTAGATGTCTATTAGGTCCGCTTGGCGCAGAGCTGAGTTCAGTTCCTGGGTATCCTTGTTGACTTTCTGTCTCATTGATCTGTCTAATGGTGACAGTGGGGTATTAAAGTCTCCCATTATTAATGTGTGGGAGTCTAAGTCTCTTTGTAGGTCACTCAGGACTTGCTTTATGAATCTGGGTGCTCCTGTATTGGGTGCATATATATTTAGGATACTTAGCTCTTCTTGTTGAATTGATCCCTTTACCATTATGTAATGGCCTTCTTTGTCAACTTTGATCTTTGTTGGTTTAAAATCTGTTTTATCAGAGACTAGGATTGCAACCCCTGCCTTTTTTTGTTTTCCATTGGCTTGGTAGATCTTCCTCCATCCTTTTATTTTGAGCCTATATGTGTCTCTGCACGTGAGATGGGTTTCCTGAATATAACACACTGATGGGTCTTGACTCTTTATCCAATTTGCCAGTCTGTGTCTTTTAATTGGAGCATTTAGTCCATGTACATTTAAAGTTAATATTGTTATGTGTGAATTTGATCCTGTCATTATGATGTTAGCTGTTTATTTTGCTCGTTAGTTGATGCAGTTTCTTCCTAGTCTGGATGGTCTTTACATTTTGGCATGATTTTGCAGTGGCTGGTACTGGTTGTTCCTTTTCATGTTTAGTGCTTCCTTCAGGAGCTCTTTTAGGGCAGGCCTGGTGGTGACAAAATCTCTCAGCATTTGCTTGTCTGTAAAGTATTTTATTTCTCCTTCACTTATGAAGCTTAGTTTGGCTGGATATGAAATTCTGGGTTGAAAATTCTTTTCTTTAAGAATGTTGAATATTGGCCCCCACTCTCTTCTGGCTTGTAGAGTTTCTGCCTAGAGATCAGCTGTTAGTCTGATGGGCTTCCCTTTGTGGGTAACCCGACCTTTCTCTCTGGCTCTCCTTAACATTTTTTCCTTCATTTCCACTTTGGTGAATCTGACCATTATGTGTCTTGGAGTTGCTCTTCTCGAGGAGTAGCTTTGTGGCGTTCTCTGTATTTCCTGAATCTGAATGTTGGCCTGCCTTGCTAGATTGGGGAAGTTCTCCTGGATAATATCCTGCAGAGTGTTTTCCAACTTGGTTCTGTTCTCCCTGTCACTTTCAGGTGCACCAATCAGACGTAGATTTGGTCTTTTCACATAGTCCCATATTTCTTGGAGGCTTTGTTCGTTTCTTTTTATTCTTTTTTCTCTAAACTTCCCTTCTCACTTCATTTCATTCATTTCATCTTCCATCGCTGATACCCTTTCTTCCAGTTGATCACATCGGCTCCTGGGGCTTCTGCATTCTTCACATAGTTCCCGAGCCTTGGCTTTCAGCTCCATCAGCTCCTTTAAGCACTTCTCTGTATTGGTTATTCTAGTTATACATTCTTCTAAATTTTTTTCAAAGTTTTTAACTTCTTTGCCTATGGTTTGAATTTCCTCCTGTAGCTCGTAGTTTGATCGTCTGAACCCTTCTTCTCTCATCTCGTCAAAGTCATTCTCCGTCCAGCTTTGTTCGATTGCTGGTGAGGAACTGTGATGCTTTGGAGGAGGAGAGGTGCTCTGCTTTTTAGAGTTTCCATTTTTTCTGCTCTGTTTTTTCCCCATCTTTGTGGTTTTATCTACTTTTGGTCTTTGATGATGGTGATGTACAGATGGGTTTTTGGTGTGGATGTCCTTTCTGTTTGTTAGTTTTCCTTCTAAGAGACAGGACCCTCAGCTGCAGGTCTGTTGGAGTTTGCTAGAGGTCCACTCCAGACCCAGTTTGCCTGGGTATCGGCAGCGGTGTCCGCAGAACAGTGGTTTTTCGTGAACCGCGAATGCTGCTGCCTGATCGTTCTTCTGGAAGTTTTGTCTCAGAGGAGTACCCGGCCACGTGAGGTGTCAGTCTGCCCCTACTGGGGGGTGCCTCCAGTTAGGCTGCTCAGGGGTCAGGGGTCAGAGACCCACTTGAGGAGGCAGTCTGCCCGTTCTCAGATCTCCAGCTGTGTGCTAGGAGAACCACTGCTCTCTTCAAAGCTGTCAGACAGGGACATTTAAGTCTGCAGAGGCTACTGCTGTCTTTTTGTTTGTCTGTGCCCTGCCCCCAGAGGTGTAGCCTACAGAGGCAGGCAGGCCTCCTTGAGCTGTGGTGGGCTCCACCCAGTTGGAGCTTCCCGGTTGCTTTGTTTACCTAAGCAAGCCTGGGCAATGGTGGGCGCCCCTCCCCCAGCCTCCCTGCCGCCTAGTTTGATCTTAGACTGCTGTGCTAGCAATCAGCAAGACGTTATGGGCGTAGGACCCTCTGAGCCAGGTGCAGGATATAATCTCCTGGTGCGCCATTTTTTAAGCCCATCGGAAAAAGCACAGTATTCGGGTAGGAGTGACCCGATTTTCCAGGTGCCGTCTGTCACCCCTTTCTTTGACTAGGAAAGGGAACTCTCTGACCCATTGCGCTTCCTGAGTGAGGCAATGCGTCGCCCTGCTTCGGCTCCCGCACGGTGCACGCACCCACTGACCTGCGCCCACCTCTGGCACTCCCTAGTGAGATGAACCTGGTACCTCAGATGGAAATGCAGAAATCACCGTCTTCTGTGTCGCTCACGCTGGGAGCTGTAGACTGGAGCTATTCCTATTTGGCCATCTTGGCTCCTCCGCTCGATCCCATTGTTCATGACACAGCTATGCCTGGGCTGTTGTAGGGGTCATGGGAGCAGTGTTAAACAGTGACAGAGGGCTCAGGGCTTAGGGGAGATCTAAGTCGGGCTGGAACTGGGTATTGAAGGGTGAGTTAGGAATTAGGTACATTTTCCAGGATTCTAAGGAAGAAGGAAAAACAGAAAAATTGCTATTCTGCAGGGAATGTGATAAGTCTACCCACATACCCATCACCACCATCACCACCATCATCACCACCATCATCACCACCGTCATTACCATTACCAAAATCATTATCATCATTACCATTACCACCATCATTACCATCACCAAAATCATTATCATTACCATTACCACCATCATCATTACCATCACCAAAATCATTATCATTACCATTACCACCATCATTGCCATCACCAAAATCATTATCGTCATCATTACCATTACCATCATCATCATCATTACCATCATCAAAGTCATTATCACCATCACCAAAATCATTATCATCATTACCATCACCAAAGTCATTATTACCATCACCACCACCATTACCATCATTGTCGTCATCATCATTACATCACCAAAATCATTATTACTGCCACCATCATCATCGTCGTCTTTACCATCATTGTCATCATCACCATCACCACCATCATCATTACCATCACCACCACTATCACCATCACCACCATCATTACCATGACCAAAATCATTATCATCATTACTATCACTATCATCATTGTCATCATCACCACCATCATTATCACTACCTCCATCATTACCATCATCTAGACTATAGCAGCTGAGTTCTGTTTATCTATGTTTACAAAATCCTAAGTGAGTGAGGGAAAGAAGGTGAGACAGGCAGGAGGCAGCTCTGAGAGAGCTTATGTTGTTCATCACCCTTCTTATGATGATAAGAAAATTAATTCCCCTTTCTAGTTCCCCCAAGAATGAAAATTAGATATTTCCCTATAAAAGTAGTCAGATGACAGGAGAGAGTTTGGATGGAACTCAAAACTAAATTTAGTTTTCCAATAAAATTATTCTAGGATTCCCCTTCCCACACTTTTTTGCTACCTTCTGTCTTCAGATCTGGAAGAATCTATTTTGTTAAATGTTAAAATTTATCTGATGACATTTCTGCTATGGCCATAAAATTACTAACTAGTAACCCGCAGTGAGCACAGAAATGTCTTCACATGCTTGATTTTAAAAAAAAAACCTAAGAAGTGTGTTAAATTTAGCCCAATAGTGCATTTCATGGGGAAGATCAATACATGTACGTGTGGGCTTAGTTTTCTGTGAATCTCTGTAGCACATCTAATCTAAAAGAGTCCAGAAGAATATCATTAGCTGTAAAAATTACATTACCATCATAGTTGTGACTAAAATAGCCTTCATTTATAAAAAGGAAACTATTATAAAAGCATAATTTGATCACTAATATATGTACTTGGGCTAATAAAAGTTGTTTATCATGTTTCATTGAGGCTGTCAGTGGAAGGGAGAACATTGTGTTCTAGCTCTATATGCGACTCCATTAGGACAGTAGGAACATGACTAAATGCCAGTCTGTCTCTGAGAAATTTGGAGGGTGTTGGAATAAATACATCCCTTGTGTTTTGCCATGGCTTGGTTTTGTCAAACTTTTAGGGGTTAGATATCAGCACCTTTAAGAGCTCAATTCTTGACCTGCTCTGTGTGAATGAATAACTAGATCTTTGTCATTCACCCTATACCTCATCGGGAAAGTAAATCTTAATACTTATTTGGGCATGTAGTATAGAGGAAGGCACTCGGCATTGGATTTACACAAACCTAGATTAAAACCCTGTGCCCGTTGTTTATTATCCACATAGCCATGGGGAGGTCGCATCCTCCCTCTCGGCTTTGCCATCTGCAAAGTGAGGACAAAGCGATTCGCAGATGTGGGAGCTGGCACAGGGCCTATGTCATACCATCCGCCCGATAAATATTGACTGGTCCATCTTCCCAGATGGATAAGCCCATTCATACACTGCATAAAAATACTACCTGAAACTGGGTAATTTATAAACAAAAGAGGTTTAACTGACTCACAGTTCCACATGGCTGGAGAGGCCTCAGGAAACTTACAATTGTGGTGGAAGATGAAGGGGAAGCAAGGCACGTGTTACATGGCGGTAGGTGAGAGACAGTGTGGGAAATGCTGCCACTTTCAAACCATCAGACCTCGTGAGAATTCCCTCATTACCACAAGAATAGCATGGGGAAAACCGTCCCTGTGATCCAGACACTTTCCTCAGGTTCCTCGCTCCACACATGGGGATTACAGTTCGAGGTGAGATTTGGGTGGGGACACAGAGCCAAACCATATCACCAGAGTTTCTGTGAGCTCCGTTAGATCTACACTTTGGGTGTTTGTTCTGAGTATTTACATGAGATGTAGAACGATGAATGTAGTCACGAGCATTACAGCCAGAAGGAACTACACTTGGAGATCCTGCCCTCACAGCCGCCCTGTGAATTTAACTGGTTTATTGACGTTGTTCATGCTCAGGTCCCACCCATCTCAATCCAGTGCACGACAGGGGTCGTGTTTCCTTGTGGGGTTGACGGGGAAGAAGTTGGAGGCTGGGCGAGAGGGCAGGAAGGTGAAGGTCACCAGGGAGGCAGCCCAGGGCTCCGTCTGCCATGCTGCCTGTTGTGCACTCAGGTGCAGCCCCGTCTGCTGGTCCAGAAGAGATGGTCACTGGGTCCCTGTGGAAAGAGGTCTCGGTTGGAGGCAGGCCTGGTGGTCACATTCTCTCAACACACCCTCTGGCTTCTTTCCACCCTCTCATGGAGTAGCAGAGAGAGCCAAGGACTAGATATGTCACCAACTCAGACAGGACCTGCCTTTCATGCCATGGCAGCAAAGCAGCACAATTCTGGGAACTGAGCAAGCAAGTCACGGTTCACACAAGCGGTGGCCAGGCTCTGGAAACTGGGAAAAGTCAGTCCTTGAGATCATCGTTGATGTCGCATTAACACTTCAAAAAATTATACTTTCTTTGGCATATTATAACAATATAGTCAACATGGTCTAACCTGTTATACGTGGTCTAAAAGTCCCAGCCTTCGAGTGGACGCACGCACGCCCAGCACCCCATGAATGAAGAACTTTGCTGGGGCCCTTACATCTTTTCTTGCAGTTCAGCTATGCGGTTTGTCTTGTGTCCTGTGATTGTGCTTTATTTTAGATCCCTTGCCATTGCCCATATTTATTTATCTTTTCTCCGTATGTTCTTGGAGTATTTTTTGCTCAGGAGAGGCATTATATCATAAGCCTGGCTGTTTTATCAGGTTTACCAGATCGAAAAATGTGTGGTCTCCTGGCCCGAGTTCTGCCATCTGTTGTCAGGAGGCCTCCTGACTTTCCCACCATCTTTGGGCACACCGGAGCAGATGCACGAGACCCGATTCTGAATGCATGGTGTTGATGTCAGATATTAGCACCATTGTTCTGGCTTGCGATTGTGTTGCTTCATTTGTTTGTGTCTTTACTCTTAGATGACTTTTATTTCATTACATTTCAACCTCAGAGAAAATAGGCAAAGCCTGTCTTAGTCCATTTGGGCAGCTGTCACAAATACCCCACACTAGGTCATTTATAAATAATAGAAGTTTATTTCTCACAGTTCTAGAGGCTGGAAGTCTGAGATTGAGATGCCAGCAGGTTCGATGTCTGGTGAGGGCTGCTTCCTGGTGTGTAGACCACACCTGCTGTGCCCTCACAGGGTACAAGGGGTGAGGGAGCTCTCCAGGGCCTCTTACCTCATCATCTCCCAAGGGCCCCACCTCATAATACCACCACTGTGGGGGCTCCCTTTCAGCATATGAATTTCAGGGAGATGCATTCCGGCCAGCAAAGCCTTCAGGAAGCACCAGCTGAGGCCTCAGTGATCGACATCTCCAACACAGCATCTCCCGGTGAAGGGCTGTGGCCGTGGCCAGTGGTGGTGAAGGGATTCGGCCATGGCCAGTGGTGGTTGGTGCCTCTCAGCTCATGGGACACGGTGCTCTGGGACCTGAGCTGGTGGTGTCAGAGTCATTACCCCAGAATCCAAGGCCTTGGAGAGAACTAGGGACCCCCGGAGGACTGCCTGAAGGCAGGGAAATGTTAAATTCAGGAAGATAGTAGTTAAATGTGCATAAGCAGGTAATGTCCCAGAGATGATTTATGGAGTTACCACGTGATAGCATTTGGTGGGTGAGGTTAGAGGGCTGTGAATTGTTCTTTTCTCATTTGGGCAAGACCTGCGCTTGGAGAGAGTGTCTGCTGGCCGGGGTTGCGGAGGGGCGGCAGCAGTGGCGGTGGCAGTGGTTGAGGGAGTTCCTAAGGCTTCCTTAATGGATTTGGGGGTTGGTGCCCCCACTCACTCTGTGTTTCTGTCCTGCTTCTGCTATAATAATAGACGTCCTTATTAAAACAGCTGAACATAAATATCAAGTAACGTTGACAAACACAGCACTTGGTTTCAACTGGGATTTAACGAAAGGCACCTTTTTAGGCAAAGTTAGACATCTCTCTTTTTTTTAGGTAAGCTTAGCTCCTACTTAATTTTGCCCAGATTCTGAAGTATAAATGCAGCTCAGCTCTCAAACCCACCTTGAATGGATTTTGGGAAGTGCACAAAATGTAGAAGTTTTAGCAACTGCTGGGCAGTGCTTTTCTTCCCCTTTGGCTCAGAGACAGTCTTACCTGCAATGATTCTCTGCCAATTCCAGGGAAGACCCAGGTCAGCTGTGCCCACCGCCAGCATCTGTCCACCCTGGTTTCTCACAAGAGGGTGTGGGTGTGATTCAGCTGCAACTGCTCTTTCAGTTAGGAGCCCCCCTGCCCCACACCATTGCCCCTTCAGCCTGGGCACACCGGCCTCTGCACCTGGGGCCCACGCCGCCCTGGTCTCGTCTCCAGTTCACCAGCTTTAGGTCCCTACAGATTAATTTCGAGCCCCTGCTGTAAAACTCCCAGCTTCTATAAGGGGTTGAGTTTTAAGAGCATGTGCACACTTAAACAGGCTTTAAAAGAAGCATCAAGTGACTTTTCTACACCTGTTTACGATACCAAAGTGCCTGGAGTGTTTCAGGGACTTAATTTCTTTAATCCCTCAAGTGCCCAAAGAAAGTAAATGGCAAAGCCTGTTGTTTTTCTCCACTTTGCAATTTGGGAGATGGGATGGCTGAGTATTTCAGAGGCCTTAGATGCAGAGTGGGGGTGGGTGAGCACTCAGCTCTCTCATTCCCCCACCCCCCATTTTCGCCTGTGCCAAGGTGGCCAGGCACCAGCTGAGGCTGTGGGTGGAGGGAGTGCTTCGCTGGGGGACTCTGACTGTGCAGTCGATGGACACTTGTGCTGCCAGCTTTCTGGGAAGGCTCAGCTCCCTGCTGTCCACACCTTCAGGAGCGTCCCCAGCAGGCTCTGCAAGAGACGTGGCTGCCCCACAGGCACCTGGCTGCTGGGATGAGGCTTCCACCTCTCTCCAAGTTTCCTTTTACTCAAGACGGTGGAATTAATTTGGCACTGTGTAATTAAATTAACTCTCCAAGTTGCCTTTGCATGCAGTTTTAAATAAAGCTGTTTTTCTATGTGTATTGCAATCCTAATTTGTGTTTTAAACATATATTAAGCGACCCTGGAATATCAGGGGCCACCTTAATATACAGTTACACAGCTATAATATTTTTATGAAATATAAATGGGAGTACAAAATTTTGAACTAGAGAATAAAAATATTTTAGGGTTCACGGCATACCCTTACATTTATACCCAGTGATTGCTAAGAATAGACTGAAAGATATTCAGTATATAACAGTAGCTAAAGTGTACAAATAATTATGTGAAAACAAAATAACGAGTAGATGGGAAATTAAACCGTGCCTTTAGAAATAAAGATTGGATGCTTGTTTGAGTAAATGCAATTAAAATACTTGGTGTTTTATACTAGCCAGTTAAAGTGAACACATAATTTTTTTATTTGAATGGAGAAGCACTGGCAAAGAATTGTTGAATGTTCATGTTGTATCAATTCCATAACATTCAATAAATAAGTAAAAATGGATGTGCCTTCACAGTGACGTGAACTTCCTCCTTTTCCAAACTGAGGACGTAAATTACACTTTTTTCTGATAAAGCCAGATTTGTTTTTTAATTGACTTATAACTTACAGTGAAGTGCCCAGATTCTAGCTACACATATGTCCATGTAACCCACATGCCAGTCAGACGTGGAACTCTTCCACACTGCAGAGCGTTCCCTCCTGCCAAATCCCAGTTACACCCTGGCCACCAGAAGCACGCTTCTGATTTCTTTGATTCATTTATTATCATTTTTGAGAAGGGGCCTCACAATGTTGCCCAGCCTGGTCTTGAGCTCAAGCAGTCCTCTGCTTCAGGCCCGTGTGCCTGGGATCTCAGGCAGGAGCCACCGTGCCCAGCTCTTAGTCTTCTGTGTTGCATCACCATGGATTATCTGTTGTAATTTCACACAAGAACCAGTGCGTGTGGCACACATCGTGTGCAATGGCAGCACACTGTCGAGTGTGTGTGGGTGTGTGAGGGCAGCACACCATCAAGCGTGTCAGTGTGCAAGGGCAGTATGCTTACCGTCGACTGGGTGTGCCAGGGCAGTACAATTACCGTCGAGTGTGTGTGGGTGTGCAAGGGCAGCACACTTACCATTGAGTCTGTGTGGGTGTGCCAGGGCAGTACAGTTACTGTCGAGTGTGTGTGGGTGTGCAAGGGCAGTACACTTACCGTTGAGTGTGTGTGGTGCACGTCCTGTGCAAGGGCAGTACACTTACCGTCGAATGTGGTGCATGTTGTGTGTAAGGGCAGTACACTTACTGTCGAGTGTGGGTGGCTGTGCAAGGGCAGTACACTTACTGTCGAGTGTGGGTGGCTGTGCAAGGGCAGTACACTTACTGTCGAGTGTGGGTGGCTGTGCAAGGGCAGTACACTTACTGTCGAGTGTGGGTGGCTGTGCAAGGGCAGTACACTTACTGTCGAGTGTGGGTGGCTGTGCAAGGGCAGTCACTTACTGTCGAGTGTGGGTGGCTGTGCAAGGGCAGTCACTTACTGTCGAGTGTGGGTGGCTGTGCAAGGGCAGTACACTTACTGTCGAGTGTGGGTGGCTGTGCAAGGGCAGTACACTTACTGTCGAGTGTGGGTGGCTGTGCAAGGGCAGTACACTTACTGTCGAGTGTGGGTGGCACACATCGTGTGCAAGGGCAGTACACTTAACGTGTTTCGTGGTCTGTAGAAAAATTAAAGCTTGAGTGCACTGTTTGATCTTTAACAATGGGAAGAGTGTTTTCTGTCCCTGTGTTAGATTGCTAAGGATAATGGCCTCCAGCTCCATCCATGTTCCTGCAGGGCACGTGATCTCATTCTTTTTAGTGGCTGCATAGTATTCTCACCTCTAAGTGGAGCTGAATGAGGAGAACTGACAGGCACCGAGAGGGACAACATACACAGTGGGGCCGGGTTGAGGGTGGGAGAAGGGAGAGGATCAGGAATTAACTAATGGGTACTAGGCTTAATACCTGGGGGGTGAAATAATCTATACAATAAGCCCCCACGACCCAAGTTTACTTCTAAAACAAACCTGCCCATTTACCCCTGAACTTTAAAGTTAAATAAGAAATGAACAAACGATGGGAAGAATGTAAATTTGCAATACTGAAGCAAAAGCAGCCCCGTGCTCCCCAGGCTGGGCTAGGGATTGATGGATGGAGACCCCGGGAGGAGGCACCCACGCAGAAGGCTATGAGTGACAGGTACCACCTTCCTCCCTGCACGGCACCCCCTGGAGAGGACTTTGCCATCGTCCCTGCAATCCCAGGACGCATTTCTCCTGTTCCTTGTCTGTGAACCGTTGATAGACAATAACATTTTAGGTGAACATAGATACAGCAGATAGTTGAGGCAGAAGGTGAAGTGGAGCTGTGGTTTCCAGAAGCTGACGTGGGAGGTTGCAGCCTCTGTGCTGCAGTGCGTAAGAGCCATGTGCCTGATAGATGGGTCTTGCTAAGGAGCTGATCTTCAGCTCACAACAGCGTCTCCTCCGTGTTCTGTTCCTGAGGTGGCGAGTCATGTGTGGCTGCCACTTCGTTTGCACGGGGCATCTCAGTCACGGTGCTCTAAGCAGGGCAGAAACCACTGTGCGTTCCCAACAGGGGCTTGGGGGCGACTGCCATGTTCCTGTTTTGGACAAATGGAGAAAAGGGCAAAGCTGTGTTCACCTGAGGTCCCTTGACTGTGGCAGTGCTCACACACACAACATCCGTGTGGGATGCCAGGTGGCTGGACTGAGAGTTGGCCCTTGTGACCCCAACAGAATTGTATCAGTAGGACCTGAGCGTGCATTTAATGCTCACACGTGTGATGTCTGCATGAGATGTGGGTTGCTGAATTCTCGTAGCCCTAACAGAATTGTGTCACTAGGAAATGAGCGTGCATTTAATGCTCACACGTGTGATGTCTATGTGAGATGCTGGGTGGCTGGATTTAGAGTTGGCACTTGTGGCCCTAACAGAATTGTGTCACTAGGAAATGAGTGCTTTTGGCAGTTGTTGCCTGTCCTTCTGTGACCTCTGCGTGGTGAGTTGGGCATTGAGCTGCCGTAGGTCACTGAGTCTGCCCTGCCATCACGTCTGCGCTGCCCTGAGACACGGAGCTCCAGCACATTCTGCAGAGCTCACACTATCGAGTCCAGCGCGCATGTGAGAGGCAGGAAGGGAGAGTCCACGGGTCGGCAACTCTGGGCAGTGGCGCGTGGGGGACGGACTCCGCAGCCTGTGGGATCGGCAGCATCCAGTGAGGTGGAGCGGGGCTCAGGGGCACTCAGGATGCAGTGAGCGCACAGCCCTGCGGTGGCATGGGTGGGAGACGCGCACCATGGAGCCGGTGGAAGGTAGACATTCGAGCGAGCTGGGGCCAGTTCCTGGAAGTGTGTCACTGCCAGTGCGGGGAACGTGAGATTTACTCACCCAGCAGCGGGACCTACTGGAGTGCTTTCGGTAAGAGCTGGGATGACACAAATGCATTCACGTTCGATTCCCTCGAGATGCCTTGTGGGTGGGGCAGGGAAACAAGGAGCTAGGTAAGGACACAGCAGCCAGGATCTAGGATGGAGCCGAGAGGGCGTCTCGGAGCGGGGTCCTGGCGTGGAGGGGAGGAGAATGTGACAGACATGGAGGTTCACGGAAGGGGAGACTCCAGAATAATATCAGTTCACACAATAAATAAAATAACTACATGGGAAAACAGCCAATTTGTAATTAGCCTAGCAATTATTTACTTTTAGATTATAGATGTGGCAGTGCTTGGTGTGTGCAAGTGTGTTTTCTGATATTGATATTTGATCTAGTTAGTTGACATTACTGATCTATAGAATGCACTGCTAAGAGTCATTGCAAATGTTTACTTGTCAGGAAGGGTTCCAAGCCCTGGAAATATCCTTACTGATTTGTTAATCACAGCAGCCTATGAGGTAGCTGCTGTTAGTATCCTCACCATGTTGCACATGCTGCCCGGGGCCACAGAGGCGGAGGTTTGCGAGGGAGGCACCGCTCCTGGCTTGAGTAAGTCCACAGGGCAGGCGGTGGAGCCCAGGAGACAGGGCAGAGAAGGCTGCTTCCACCCCAGTCCTCATTTCTGTTATCACCGCCTCCTGGTCCGAGGCATCTTTATTAATGAATGTCTGCTCTTTTTGAATCATAATTCTAAACGAAGCTGCAGAGTACGGAACACCCTTTGCAAGCCTTCAGGCAGAGAACGTACTGCCTCCATTCAGCAGGTGTGCACCCTGGGTAAATTATTTAAGGTCTCTGAGCCTTTGTCTATTTATCAAATAGGAATAATAGCATTTAATCATTGCGTGATTATTACATTAAAGTAATATATGTAAAAATGATATTTGGCCAATAAAAACATTTCTGTAGCTTTTCACCATGATCACTGTTAATATTATATGATGGTCATAGAACTCAGACAGCTGAAAGGCTTTGGGGAAGCAGTGTGTTTGCGTTGTGTTTGGGGAAGCAGCGTGTTTGCATTGTGTTTAAAGCCACTTGATGTCTCCAAGTTGCACAGCGGTCTCTTTTATGCAACCGTCATGCCTCATTCTAAAACCATAGAGAGCAAGCCATTTAAAAGGTTAAAATTTAAGTTGCACTAAAGAGAACATATACTAAAATATGAAGCATTTGTGATTTATTATTTCAAGACATGAAACTTGGTGAAAGTGTACACAGGTGCTCAGTAGTGGGAGATGCGTCCGAAACGCAGACTGGAGTGTGGGCGCTTCTGGGGAGCGGCTGTCCGCAAGCTCATGTCTTCCTTTCTTCTCTTGGTAACAGTTTAATGCTGGAAGCATCCCGTGTGAAGGAGACGGGCAGAAGAGGCTGAGGCCATTCTTCTCTGGGAGCCAGTGGGTACCCGGGGTGCACGCGCTGTTCTCAGGGCAGTTGGAGGGAAATCATCACTGCGAATTCTAGTGACCACAGAACGGGTGGTCGACCTGCATCTTAAACTAGTAGAGATTTCCCAGGCAGATGCCGAGCCTGGGGCTGGAGTGCAAGGTCGTTTTCAGCAGGCAGCACCCTCGGAGTTTGCGGGAAACAGTGGGGTGTGGTTAGGGAGCAGGAGGAGGCTCAGGGCAGCTGTAGCCTGGGAGGAGGGTGAGGCCACCGGGAGGCAAGCATGCTGGTGACGATGACTGGTTGGTGAATCTGGCCCTCTCCAGGCCTGGGCTAAGTGCTCTGCGCACGTTGCACGCCTTGGCCTTATAATCTCCATGCCAGTTAAGGATCTCCAGGTTGGAGGGAGCTCACTGTGTTGCAAAGGTGACTCACTTGCCCCAAATCATATAACCTGGTGCAGAAGAGGCAGATTTCAGACCCAGGTTTGCTAGGGAGCTCAGACTTTAGAGCAGGAGTGTGGGGAGCTGTTGAAGGGTCTGACCCGGGGGACGGGGGATGGTGAAGTGACTCGTTTCCCAGGAAAGGTCGGGCGAGGGTTCTGCGTCTTGCGGCCTCTCTTGGGGTGTTGGGGCAGAGGAGCACCCTGGCACTGGTGGCGACGGCATAACTGTTGAACACGTGCCGGGCGAATGCTGTTCATTTTTATTCCATTTGTTCCTCTCCAGGGCTCCACAGAAAGGTGGTTTTCCTGTATTTTCTAGCCCGATATAATGGGGGCTCTGAGAGTTTCTTTGTCAAACTTCAGGGCTGTGGTGCAATGGACATAAGCCTCGGGCTGAGTGACACCATCATTCTGCTGACGTCATCCTGGAATCAGGTGTTGTCTCCAGGGCACTTTCAGGGCCATCTGCAGGTACAAGGTGACCCCTAAGGCCGGTCAGCTTTGCCTCTGGGATGAGATAGAATGGTTTAAGATGCAAGTAGGATGCTGAAATTGACTAAAAGGAGGAATTTTTGGATGTGGGGTTGTTTGATCAAGCTCCTAGGAACCGTCATACCATCATTCCACAAAACATCCTAACATCCACTAGTCATTTATTGACTCGCTAATTCCATCATGCAAAATGGTAAAAAAGAAAATGTAAAAAGGACCACACAATTCCAAAAGCAGTAGAAACCAAGGCTAGTGGAAGAACAATGTAAACTAGCTGTAAACACACACACTCACACTCACACACACACACACACTCACACTCACACACACACACTCACACACATTCAGGAGATCCAGTCAGCAGTGCAGTAGGAACCAAGGCTGGTGGAAGAACAATGTAATCTAGCTTTAAACACAAACACACATTCAGGAGATCCAATCAGCAGTGACGCCCAACTTGCCCCACAGAGAACACTCCGGAACTGAGAAGCAGGTTCCCTTCTGCCAAGGACTTCTCGCCTCGGAGTTCCATGATCTCGGGGCCTCCTGTCACCTCCCTCCAGGAAGTATTAACCAGGCCAGCTTCCTTGCCCTGTCCCTGTGTTCATGAGTGAGTCAGGTTTGGAGTGTGGCAATGCGGGCTCTGGAGACAGCCCCAGGGTCGAATCCTGCCCGGGCCACCTCCCCACTCGGTGGCCTCGCCAAGGTGCTTCTCGCTTTGCGCCCTTGTCTGCGGGCAGAAGGTTTTGTGAACATTGGTGCCAGGATTGCGATGGGTCGGTGGCACCGAGGGCAGCGCTGCAGTCTGTGGTAGGTGCCCTAGCAGCAGCTATGCTGGAGTTACTAGAGGGCCGAGCATCTGCGAACCTTGGGGGCAGATCCAGCGTACTCACCATTAAGGCAGTTCATAAAATTATTTCCTCCTTATTCTAACCAGCATCGACATAGAATCTGCCAGCAGCAAAACTGTGACCAGGCAGAGAAACGGGTGGGGGACAGTTCCCAGGCCTCCTCTCCAGCCCGCTGTGCAGCGAGTTCAGTTGCTTCACGCCCTAAGCCAGCGAGTACCCATCAACAAGGCTGTCAGTGACTGCAGTGACTTCCAGGCGCCTTATCCTCTCTAAGCGTCCTGATAACCCTGAGAGATGTTATTACGGCCATTCCCTTTTTGTCATGGAGGTGGGGGGTGCGGTGTCTTCTGAGCTGATACTCCACTCCGTTGTGAGTATCTGTGGGATATGACCATTCCCTTTTTGTCATGGAGGTTGGGACTGGGGGGCCTTTCTGAGCTGATATTCTGTTGTGAATATCTGTGGGATAATTTCACGTCGTCGCCTCCCCTGGCTCTAAGGAGCTTGGACGTGTCTGGAGGTTCATGGAAGCCACCTGCAGGAGTGCCTGGCTTGGCTTTGCCTTTTTGTCTTCTTCCTGCTCTTCTCACTCACCTTCACATGCCCCCACGTCTGCCCTACCGCATCCACCCCATATCCCTTAAACAGGTATTTGGGAAATTGTGTGGGGCAGAAGGAAAATCCAGGAGCCTTGTTTTCCACATGTTTCCATCACACCCGTTAATTGAACAATCTAAGCCCGGCCTCAGTGCAGGTGGCGGTCGTGGGCCTTTCCCAGGCCCCAGAATCCCATGGAAGGGCTGTTCTGAGCAGCTGCTTGGAGATGCATCAATACGTTCAAAGATGATTGTCAGTTGCCAAAATAGCACTGGCTACATATTGACTGCAATTTAACAATGGGGGCAATAGTCACAACACCTGGGACCTCTGTGACATTTCCCTCACGGAATTTCACACGGGACCTCCGTGACGTTTGCCTCATGGAATCTCACACACACGGGACCTCTGTGACGTTTGTCTCATGGAATCTCACATGCCCGGGACCTCTGTGACATTTCCCTCACACGCCCAGGACCTCTGTGACGTTTCCCTCACGGAATCTCACACGCCCGGGACCTCCGTGACGTTTCCCTCACGGAATGTCACACGCCCGGGACCTCCGTGACGTTTGCCTCACGGAATCTCACACACCCGGGACCTCCGTGACATTTGCCTCACGGAATCTCACACACCCGGGACCTCCGTGACGTTTGCTTCACGGAATCTCACACACCCGGGACCTCCGTGACGTTTGCCTCACGGAATCTCGCACGCCCGGGACCTCCGTGACGTTTCCCTCACGGAATCTCACACACCCAGGACCTCCGTGACGTTTGTCTCATGGAATCTCACGTGCCCGGGACCTCTGTGACATTTCCCTCACACGCCCAGGACCTCTGTGACGTTTCCCTCACGGAATCTCACACGCCCGAGACTTCCGTGACGTTTCCCTCACGGAATCTCACACGCCCGGGACCTCTGTGACGTTTGCCTCATGGAATCTCACACGCCCGGGACTTCCGTGATGTTTCCCTCACGGAATCTCACACACCCGGGACCCCCGTGACGTTTGCCTCACGGAATCTCACACGCCCGGGACCTCCGTGACATTTGCCTCACGGAATCTTGCACGCCCGGGACTTCCGTGACGTTTCCCTCACGGAATCTCAAACGCCTGGGACCTCTGTGACGTTTGCCTCACGGAATCTCACACGCCCGGGACTTCCGTGATGTTTCCCTCACGGAATCTCACACACCCGGGACCTCCGTGACGTTTGCCTCATGGAATCTCACACACCCGGGACCTCCGTGACATTTGCCTCACGGAATCTCGCACGCCCGGGACTTCCGTGACGTTTCCCTCACGGAATCTCACACGCCCGGGACCTCTGTGACGTTTCCCTCACGGAATCTCACACGCCCGGGACTTCCGTGACGTTTCCCTCACGGAATCTCACACGCCCGGGACCTCTGTGACGTTTGCCTCACAGAATCTCACACGCCCGGGACTTCCGTGACGTTTCCCTCACGGAATCTCACACACCCGGGACCTCCGTGACGTTTGCCTCACGGAATCTCACACACCCGGGACCTCCATGACATTTGCCTCACAGAATCGCGCACGCCCGGGACCTCCGTGACGTTTCCCTCACGGAATCTCGCACGCCCGGGACTTCCGTGACGTTTCCCTCACGGAATCTCACACGCCCGGGACCTCTGTGACGTTTCCCTCACGGAATCTCAGACGCCCGGGATCTCCGTGATGTTTCCCTCACGGAATCTCACACACCCGGGACGTCCGTGACATTTGCCTCACGGAATCTCACAGCTCCTCCCAATAGAACAGCGACTCATCCGCCCAGCACTCCGGGGGCAGGAAGAGATGTTGCTTCTCTTTTTGGCAAGCAGATGAACAGTAATCATGAGTACAGAGTCTGAGATGTCAGCGTCTGGAAAGACATTTCCTGTTACACGCTGAACAAAAGCTTTGGGGTGACCACCTGCTGCGTCCTCAGGATGTGCCTTTTTTTAGGAAACAATGACTTGTCACTCCAAAAAGTTAAAAAAGCACCTCCAAATATATATGATGCCACATCTTCTCCTCACACAGGTTGCCTTGTGGTGCGGCTTCCAGGCCGGTTCCGCGGTTGGGGTTGACCGTACACAGGGTTCGGGCCCCAGGCCGGTTCCGCGGTTGGGGTTGACCTTACACAGGGTTCGGGCCCCATGGCGGTTCCGCTGTTGGGGTTGAGCATACACAGGGTTCGGGCCCCAGGCCGGTTCCGCGGTTGGGGTTGACCTTACACAGGGTTCGGGCCCCATGGCGGTTCCGCTGTTGGGGTTGAGCATACACAGGGTTCGGGCCCCAGGCCGATTCCGCGGTTGGGGTTGACCTTACACAGGATTTGGGCCCCAGGCCGGTTCCGCGGTTGGGGTTGAGCATACACAGGGTTCGGGCCCCAGCGGGAGTCACTGTCGCTCAGTGTCAAGGCCAACTGCAAGGGCGGGAGACCCAGGAGCCCATCGTAGGAGTCACACATCCAGCAGGAAGATAGGTCAACCTGGTCCCTAAATAACATTAAGACACTGAACCATCTGGAGTGCAGTTACCATGTCAGAAGCATTTGGAAGAGGAGTGGTCACCACCAAGAGACGTTTAAACCAGACCTTCTTTTATCCACTCAAGCAACTAGTGTAGAGTAACTCAAGTTTACACTTTAAGGATTATGAATTCACAGCATTTGGTTAGGGAAAGACCAGCTTAAACTCTACCTTTTATTGTGTAGAAACAGTATTTTTTGTCATTCAAGCACGTTTAGCAGTTGACGTGTGACATCCCCATGCCTGGAAACGGGATGGATCAATGACAGGGCCGAGTTTTCCCCTCAGGAAGTTTACAGTTTGTAATATGAAGCGAGCTCGAGTTATCCAATAGGCATTTGTGTTCAGGACACGGCAGATACAGCCGCCTGCCTGGGCCACTTCCATAAGCGGGAGGGCTGCAGGAGGGGTCCCCCTGAGGGCAAGAAGGGGCTGCTCCAGCAGGCAGGAGGCGGAGATTAAGGAAAATCACAGAGGTGATGGGGGAGGGTAACTCACGGCTTTGGGTGCCAGGAAAGGAGGTGAAAATCCTAGGAAAAGCCAAGTAGGGTGAATGAGATTGCAGCAAATTCTTAACACCATTAAAAGGAGAACCCCCGTTTTCTGGAGTTTAAAGGCCCTCCTTTATTCACTGAGAGTTGGCAGGCTAATTACGGGCTCTGGTTTTCTGCTCCTTGAGGGAAGTGCCCTCTGGACTCTTACTGCTAATAATAAACAACTGCACTTTGTAGGGCCTGAGTTGAGTTATGGATTGCACTTTAGATAAATAGATTCCATGTTGCCCTAATGCTCAGACCCAGACCTCTTCCAGATTCTGGTGGTCTCACAGAGAGTCCTCCAAGTCCACGGCACTCCCCACTTGCTGTGGTTTATGGCACCAACGTGCCCTCCATCTCCTCTGTTGCCTTTCACGTGGCTCGGTGAAATAGAAATGTGATGCTGAGGCCTGTGTTAGTTGGCAGTTATGTGCTTGGAGTGGCGAGAGTCAGGGTCGGGGCATCTGCTGTTGGGGCATCTGCTGTTGGGGCATCTGCTGTTGGAGTCGCTCCCCTGTGACACTGACACTTGGTGCCGGGCAATCTTTCCCGGCAGCATCTCATGCAGGAGGCACCCGTCCCGTTCGACGCCTCTGGCCGCCCCGTCCTTGCTTCTCATCTCACAGGGCACTGCGAGCCGCCTGTCGCAATCAGCATTGAGAGCCAAAACAGCTGTTTGGTGACTGTGCGAGGTTGTGAGTGTGTGGTTGGCTGGGAGGCTTATCCTCATCCTCCCAACCCCGTGTCTTACGTAGAGAAGAAGAAAGCCAGGGCCAGAGGTCACCTGCCTCAATGAAGGTCCTTACACCAGGGGCAGACCCATGACTAGAGCCCAGGTTCCAGGTGCACGCAGCAGCAAGGCGTGGGGTCTGTAGGGGGCAGACCCAAGACCAGAGCCCAGGCTCCAGGCGCACGCAGCAGCAAGCGTGGGGTCTGTGGCCGTTCAGTGCACGGGGCGTGTTTATGCACCATGCTTCTCCTATGGAAGCCGTCCCATGGTGCGACATCCCCAGCAGCGCAGCGAGGGGGGTGGGTGAGGCTTGGACCAATTCCTCATGGTCAGGGGAGCTAAGGGACCTGAGTCCAGCAGGTCCAGGATGACCCTGCCACATCCCACGGGGAGAGGCTGGGTTCTGAAGCTTTGAAGTGTTTGATTTATTTACGTGGGATGTCTTGCAATACATTTTGTGAATAAATTTCTTGTAACTAAGTGTTTCAATATAAGTAGATACATTTTTTTTTTTTTTTTGAGACGGAATCTCACTCTGTCACCCAGGCTGGAGTACAGTGGCGCGATCTCGGCTCACTGCAGCTCCACCTCCCGGGTTCAGGCCATTCTCCTGCCTCAGCCTCCCGAGTAGCTGGGACTACAGGCACCCGCCACCACGCCCGGCTAATTTTTTGTATTTTTGGTAGAGACGGGATTTCACCGTGTTAGCCAGGATGGTCTTGATCTCCTGACCTTGTGATCTGCCCGCCTCAGCCTCCCAAAGTGCGGGGATTATAGGCGTGAGCCACCGCGCCCAGCCGATACGTTTTATCTATAAGAAAATTCTACAATCCTGTCTAAAGTACTAAGTAAAACAAGAAGTAGAAAGTGTTATCTCTTGAAATTAATTCTGAAAATCCGCCCTCTGCACTTCTTACATAGAACAAGACAGGCAGCCACAACGCGCCGTATCTGGGTCCGTTCTCTGTTGCAATGAGCAGACAAAGCTTCAAAACATTAGAAATCAAGAAGGAACTTGAGCTCATTGCAACTAACTCTTTAATTTCCACCTCTGATCACACTTTACCCTCCTATTTTTATGTATTTTCCTTCTTCCAGGGGTCCTTTACCTTGAAATTCAATTGTATAGAAATAAACCGTATTATATAAGATATGCCTTTAAGCTGATATTACGTGTTCACATTACAGTCAATAGGAAGCGCCTTTATTCTTGGTGCAGTTGGCCCCTCTGAGCATGAAGCTCACTGATCCCTCAACTACGGCCATTGTTTTCTCATGTGCATGTGTAGCAATGACTTCAAAACTTAACATCTCAAAATCACAGCATGGGGCTGTGAGTTCCGGTTACCTTGTATGACTGGACATTCGTAGCCGCTGCCAGCCTCCCAGGGCTCTCTGAGATGGATTTGAGGTGTGCGTGGCCCCTGCACTTTCTAGATGGCTTTCTCCTCTCGTACGTGATGAAACTGGCTGCCGTGATGGGCTGGGCTTGGAGCTGTGGGTGGGGCTGTCCAGATGCTTCTGTTGCTATGATCAACCACAGCCAGGGCCATGAAGCAGGTGCCAGCTGAGCTGGGCAATGGGTTTAGCCCTTGTTTTCAAGTACTTATTTACGCTTATTAATTTTAAGTGACAAAAGTATATATTTATGGTGTAGAATATGATGCTTTGCATTGTGAATACCTTGCGGAATAGCTCGATCAAGCTGATTAACAGATGGATCACCTCACTTTTTTGCGGTGAGAACAATGAAATCCACTGTCAGTGATTTTCTAGAATATGATGTGTTGCTATGAACTGCAGTCACCGTGATGAGCAATAGAGCTCTTAAACCTGCTCCTCCGTCTGTCTGAAATCTCATGCCCTTTGTCCAGCCTCTCTCAAGTCTGTCCCCAGCCCCGCCCTCCCTCTCCACTCCCACGAGTCTGAGTGTCTTGGATGCATCATGTCAGTGAGTGAGCTCTGGGGTGCTTGGCTTTATGTATCTGGTTTCTTTTTTTTTTTTTTAATTATTATTATACTTTAAGTTTTAGGGTACGTGTGCACAATGTGCAGGTTAGTTACATATGGAAACATGTGCCATGTTGGTGTGCTGCACCCATTAACTCCTCATTTAACATTAGGTATATCTCCTAAAGCTATCCCTCCCCACTCCCCCCACCCCACAACAGGCCCTGGTGTGTGATGCTCCCCTTCCTGTGTCCAAGTGATTTCATTGTTCACTTCCCACCTATGAGTGAGAACATGCGGTGTTTGGTTTTTTGTCCTTGTGATAGTTTGCTGAGAATGATGGTTTCCAGCTTCATCCATGTCCTTACAAAGGACATGAACTTATCAATTTTTATGGCTGCATAGTATTCCATGGTGTATATGTGCCACATTTTCTTAATCCAGTCTATCATTGTTGGACATTTGGGTTGCTTCCAAGTCTTTGCTATGGTGAATAGTGCCGCTATAAACATACGTGTGCATGTGTCTTTATAGCAGCATGATTTATAATCCTTTGGGTATATAACCGGTAATGGGATTGCTGGGTCAAATGGTATTTCTAGTTCTAGATCCTTGAGGAATCGCCACACCGTCTTCCACAATGGTTGAACCAGTTTACTGTCCCACCAACAGTGTAAAAGTGTTCCCATTTCTCCACATCCTCTCCAGCACCTGTTGTTTCCTGGCTTTTTAATGATCGCCATTCTAACTGGTCTGAGATGGTATCTCATTGTGGTTTTGATTTGCATTTGTCTGATGGCCAGTGATGATGAGCATTTTTTCATGTGTCTTTTGGCTACATAAATGTCTTCTTTTGAGAAGTGTCTGGTTTCTGTCACTTAGCACCATGCGTTCAGGGCTCATTCACGCTGAAATCCACAGATGGCAGGGTTTGCTTCTTGTTTAAAGCTGGATATACGCTGCTGTGTCCACACACCACCCCATTATCTGTGTGTCCGCTGGTGGATACTTAGGTTGCTTCCCTGGCACGGCTGTTTCTGTGAACGATCCCATTGAAGCCACCTGAGTCTCGCGTGGCTGGCCCTCTCTGCACCTGAGACTCCCGGACAGCATCCGGGTTGGGGGTCCTGTGGAGCAGATCCCAGTCTCGGCCTCTAGAGCCTCCGCACCATGCCCCCTGCAGCCAGCACCTGAGACCCCCAGACAGCATCCGGGTGGGGCAGATCCCAGCGTCGGCCTCTAGAGCCTCCGCACCGCGCCGCCCCCGCCTCCTGTCCCCAGCCAGGAGGAGCCGCTGGAGGGACGTTTTCGTTCTCAGTAATTTAAGGTCTTTGCTGAGAGCTTGACGGGAAGGAAGTCGTAGTATCTGAAGCCTCAGGTGAAATTTCTCCTTGGCATTACCGGGACCAAATCCACGTACTGTGACATTCAAGTCAACGTGACAGGTGTGAACTGGGATGCCGCAGTATACCAAGTCCAGTTTTGACGCTGTGGAAAATTAGATAAAGTGAGTAAGACACAGTCCCTACCCTTGAGGGGCGGGGGAATTTTAAAGAAGAAACTGCCGCCTGTGGGAGGCCACGCCTTGTTCTCAGCCCGACTCAGGAGGAGCTCAGCTGCTGGCAAGTTGGAAACACAGGCTCTGCGATTTTGAGAGTGAACCTGCAAGAGACAAGCAGACGTTGGCAGTGCCGCGTCCCGGCTGGTGGAGGGAGCCCGGATGCCTGGCAGACAGTCAGTGGTCGGTTGGCGGCCGGCCCACATAAGGGCACCATGCTCACCGTGTCTAGGCAGAGCTGGAGGCTCCTCCTGCCCAGGGCGGCCTCCAGGTGGGGAGGACGGCAGAGCTTCCCTCAGTCCCACTTTCCAGGTCATCCCCAGGGGTCCCTCTGGGTCACTCCTTGTGATGTGAAGAAATTCTCCATCACATGCAGAGTTCAGGACCAGTCAGGAAGCCCTCAAGCACCCACGCCTGCCTGTTCAGCAGGGAAGATTCTGGAAGCCGAGTCCTTGCTATAGGAACGTGTTGGGGCTGCTGCTTTGGGAAACTCACCTGACCACAGGGTCGTCCCGGAGCTGCTTCAGGTGTCCTGGGCGGCTGTGGAGAGTCCCTGGGCCCGATGAGCTTCATTAGACCTGAAGTTTGGAACCCTCTGTTCCCTACAGAAGTCTCTTATCGTCCTCTCTGGCTTGAGGCCACCACTGTGACGTGTGTGGCCAGGGTTCTTCGCTCAGTCTCAGACTCTAGGGCTGTGTCTGTGCTTGGTGCTCACGCTTTGCTGCTGAGACCACCTGGGCGTTCAGTTGTCAACTACCAACGGACAGTCAGGGCTGTCCCAGCATAGGGCTGCACCCCCTCCGCTCTCCCGGCCTTCATTCCTCGTGCCCTGCTCTCCTGAGAAGCTTGGGCACACTTTGTTCGTTTCAGAGGCGTCCGCCCCAGCATGAGTGCTCAAGCTCTTTCCAGGCCCCCGGCATCCTCATGGCTGCAGCAGGTGGAGATTAGACTGCCCCTGGTCGCAAAGGCGTCAGAACAGTGAACATCTGAAGAGACGAGGGTGTCAGGAAGGTGCCCCATGGTCATCCCAGCTGGGACTGGGGCTGCTGGTGTCCAGGACAGGCCTCCCAGTTCTGCCTCCCGCTGGCCAAGCACCCAGTTAGAACTGGCTTCCCTGCACCCTCAGGAGCAGAGCCTGAAGTCAGGGCTGTCTACCAGGCATGGAGGCCTGGCCAGATGCACGCAGCCACCGACAGGTCAGAGACGGAGGATATATGTGTTATTAATGAAAAACATGGTGAAGTGTTTTTAAATGGGAAACAGGCTGCACAGTGAACCAGGACAGAAAACTGTTTTCAGAAAGCACTACTGAGAAAACAATTGTTTCCCCACTTGGAAAAATGCTTGCTGCCTATCCAATTACTTGGTACCTTCCTAAAAATAGTCTTTTAAAAACATATAATTCTTAATTCACTCATAAAACATCTAATTCTTATGTAAAAATTTCTGTAATTATTAAAAAATTATCTTCCAAAGGATTCTCTTCTTTTTTGTTTATGGACGTCTTATCAGGCATTAGGGGCGTGTGTTGTATGTCAGAACGTTTGTTTAATTTTAGTTACACAGATAATCGCATCACCATCGTTGCTCACCCAGGAGCTGACCGTGTGGCGCGTTCCCCGGAGTGCGTGACCTGCTCCGAGGCCTTGCAGCGGTAGATACGTTCTGCGAAAACGCTTCCAAATGAGGGTCATTTTTCTTAACCGAAGTTTTTAGCATTTCTAATTCTCCCACAAAGTGCAAGAATATTTTGTTTCAACTTAATTAATAGTTACCTCCATGTTTGGATTGTCACACTGGGCAGCTGTGGGGATGCTCACGTTCGTGAGCAGAGTTAAGCTTCTCTCAAATAGCCATGACGTAGAGAAAAATGAAACTGAGGCCACAACCTGGAAAGCTGTGTCATAACTTAGGCATCACCGATATCCAGGGCCCCGTCACATTTTTTCCTGATCCACTTAACTGCTTGTTGTAGTAGTGCTCACCTGTTAAAGACCCTACTTTCATGTTATGTGTTTTGTTTGGTAAAATATCCTTCAATTCTTTTAGAAGTAGGCCACGTTTCACTGTGTGTGTGTAAATGCATCTGCATAGAGTAAAGCATTTGTGTCCACACACTGCAGTGACAACTATTTCCCAAGCACCATGAAATTCTCCTGTTTGGAGTGTACCTGTCTTTCCCCCATCCCCAGGTGTCAGCACAGGGGCTAACACAGGGGAGAAGCCAGATAGGTGTGTGATGTTAATGCTGAGTGAGTGAACGAGACAGTGATCCTGTGCCCCCGAAGGAAATATTCGTGCTTTCCTCACGTTTCAAGCCTGAGCTGGAACAAGTCGTCTGTGATTTTCATAGCATGGAGTTTCTCAGCTGATAAGCAAAAGAATAATGACAAAAAAGTGGCTGTCATCACCAACAGCACTTGTGCAGAGGCATCTGCAGGTCGAGGGGGGTATCTCTGAGATGAAAAGAGTAATTTGAAAACCACATATGTCAGGAAAGGTAGTGCCATCTGCCATGATTTCCCAAGCAGCCGCACGTTGTCAGTGGGGCTCCAGTAGCTGCAGTAGGAGCCTGTGCCTCCTGGCTTGGACGGCTGCATGTCAGCTGCAGCAGTGATGAGCCAGGGGCGGTAACTGCTCATCACACATACACCAGGGTTCTCCCGAAAAGTGAGACTGACAGGATATATACAGACAGGCAAGAGGGGATTTATTATGGGAATTGGTCGCTGTGATTATGGGGGCTGAGAGGTCCCACTATTGTCCATCCACAAGCTGGAGACCCAGGGAAGCCAGAGGTGTGATTAAGTCTGCGTTTGAAGGCCTGAAAATCGGGGTGGGCAATGTCTGTGGTCAGGAGGAGATGGAGGCCTCGCCCAAGAAGAAGGAACAAATTCTCCTTTCTCCACCTTTTTGTTCTTCCTGGGCCCTCAGTGGATTGGAGGATGCACACCCGCATTGCAGAGTCCAGTGCAGGTCTCTTCTGGAAACGCCGTCACAGACACACACGGAAGTCATGTTCCCACATTGCAGAGTCCACTTCAGGTCTCTTCTGGAAATGCCATCACAGACACACCCGGAAGTCATGTTTCACCAGTTACCTGGCTATCACTTATCCCTGTCCATGCTGACACAGAATTCACCACGACACCCTCCCTCCTCTTCTGCTCAGTACCTGAGCCCTTGTCTCAATACCTGAGCCTTTTCTTTCCGGGGAACCCAAACCAAGACAAAGGCCCTGGATAGAAAATGCTGTAGAAAAAGGGCTACTTCATAGCCCAGGGTCAAGCACTGTTTATGTTCCATAAAGCTAAGCCACATGGATGCGGAGCAGCTGGGCCACCAGCTGTCTACATAAACCTGAGCTACACCAACATGTAGCATCCAGGCCACCAGCTGTCCACCTAAACCTGAGCGAAGCCAATGTGGAGCATCTGGGCCACCAGCTGTCCATATAAACCTGAGCCACGCCAATGTGGAGCATCTGGGCCACCAGCTGTCCATATAAACCTGAGCCACGTCAATGTGGAGCATCTGGGCCACCAGCTGTCCATATAAACCTGAGCCACGCCAATGTTGAGGGTCTGGGCCACCAGATGTCCACATGAACCGCACTACCTTTTTCATCTCCTGGGCCTCCTGCAGCGTTCCCTCCCATGGGGGATGAGTGGAATCAGGTTTCTCGTCTCCTGGGCCCCCTGCAGTGTTTCCTCTCATGGGGAATGAGTGGAATCAGGGTGCATCCTCCCAGAACTGGCCCACATGTGCATCTGTCCTCACCCTTGCACACCCATGTCTGTCCTATGAGTGACCTTTGAGGAGTAGCCTGGGTCATTCAGGGACCCACTGGAAATGAGCCATGGCCGTGGATGAGGAACAGAGGCCAATTCTGTGGACTGTTACCTGTGTGGTTCTGTGTGTGTGTGTGTACGTGTGTGCGTGTGTGCGTGTGGGTGTGTGGACGTAGACTCCCACACAGGCCCTCCGGTGTGGTGCTGGGCTATGCTGCGGCGAAAAGGAGCAATTTCCTTGAGGATTCCAGCTCCTCACCCCCATTAACAAGCTGCACATCCCTCTAAGGAGGAAAGGGACTTTTGTAAGCTTCAAGTTTGTGACCAGAAAGCAGCCCAGAAAAACCTCCCTATTGTTTTGAAATGACAACAACAGCTTCGTCGTGGGGCGTCACGCATGTTGCACCACTGCTTTCCACAGAGAGCTGCCTGGACCTTGTGTCCTGGGTGTGCAGAGGGAGCGCAGGTGGCAGCTGCCTCCCACCCACCTCTATAAGTGCAGGTGGAGCCAGGGCCTGTGGTCCAGAAGGATGAGCATCCCCCAGAGCTCGGGGGAAGGGGCTGCGAGGAGGGCACTCATGACTCAGGAGGGCCAGGTCCCAGGTGGCAGGTATGGTTTGCAGATGAGAGTGTGTGCTCTGCAGACTGGCAGACCCCAAAAGGCAAGGGGAGAAAGGCCGAGCCGCTCAGGCCCAGCTCCACCCCATGTCCATGGGTCAGGCAGGCCCCTCATGTCCTGAAGAGACACGTGTGCCTGGGTGTGCGGGAAGGTGTCCTTTGGCAAGACCACACCTGAACGATGCTTCCCCTTTCCCTCGGGAGTGAGCCCTACAGCAGGGGGATGGGCACCTCCCTCCTGGGCTAGGCATTGGTCTTGGCTGGGGGTTAGGAGCTGCACCCCCACGCCTGCCTATGCAGGTGCACAGGGAAGGGTGGCAGCGGGCGTGTGTGCCCGGGACCTGGATACAGGCAGACTGTGCTTGGCAAGGGCTATACCAGTTGTGGATGAATCCTCAGAGCTGAGTTTCAGCTGCTCCTTAAAATGCAGCAGAGGTCGCGTGGTTGAATAAAGGTGAAGTTCCAGACTTCCAGACTGCTCAGTTTAGAAAGGATCTAAGTCATCTGAAATAATTAAAGAGTACTTAAACACACATACACACAACAACAACCGCAGCAACAGTCGTCTGAATTACTGAAGAGAATTCTGGGGTATTGATGAATAGTGTAGAAATGAGATTTTAATATCTTCACTCAGTGTGGATAATTGAAAGCATGGCTGAATAGATATCGTTGAAGACTCTGCTTCACTCAACAGATATCTTGCAATATTTGAGCAGGTTGAGCTTCTCCCTGGTGATCTCTTTTGGCTATTAATCTATGTAGCAGTTTCTTTTTTGCATACTTAGTAGAAAAATAGATTCCAGGATTACAGAAGAGAAGTGAGCGCTTATTACAAATTAGTGGACATGTTAAAATGTTGGATAAAAGTAGGGTAGGAGGACACAGTAAAGGCACAGGCAGTCCAGTGAAGGCTGCCTGTGTGTCTGGATCACAGCACAGCTACCTCTTCTAGGTCAGGAGACTCAGCAGTTGGCTTCAGAAAAGTAATGACCTCGGGAAACACCATCTTCATGAGCCAAACTCATGCCAGCCAGATGGGCGCTAGAAAGTGAATGCTGTCCTTTTAGTGAAAAATCCCACTTTCTGATGGAGAGTCTTATGGGTATTTGCACTCGGTGGCTCTCACTCGGGCTGAATGTTTGTATCTAGGACACTTTAGCATGAGAGCTCTTGCATGATGGAAGGTGTGTATGGAAACACTTAAACGATGATTATTTTCAGATCAGTGAAGAGGGAAAAAAAATAACTCTTAGAAACACTGGAATCATCGGCTGTGTCACTGGGTGGAGAGTGTGATCTCTACACCGCCCCCTCCCCTGGTGATGACAGCCACGAGGTGGAAGGATTCCCCCCCACAACCCCCCGCAGAGGCCGGGTCTCAGCAGGGGTCAGTCTGTGCATCCCCGGGGGTCCCATCCTGTGGAAAAGTGTGGGGAGGCTGGGGGTGACCCCGAGAACAGGAGGATGAGGACGACTCCGTACAGGGAAGCTGGGATGGATGTAGGCTGAAGGGTCGGGGGCGTGGGGGCCGGGAGCGGATCCCTGCACAGGCCCACAGGAGAGGCTGGGTTTCCCTGGCCCCCGTGCTCTCCTCCCCACCGTGCAGCACCGGGTGTCACCTTCCTCCTGGGACAGCTTCGTGTCTTTTCCTCACTGCCTCTTTCCCCATCGAGGCTTCATGCGCCGTCTCCAGCCTCTTGCTCCGGGGTCCTGCGTGTTCTTTTCTCACTGAGCTCAGTCCCGTGGCCCCGGCTCCTAATTCATCTTCAGAGCTTGTTAAAACTGTGCTTTCCGATGTATTTCCTCAAGGACAGTCACTAGCAGTTGTTCTGAAATGATTCATGGTGTTTCCGTTCACACTGCGATGCTTGTTCCTCATAAACCATCCATCTGGCCTCGTGCTCCTCGGGGGCTGAAGGGCCTGGATGCTGATTGTTCTCTGGTCTGACCCGCCAGCTCCTCGGACCTCCGGAAAGAGCCTCCCGCCTGCACGTCCCACTGCCACGTCCATTAGCGTCACCAAAGCGTCACTTGCGCTGGACGGCAAACTGCAGATGTTGGTTTGACAAAGCCTCAGGGGAGCGCACAGCCCTTGACCTTCAAAGGTTGGATCTTATTTAGAGACACGTTGAAATCAGCCTGGATTCGGACTTACAGAGCTGTAATAACACGGGTTCCTGACTTGCTGGACGGAAGCTTCCAGAAGACTCTGAGAGAATGGAGAGTGGCAGCTTTCGCTTTGTTTTCCGTTCCCACATATCGGTTTGGCATCGAACGATGCGTCCGCTGCTGGCTCCCGTGCTCGGTTTCTCCACGCCGCCTCCGGGCGGTGCGCGATTCAGCTCCAGGAGCGTGTTGTGCACGGCGGGGCGCTGCGCTCGGCCTTAGGGAAAGAAGGCGCGGCTGTCTCCCCGGACCCCACCGTTAGGGACCCACACCTAGAGGTGAGTGTGGCGTGAGCGGCCAGGCGGGTGCCGAGATGCCCAGAGACCAGCACTGGGGAGGCTGCTCCCCGTCCCCGAGGCCTGGAGCCGTGGGAGGAAGAGGAGGATGCCACGGAGCCCTGTGGAGGCTGAAGCCGCTGCGTAGGGAGCCCCTTGTCCATCAGGGTTCTCGAGAGACGCAGAACCAGGGGTGCATGCACGCGTGTGATTGTGGAGGCTGGCAGGTCCCAACCACAGAGCCGAAGTCCCCAGCATCCCCGCGCAGGTGTGAGGCCCTCAGCGACCCTGGAACCAGCAGGAGCTCTGCTCCCGCTCAGGGGCCGTGGGGCAGGGGGCTCCCCCTTCCTCGGGAAGGGACGGCCTTCTGTTCCCTGCAGGGCTTCAAGGATTGGATGAAGACGCCGAGAGGACCTGGAAGGGGAGGAAGATTCTCCAGAGCCTCCAGAAGGAAGCCAGGTCCTGGGGACAGTGTGCTTCAGCCCAGGGAGTCCGTTTTGGACATCGCATCTCCGGACGGATATAGATCGCTTTAGACACCCAGTGTGTGGTCACCGGCACGGCAGGGGTAGACACAGGTGCAGCTCACACAGGGATTTACACACTCAGAGCTCCTGGTTCAGTGCCTGTTTGTCAGATGCCTGTGACGTGGTCCAGGCCGTGGGATCCAGTGAATGGAGCTTGACCCAGAGCACATTTCCCTGTGAGGGGCTTGTGTGCTGTGCCCTCCCTCATCACCAGGCAGCATCCGCAGACACACAGCGGTGCCTCTGTGTACGTGTGTGCGGTGTAGGTGCTTGTGTGTACACATGTGTGTATGTGTACGGTATCTATCTGTGGTGTGTGTGTAAGCATGTGGTGTGTATGTACATGTGTGCACATGTGTGGTATCTAGCTCTGTGTGTGATGTGTGTATGTGTACACATGTGGTGTGTACAGTATCTGTGTATCTGTGTATATGTGGTGTGTGTGTATACACATGTGTCTATGTACATGTGTGCACATGTGCAGTATCTATCTGTGTGATGTGTGTGTATGTGTACGCCTGTGGTGTGTGCAAGTGTGCACATGTGTACAGCATCTGTGTATCTGTGTGTCTGTTGTGTGTGTATACACATGTGGTGTGTACAGTATCTGTGTATCTGTGTGCGTGTGGTGTGATGTATCTGTTGGTGTATGTGTATGCATGTATTCTGTATGTATAGATGCAGTGTGTGTGTGTGTGTGTGTGTGTGTGTGTGTCTGTGGTGCATGTATGTAGTATATGTGTGTGTGTGTGTGTATGTACTGGGGGTGAGGCCTGGGCCAGGGGCAGGCACGGCTCCTCTTGGCACCTGTTGTGCTGTGCAGTGGACGTCCATGCTGTTGTGGGGCGTGTGTGAGCCCTCAGGACTGTGAGGATGTGTGGTTTCAGTTTGGGTTTCTTATAATGGGGAATCATTACCCTTTCTGTAGGAAGAAGGAGATGTCAGACATACAAAAACATGTTTTAAGGAATGTATTCCAAGTCCATTTTCTAATGCAGAGGAATTCCCCAGGAGATGGGAGGTGTGGAGACACCACAGAGGCCGTAACACGGGACAGTCACAGGCAGAGGCTCTGGGGATGGGGGGCCAGGCAATGCCTCCTTCACCTGTCCCAGTCAAGGCAGCAAGTGGGGCCCCAGGATCCCTACTGCCCAACGCTTCCTCCTCAGTCTCCTGTGCACCTGTGTGAGATCCAGAGGCCTCAGGCATTCACCTTGAATCCACCCAAATGACAATCACCCAAGCCACTGAACACGCCTGATCAGATGCAGCTCGAGGAAAAAGCAGCCATGTCTTGTCTGAGCTGTTAATCAGCCGCTGCCCACCGACCAGCCACGCCTCTTCAAGGCGCACGCATTTTTCACAGATGGGGTGAGCACATGCGCTCCCGAGAAGCTGAGCGACATCACGGTTTCCGTGTACTCCGGTGATTGCAGAGTTCTCCTCGCCACCACCCCATCCATCTGCCGGGCACCCACATCCACGCCGGTTCCGTAAGCTGCTCTCCGGCTCTCCCAAATGGGCTGCTTGGGTGTTTCTCTTAGGGTTTTTGTTTGTTTGTTAGTTCGTTTGTTTGTTCGTTTGTTTGTTTTGAGGTCTGTTATTCCTATTAACACGATGTGTGTGTCCTGCACGAGGGGATTATAGACGTGTGTGTCCTGCAGCACCCACCCCTCAGTGTTAGAATCCATGAGACTAGTGTGTCCTTCGGTGATGAGGCCGCCCACCCCTCGGTGTTAGAATCCATGAGACTGGCGTGTCCTTCGGTGACGAGGCCACCCACCCCTCGGTGTTAGAATCCATGAGACTGGCGTGTCCTTCGGTGACGAGGCCGCCCACCCTTCGGTGTTAGAACCCATGAGACTGATGACCCTGAGAGTTGAAGCTTCACAGAAAGGAGGCCTCCCCAAAGTGCCTTTTCTGCGTGTGCATTTTGCGTGTCCTGAGTAGGGATACCCTTCTCAGCGATCTCTGTGGAACAGATGCTAAAGGTTCTCTTTTATCTAGCAGATTCTCTACTCTTCCCTTTAAGTTTCAGCTTCTCGTTTGAATGTACTTCCTACAGATAAGAAGAGATGTCTTTATATCAAGGAATGGATGACGGTGCGAAGAACTGAGTTTATAGAAATCCCCTTATTCTCGCTCTATACCCAACCACACACACAAATGATTTCTCCACTCTCACTTTACAGTGATGAAATATCACTGTTATTCTAATGCAGCCAATGTCACCTAAAGGTTGTCCTCTGTGTTCTGGTGAGTGGATGGTGCAGCAGTCAGGGGGCTGGATGAAGGCAGGCTCGTTCTCATTTAGGGAGGAGTAGGAAGTGCCTGTATCAGGACTCAGCCTGACCACCTGTGAGCCTGCCCCTGGGTGTGTGCATGTCAAGTGTCAAAAAATAGGTCACTTCCAAAAAGGCGTTCTTTTGAACTAAGCATGTAGGGTAAAGTAGTGCTCTTGAAACTTCAATGTGCTTACGAACCACCTGAGGATCTCAGGAGAATGCAGATTCTGACTCATGGGTCTGGAGCGGGACCTGAATTCTGCATCTCTGAAAAGGTTGCCATACATGGCAGCAATGCCGGTCCACAGACCAGAGTTTGAGTAGTGAGGGGGTAAGTCACACCCATCACAGAATATCAGCGGGTTTTTATCTGCTCCTACTGTGTGCCCTGCGCTGTGTTAGATTCCGCGAGAGATTGAAACTAAACAGGATGAGACAATCTCATCATCTTCTGAGATCGGAAGTTCTCACGAGAGAACAATTACAGGCCATGGTGTGGAAGAACCCGGGGATTCTGGGATTTAAAGAAAGATGGATTTTGGAGTGAAGTGATACTCACAGGTGTGAGTGACGGTGGACCCCGGCTGGAAGCCAGGCTGACCGTGTAATGACCGTGTGTGGTCTTGAGCAACTTACTGCATACCTTCATCTATTCGATCTTAGTTTTCACACCTGGTGAAACTGGACAAAGAACACTTGTGTGTGTGTGTATATGTCTATATACACCTATGATGTGATAGTTTGGGTAATTTTGAGGCCTGAAGGACAGGAGAGACAGGCTGGGAACTGCATGTTGGCTGATTCGCCAAAGAACCCAGCCCATTTCCCCATCCTTCTTGTGAGATCCTTGACATCTGCCTGGAAATGAGGGAGGGATGGAGATGGATGAGGCAGTAGGAGAGGAGAAAGCAAGGAAGAGGGAAGAAAAAATCTGAATAAGAGGTTCTTAGGGGCAGTAGAGTGCAAAGAGAGAGAAGCTTAGATTTATGAGGCTGAACTAAATTACAGATGGCCTTGAACACCGGCCCTCTCCAGAGCCTGGACTTGGTCCCAGAGCTGACCAGGGCTGTTTGCCTGGAACAGGAGCAACAGATGAAAATGGTCCTCCAGCAGGATTAATTCAGTGGGGCTGACAGCTCCATTGTAACATCCAGTCAGTTGTCTGTTAAACGGAGCCGTAATTGCAGTCATTAGGGCTGGTCTCTGCATCATGGGGAACCGGAATGTGGTTGGGTTTCCTGTGTTTCCTGTCCGTCAAGGAGGGGCCAGGTGGGAATTTCTGCATCTCACGTCCCTTGTCCTGGAAAGGTCCATCGCGTTTTTTCCTCTCCTAAGAGAAAACCAGTTTTGTTTTTATTTTTTGTAACTGTAGGTTAAGAAGTCAATGCTCTGCCTCAGTAAAGTGATAGTTTTATAGCTGATGTCGAGGAGGTGTGTCCAACCAGGAGGGGTCGGGGATAGCCCCTGAGGCGACGGGCAGCCTGTTCCTCAGGGTCTTGGCTATTTGAGAAAAGGAAGGGTCCAGAAGTGCAGGCTCTTCCTGAAAAGGCTCTAGAATCACATGACGTCTCAGCCGGCTCTTCCTGAAAAGGCTCTAGAAACACGTGACGTCACAGCCTCAAAAGCTTGGGAGAGAGTCCAGGCAATTGACAGGGGGACCCTCTGTGGCCACCGATTAATTCCCAGATGGCTGGTGGCGTCTGCTCTTAGGAAGCACCCTGGGAGCTTTTACTGCAACACAGAGGCACCAAGAGCTGCCGCTGGGACGTGGTGCGTGAACCAGCCTCTGCTCAGCTCGCCTCGGGAAAGGCACAGGTGGGAAGGCTGGACAGGTAGAGGTGACCGGAGCACTGGGATTCGGACAGGTTCTCAGCGTCTCCATTTCCAAATGGAGTCCTTGTGATGGGGGCGGGAGACATGGCTGTGCCGTGACTGGAAATTCATGGAGTCCTAGGAGGACTTCAGTCCGCCTGAGTGAGAATACATCAAATCTGGAGTAGATATTTTTCCCTTCAAAAATAAAGGGCAGCCAAGTGCAGTGGCACCTGTCTGTGATCGCAGCTACCTGGGATGCTGAGGCAGGAGGATCACTTGAGCCCAGGAGAGTGACTACAGCCTGGGCAATGTAGAAAGACCTCATCTCAAGGAAACAAAAGTGAAGAGTGACCTTGGGGATTTCATCAGCAAATCAAGCAGGAAGTTCAGGGAGCCATCTCAGTCGGGATATCTCTGAGCATTTAGAAATCATGTTAACCCCTCTGCACCCAAGGTGATGTTACTGTGAGCTGCTCGGTGGATCACAAAGGAGTTTGAAGGGAAGGCGCTGTGAGAAGGGTAGGTACAAGTGCCAGGCTGCTTGATGTTGGGGTGTTTGAGCACCACAGTCTCTTGGCCACGCACCACTGGGCACTCCTGCAGCTCCAGCCATCCATGGGCTGGGGTAGACTGTGAGCGGTTAATCTCCAGGCATCCGTGGACTGGGGTAGACTGTGAATGGTTAATCTCCAGCCATCCGTGGACTGGGGTAGACTGTGAGCGGTTAATCTCCAGCCATCCGTGGACTGGGGTAGACTGTGAGCGGTTAATCTCCAGCCATCCGTGGACTGGGGTAGACTGTGAGTGGTTAATCTCCAGCCATCCGTGGGCGGGGGTAGACTGTGAGCGGTTAATCTCCAGCCATCCGTGGACTGGGGTAGACTGTGAGCGGTTAATCTCCAGCCATCCGTGGGCGGGGGTAGACTGTGAGCAGTTAATCTCCAGCCATCCGTGGACTGGGGTAGACTGTGAGCGGTTAATCTCCAGCCATCCGTGGACTGGGGTAGACTGTGAGTGATTAATCTCCACACCCTCCTGGTCTCCCGAGCGCCTGGCACAGTCCTTAGCTGCGTCCTGGAGAACTGGTCTTCCGGGCCCTGCCTACCTCTCTGCCATCGCTGCTACCATTCTTTGTCTGCACCTGCAGGCTAAGGCTCCACGGGCCCCTCTTCTGTCGCTGACACAGCAAGGTTTTCCTATGTCAGCCTTCTCACGATCCATCCCTGTCCCCGGTCTGCCCCCGGCCCCGTCTCCATCCACAAGTGTTCCTTGTCATCCATCTCAGTGCTGAGTGGACACCGTCTCGGTGAAACTTCCTGCCCACCCTCCCAGAGAGGCTCCTCCTGTCCCCACCACACACAGAGCTCACCCAGGTTTCACCCTCTCCATTCCTAGATGTGTCCTTCACAGTGTTACCTAAATCTGCAATTCTTCCTTTTTTATTTCAATAGATTTTTGGGGAACAGGTGGTGTTTGGTTATATGGATAAGTGACTGAGTGGTGATTTCTGAGATTTTAGTGCACGCAAGCCATGTACACTGTACCCAACGTGTAGTCTTTTATCCTCCACCCCTTCCCATCCTTCCCCGAGTCCCCAAAGTCCATTGTGTCATTCTTACGCCGTTGCATCCACATAGCTTAGCTCCCACTTGTAAGTGAGCACATACAATGTTTGGTTTTCCATTCTTGTGTTACTTCACTTTGAATAATGGTCTCCAACTCCATCCAGGCTGCCGCAAATGCCATTATTTTGTTCCTTTTTTTGGCTGAGTAGTATTCCATGGTATATATATACCACATTTTCTTTTTTTACTCATTAGTTGATAGGCATTTGGGCTGGTTCTGTGTTTTTGCAATTGTGAATACACATGCATGTGCAAGGATCTTTTTCGTATAATGAGCCTTTTCTTCTGGGCAGATACTCACGAGTGGGATTGCTGGGTCAAACAGTAGATCTACTTTTAGTTCTTTAAGGAGTCTCCACACTGTTTTCCGTAGTGGTTGTACTAGTTTACATTCCCACCAGCAGTGTAGAAGTGTTCCCTGTTTACCACATTCATGCCAACATCTATTTTTTTATTTTTTAATTATGATCATTGTTGCAGGAGTGAGGTGGTGTCACACTGTGGTTTTTTTATTTGCACGTCCTTGATAATTAATGATGTTGAGCATTTTTTCCATATGTTTGTTGGCCATTTTTGTATCTTCTTTTGAGATTTGCCTATTCCTGTCCCTGGCCCACTTTTTGATGGGATTATTTGTTTTTATTTCTTGCTGGTTTGAGTTCCTTGAAGATTCTGGATATGAGTCCTTTGTCACATGCATAGTTTTTGAAGATTTTCTCCCACTCGGTGGGTTGTCTGTTTACTCTGCTGATTATTTCTTTTGCTGTGCAGAAGCTTTTTAGTTTAAGTCTCTTCTGTTTATCTTTGCTTTTGTTGAATTTGCTTTTGGGTTCTTGCTCATGAAGTATTTGCCTAAGCCAATGTCTAGAAGGGTTTTTCCAATGCCATCTTCTAGAATATTTAGGGTTTCAGGTCTTAGCTGTAAGTCTTTGATCCATCTTGGGTTGATTCTTGTATAAGGTGAGAGATGAGGATCCAGTTTCATTCTTCTATATGTGGCTTGCCGATTATCCCAGGACCATTTGTTGAATAGGGTGTCCTTTCCCCGCTTATGTTTTTGTTTGGTTTGTTAAAGATCAGTTGGCTGTAAAATCACATGATCATCTCAACAGTTGCAGAAAAAGCATTTGAGAAAATCCAGCATCACTTTATGATTAAAACCCTCAGCAGAATTGGCATAGAAGGGACATACTTTAAGTTTATAAAAGTCATCTATGACACACTAACAGCCAACATTATACTGAACAGGGAAAAGTTGAAAGCATTTTTCCTGAGAACTGGAACAAGACAAGGATGCCCACTTTTACCACTTCTGTTCAACATAGTACTAGAAGTCCTAGCCAGAGCAATCAGACAAGAGAAAGAAATTAAGGGCATCCAAATTGGTAAAAAGGAAGTCAAACTGTTGCAGTTCACTGATGATATGATTTTATACTTAGAAAACCTAGATCTGATAAATGAATTCAGTAAAGTTTCAGGACACAAAATCAATGTACACAAATTAGTAGCACTCCTATAGAACAATAGTGACGGAGCTGAGAATCAGATCAAGAACTCCACCCCTTTACAATAATAGCTGCAAAAATAAATAAATAAATAAATAAATAAATAAATAAATAAATAAATAAAATGCTTAGGAATATACCTAACCAAGGATGTGAAAAACCTCTACACCTCTACAAGGAAAACTGTAAAACACTGATGAAAGAAATCATAGATGACACAAACAAATGGTAACACATCTCATGCTCATGGATGGGTAGAATTAATATTGTTAAAATGACCATACTGCCAAACACAATGGATAAATTCAATATCATTCCTATCAAAATACCATCATCATTCTTCACAGAAGTAGAAAAAACAATCCTAAAATTCATATGGAACCAAAAAAGAGCCTGCATAGCCAAAGCAAGACTAAGCAAAAAGAACGAATCTGGAGGCATCACATTACCCAACTTCAAACTATACTATAAGGCTATAATCACCAAAACAGCATGGTACTGGCATAAAAATAGGCATGTAGAGCAATGGAACAGAATAGAGGACCCAGAAATAGAGTGTAATTTTTCTTTATGGGTTCGTTTATTTGTTTATTAGCTTTTTCCTTCCCTACATTTTAAATTCCAAAAAGACAATCAGATTTGTGATATATCATTGCATATGTAGTCCTAGATCTGTGCTGGTCCCATGGTGGGCATCAGCTGTTCTGTCAATGTTTCTTGAGTGAATCATTTTCATAAATACAATTAATCCGTTTCTATACTACTCTAATAAATTCCTATGTTGAAGCCCAAACTCCCAATGTGATGGTATTTGGAGATGGGGTTTTAGGGAGGTAATTAGTCTTAGGTGATGTCATGAGAGTAACCTCCTATTCCAAGCACTCTTAGAATGTCTGAACGTGTTATTAATGAGTAATTTTTATAATCAAAGGAAAACATTTAAAGGTGTTTTTCCAGGAATTAGTCATAAGTGAGCTTATTTTGCACAACTGTGATGGTCTGACTTGTCTGTATCCTAAGTTGTCACAGCTCACTGAGATATTAGGACTCTTCCACAGAAGCCACTCAGAACGCCCAGGCATGTCCTACCCCCTCGTAATCCCACCTCCCTCCCTGAGAAACGGCGTGTCATCAGCGGTGCTTGACCACTTTCAACTGGAGAAATTTTATCTTTTTAGCAACTCAAATAATTTGCCAGTTTCATAATCTCCAGGATTCAGTGTCAGTCATGGTGCTCAGTCATCCACCTCGCCCCAGTGTCTTACAACCCCTGAGCCTAAGAGCCTGTGATTGACTTAATCCCAGGTAGGGTGGGTGCTGGGCCTTGATTGGTGTTTAGTGGTGGCCAGATTTACACGTCACCCCCCAGGTTCCAGGCCAGGCTCTGTGGAGTGGGCTCTGCTGGGCATGTGACAAGGGTCCCATCCGTCCAGGGCTCAGGTGACCTTCCTGGAGAGGCTGGCTTAGGGCAGGGTGATGTTGGAAGCATGGCAGGGATTCAGCTGATGACAGGGAGGTTTGGTTGTCTGGAAGGGCATGTGTCCAGGGCCAGATGAAACCAGTGCAGTGTTTTAAGAAACTGGATGCAGCCTGCAGCAGGGGAACTTGAGATGTCTTGAGGGCTGACCCTGTTAAAGAGTTTCCATGTTCATTCAAGAGCAGCAGGAGTGTGTGGGGGGAAGGAGAGGGGCTCAAGCCCTGAGGCGGGCAGGCAGCTCAGCTCTGCTGAAACGTAGAATGCCCCCAGCAAGCACAGCACAGGCCCACTGAGTGGGGAGTGTACAGAGAAGTTTCTCTGGCAGGTGGGGTATGGCATGGAGGGGCTCCCTCTGGGGCCTAGTTCCCTCTTGCCATGGCTACTGCCTTGGGAATATTTTAGAAGTGAGTCTGGGGCCACTTGAGGCCAAAGAAGGGAAACTGGCATAACTGACCCCCCACCCCCGGCCCTGGTTCCAATGGCAGCACCCCTGCAGGGCACGTGGATCCTGGGTCCCTTCCACAGCTCCCCTGGGCCCCATGTGGTCGGTTTTCCCATGTGGGACACTTTGTAAGGTCACTCCCCTGTAGTTCCCCCTCCCTCCCAGATCCTCTGCCAGTCTGGGCAGCAATGTCCCTCCCAGGACGCTGCCCTTCTGCCCAGCAATCAATGCCATTTTCCATTAGGTTCAAGGACAGATCCTCCCCAACGTCCAGCGAGGCTGCGGCTGTCTTTAAAGGACAGACAGCCCACACCAGGGAGGACCTGGCAGGCTCGGCTCTTCCGCCAGCCTTGGGCATGTGGAGATCAAGTGAGGATGAGCTGTGGTTTGAGGACGTTTCCAAGCTTATTTTGAACAATGTTCCGTGGTTTTGCAACATGATCTCATGTGAACAGGCTGCGTTCAGCACAACATTCTCAGGGGCCACCGACCTGCGGATCCTCCCCATCACTTCTGTTCATTTCCCAAGTAAAATCCACCTTCCTTGATGGCAAACACAGGGTGGCCGTGGGGACGTTGTTAAAAGTGGGTCTAATCAGTGGAGCCTGTGAGGGCTTTTGCAGGGGTAATGAACACCACCAGCCAACGATCTTGTTTTTCCATCAGATAGATGCACAGAAAAACAACTTTGGGTGCAGCAAAAAGGATTTCGCTTTTTAACGTGGAGCTGTTGGAGTTTCAATTAAATCCAGAATTCATTAAAAATTTCCCAACAATGATATAAAGTACTCTCATTGTATTTAAATTTTCTGTTTGTAAACATGTAAACAGCTTATGTGAGGTGTTGCCACCACATCACCGTATCCATTAATCAATACTGATTTGTGTCCAGGCACAGTGGCACACGCCTGTAATCCCAGCACTTTGGGAGGCCAAGGTGGGTGGATCACCTGAGGTCGGGAGTTCGAGACCAGCCTGACCAACATGGAGAAACCCTGTCTCTACTAAAAATACAAAATTAGCCAGGCGTGGTAGCCCATGCCTGTAATCCCAGCTACTCAGGAGGCTGAGGCAGGAGAATTGCTTGAACCCGGGAGGTGGAGGTTGCAGTGAGCCGATATCGTGCCATTGCACTCCAGCCTGGATGACAGAGCGAGACTTCGTCTCAAAAAATAAAATAAAATAAAAAAATAAAAATAATAATTTGCTTCCATCGCTTTCAGTGCTCCTCGTGCTCCAGGCCACCATTGTCAGGATGCAGGTCTGACTGGCGCTGTGGAAACACAAGGCTCTTGGTTCTTGGTCCTTCACCTGATTCACAGCGCTAAAGCCTAGAGCAGAGTGGGCACACAATTATTTTATGAACAAATGAAAACATTTAAACCTGGGGATGTGCAGTGACTCAGAGAATATCGAATGTGCAGAAAAAGAAATGAAATCACAAGAAAAGGGCAAAATCCCCACATTCCCAAGAGCCTCATGTTCATGATCTTTCAATCTTTCAAAGACACGCAGGTTGTCTCATCCTTCGGATACCTGGAATCTCACCAGGGAAAGAAGGGATTGGACTTGGAGCTGCTTTCAGTTCTAAGGGAAGAAAACATTAGGAAGGTTTGCTCCGTCTCCAGAGGTCCTCCTTCCTCTCAGGCTGAGACCCATGGAGCATTAAGAGAACTCCAGGTTATGGCACAGATGATGCCATCCTTTGAGCTTTTAAAAACCGTTCATTTGGTAGAGATCTATTTGATGTCTAGTTAGTATGAACCAGACATTTATGAGCCATGGAGCACTGTCCATAAAGAGATGAGATAGATGAAATCTCAGTGTCCACACACTTGGCAGTGTAGTGGAGAGAGAGACGTATTAACAAACTGCAGTCTAGAATGAGGAGGCAGACGTGGTCATCAAGGAAGGCTGCCTGGAGGAAGTGACTTATATCTGGGTTTTGGAGGACTGTTGCCAGCAAATGACCTCACCCTGGGAGTGATTAAGAAACCTTCTTATATCTTTATTTTTCCAGTACCTTTTTGCCAAGACCTCTCTCTCTCTCTCTTCCCCCCCGCCCACCCCCCATGATTAGCATTTTAATTGGATTAATGTTCTTAAATTCATGTTTCTGAATAAGAATGACATGTATATGTACTCATCTTCTCAAAAACATCACATATCTCTTAGTTTATACAACTCTTCATTTATAAACGTTGGAAAATTTTAGTGCTCTTCATATAGATCAGAAACATTTCTTATGAGGTTTATTCTATTTATTATATGCCATTGTTGCTCTTACGGCAGAGATTTTCTTGTTAAATTCTGTAATTTGTCTCATGATGAGAATTTGGGAGGCCACAGAACGGTGAGTATCCAGCATCTTAGCAAACTGTTCACTGTCTCAAAGATCTCCAGGTTTTCCTAGAAAGAGAATCACATCATCCTCAAGTCACGTCATGATTTCCTTGCTGTGTGCGGGATGTTATTAGCTGTTTTGCGGGTGTCATACTCACAGTCTTGTCTGTGGCTTTCCTGGGATTAAATCTGCAAGTCAACAACAGGCTTCAGGATGTTGATCGTTTAAGAAACTGAGGAGGCCCACATTTGTTTGATTTTACTAAAAGTTTTGATCGAGTTTTGAAATTAAATTTCATCAAATGCCTTTCCACTGTG
The DNA here is from genome assembly GCF_000001405.40 of Homo sapiens. Taxonomy (NCBI): domain Eukaryota; kingdom Metazoa; phylum Chordata; class Mammalia; order Primates; family Hominidae; genus Homo; species Homo sapiens. The sequence continues at coordinate 1,213,369 of NC_000008.11, forward strand.
TATTGCAATGATAATCCAGTATGTCTCTATTAATTTATGGCAATAAATATTGATTTCCTAATATTACATCATCCTTAATGTCCTTAATGTCCCAGAGTACTCACCATATTGCTCACATTATAATGTTAAATATTCCTGACTTTATATCACCCGTGTTTTAGTGAGGGATTTCCACCTGTATTCCTAAGATTGCTGGGTAGGTTTTCTGCGGCATCTTCCTCAGATATGGATAGCAGGGGTAAGCAGCGTTCATGCATTCCTTAGGGAGCTTCCCGTCTTTCTCTGGGCTCTGATCCAGGTTAAATGGTGCAGGAATCACATCTTCTCTAATATCCAAGGGCCCTCTCCCATCAGGATGTCGGGGACCAAGGGCTTTCCATGAAGTGCTTTCTGGACACCAGCATCCATCTTTCCAGTGGCTCCCATGGCCATTGTGCTCAGCCACCGCTGCCTCCTGACCTGGTCTGGGTGATCCCTGCTTGCCTAGAAGATGAGCACATGGCAGACTCCGCCCCATCACTCGGGTCCTCACTCCTTTTGCTGGCCCAGTTCCTTTTCCACAGTGAGCTGAGGTTGACGGTGTAATTTCCCCATCTCCAGCCTTCAGAGGCCGCCTCTGCCCTAGCATCCATTCAGAGACCCGGCTGTGGTCTCTGTGCCTCCCTTGTCCACAGCCGCCTGTCCTCACCTCCATGTGGTTGCCAGGCTCCTCCCAGGCCTGGAACCCTCCCCAGGGGGCCTTGCGTCTTACCACACTTTCTCCCAGCCCCCTTCCCTCCACACCTCATTCCCTGCCAGGCCTCCCAGAACTGCCACCCAGCAGGTGTCTTTTATTCTTCAAGTCTCATTTTAAATGCCCCTCCTCAGCAAGTCCTCTCCCAACCAACCCAGGTGGAACTGGGAGTAGGACACCACAGCTCCAGGACAAAAGCTCACTACCTGCGGCCCCGCCACTCAGGTGATCGTTTTTCCGTGAGCAGCCCAGGGTGCTTTCCAGGGGGAAGAGGTGCCATTGCTGATGACAGAAGGGCATCTCGTAGATTGGGACTGCAGGTAGCAAGCAGGGCTGTTTGGTGGTTTTAAATATCAGCTATGAGTATTACCACCACTTTACGTAGGAGATGCTGAAACAGAGGGCAGTGGCCAAGGTAATACCCTAACCCGGAAGTCAGATCCCAGGAGTGGAGTAACCTTCTCACACGGCCTCCTCCTCATTTATCCTGTGGCCTCTTTCAATTAATTGATCATGTGTCTGCTTCTTCCCTATTGTCTGTTTTCAGTTAGGCTCTGAGGTCCTTTTTAACAAGGACGGCGCCTTTCATTCTGTGCACTGCACCTAGTTCTTCGCACAGACACAGCAGGTGTGCCTTAAGTCTATGTAGAGTGAATGAATGCATAAATATTTTCTATTGTTACTATCAAGATTTTCTAATTAGCCTTGACTTCCACATAACATTCTTTAATGAATTAAAGCCAAGCCATCTGTTGCTGTTGTTGTGTTTTCCACATTTGTGGCCATAACCTGAAGTTAATTGGGGCAGTTGCTTCCCTCCTCTGGCTGAAACACACTAGAACATGCGTTTAAAAATGCAGTGCAATCTCGTTTCGGGAGAGCACTCTGTGCTCTTGTATCTCACTGCCCACTTCTGTGTCTAAGTCTCATGGAAATAGTATAAGAACACAAAAGGGAAAATCAACGTCATCCATGCAGGAAACAGTAAAGGTCGTCAAGTGAGGAACTTTGGGGCACTAACAAAAATATGGTACAAAAGGGGGAGAATTGACAAAAGTCATTAATGGAGTGTCTCATTTTTGGAAAGGTAAACGAAATCCCAAATATCAAATTGGGAATGAAGATAAAGAATTTGTGAGTAGGAGAAGAGAAAGTCAAATTAAAATAATGTGTTACTAATTGTCTTCTTGACATGTCAGCACCTTCTGAGCATGATCATGCGAGGCTGATAGCTGAGGCTGGTTGAGAGCTGAGATCTAAAGCTAATCGTGCAGGTTGAGAGTGGTACCCTGATGGGTTCATTAGGGTGCATCACCTGGAGACGTCCAGGTACCTGGATGGGTTCATTTGGGTGCATCACCTGGAGACGTCCAGGTACCTGGATGGGTTCATTTGGGTGCATCACCTGGAGACGTCCAGGTACCTGGATGGGTTCATTTGGGTGCATCACCTGGAGACGTCCAGGTACCTGGATGGGTTCATTTGGGTGCATCACCTGGAGACGTCCAGGTACCTGGATGGGTTCATTTGGGTGCATCACCTGGAGACGTCCAGGTACCTGGATGGGTTCATTTGGGTGCATCACCTGGAGACGTCCAGGTACCTGGATGGGTTCATTTGGGTGCATCACCTGGAGACGTCCAGGTACCTGGATGGGTTCATTTGGGTGCATCACCTGGAGACGTCCAGGTACCTATATGGGTTCATTTCGGTGCATCACCTGGAGACGTCCAGGTACCTGGATGGGTTCATTTGGGTGCATCACCTGGAGACGTCCAGGTACCTCCATGGGTTCATTTGGGTGCATTACCTGGAGACGTCCAGGTACCTGGATGGGTTCATTTGGGTGCATCACCTGGAGACGTCCAGGTACCTCGATGGGTTCATTAGGCACATCACCTGGAGACGTCTAGGCTCATGCAGTGCTTGGGAGGAGCTTTCTGGTGCATCTGTGCATTGGTTGGCTCCAAGTTTGAATTACTTCTAATTTGTGAAAGGAGGTTCTGTTTTCTCAGTTGTAAAGGGTGTGTCTAGACAGGGGAGTGTGTGTTCGCATGTTTGCACACATCTGCAGGGGACTAATAGCTGCGCTTAACCATGTCACATTGGGGTCTTCAGGTCTCACGTGAACTGAGGTCTCAATTACTCTAGACATTGAGTGGTAACTACAGACAGCTCAGTCAACTTCATACAGGGGCTCTGATATCCAGGAAGGCATGTCCGTACTTCAGGGACTCAGGCTCTGTCCTAATTGTTTTTTTGTAAGGGGCAGGGTCTCACTCTGTTGCCCAGGCTGGAGTGCAGTGGCTCAATCTTGGCTCACTCTAGCCTTGAACTCCTGGGCTCAGGAGATCCTCCCTCTTCAACCTCCCACGTATGTGCCACCATGCCTGGCTAATTTTTTTTTTCAATTTTTTTACAGATTGTCTCACTATGTTGCCCAGGCTGGACTTGAACCTCCTGAGCTCAAGCAATCCTCCCACCTCAGCCCCTCAAAGTGCTGAGATTACAGGCATGAGCTACCACATCCTGCCCTCAATTGATTTTTAACCGCCAATAAGTATTTATCTAGTTTTTGCCTTAAACTGCACTATACGATCTCATATTACCTAGCCCTCCCTTTCTCTCTCATAACTGTTCATACATCATCCTCTCTTCCCCCACCAAAAATCTCAGATTTTTCTGAATCTGTTATGAAGTGAACAGTAGTAACCTAATCAGGGAATGAGTTCTTTTCTGTCTTAGTTGGGGGAAAGTAATTTACAAATCAAGGTAAATATGAGGTGTTTAATCCCCACACAGGTACTGTTTCTCATTTACAGTGAGACCTGGCAAGGATGATGTTGCTGCTTGGTTTTTTCTTCAACTTTTACCTTAGGTTTGGGGTGCATGGACAGGTTTGTTACATGGATAAATTGCCTAGCTGGGGTTTGGTGTACAAAAAATTTCATCACCCAGGTAGTGAGCATAGTACCCGATAGGTGGTTTTTCAACACTCTCCCTCCTGCCACCCTTCACCCTCAAATAGACCCCAGTATCTGTTGCTCCCCTCTTTGTGCTCATGAATTCTCAGTGTTTAGCTCTCAATTATCAGGGAGAACATGGAGTATTTAGTTTTCTGTCTCTGTGTTAGTTTGCTTAGGATAATGGCCTCTAGCTGCCTCCATGTTCCTGCAAAGGATATGATCTTGTTTTTTTATGGCTGCACAGTATTCCATCATGCATATGCACCACATTTTCTGTACCTAGTTCATCATTGCTGGCCACTATGTTGATTCCATGTCTTTGCTATTGTGAATAGTTCTGTGATGAACACAGGGGAGTGCATGTGTCTTTTGGTAGAATGATTTATATTCTATTGGGTATATACCCAGTAATTGGATTACTGGATCAAATGGTAGTTCTAGTTTTAGTTCTTTGAGAAATCTGTAAACTGCTTGGACTGTTTTCCCATTTGCTTGTTTCATCTCTGATTTCCTTTAGCAGTTTTGTAATTCTCATTGTAGAGACCTTTCACCTCCCTGGTTAGCTGTATTCCTAGGAATTTTAACCTCCCTGGTTAGCTATATTCCAAGGAATTTTAAATTAGTTCACAGTGGCTGAACTAATTTATATTCCCACCAGTAGTGGGAATATAAATTAAGCGTTATCTTTTCTCTGCAACCTTGACAACATCTGCTATTAATAATAGCCATTCTGACTGGTGTGAGAGGGTATCTCATTGTGATTTTGATATGCATTTCTATAATGAGTAGTGATGTTTAGGATTTTTAAAATATGCTTGTTGCTTGCATGTATGTCTTCTTTTGAGAAGTGTCCATGTCCTTTGCCCATTTTTTAATGGGGTTGTTTTTTGCTTGTTGATTTAAGTTCTTTGTTGATGCTAGGTATTAGACCTTTGTCAGAAGGGTAGATTTGCAGATATTTTCTCCCATTCTATAAGTTGTCTGTTTGCTCTGTTGATAGTTTCTTTTTCTATGCAGAAGCTCTTTAATTAGGTCCCACTTGTCAATTTTTGTTTTTGTAGAAATTGCTTTCAGAGGCATCATACAATGTTTGCCAACACTATGTTCAGAATGGTATTTTCTAGGTTCTCTTCCAGATTTTTTATAGTTTTAGGTTTTGCCTTTAAGGCTTTGATCCATCTTGAGTTAATTATTGTATATGGTAAAAGGAAGTGGCCCAGTTTCAATCTTCTGCATATGGGTAGCCAGCTATTCCAGCACCGTTTATTGAATAGCAAATCCATTCTCCAGTTGCTTGTTATTGTCAACTTTGTCAAAGATCAGTTGGTTGTAGGTGTGCCGCTTTATTTGGGGGTTCTCTATCCCGTTCCATTGGTCTATGTGTCTGGGTTTTGTTGTTGTTGTTGTTGTTGTTTTATTCTGTTTAGTTTTGTTTTTTTACCAGTACCATGTTGTTTTGGTTACTGTAGTTTTATAGTATAGTTTGAAGTTGAGTAATGTGATGCCTCCACCTTTGCTCTTTTTGCTTTGGACTTTTGTGGCTATTCAGGCTCTTTTTTGTTTTAATATATATTTTAGAATAGTTCTAATTATATGGAAAATCATGTTGGTAGTTTGATAGGAATAGCATTGAATCTGTAAATTGCTTTGATTAGTATGGCCATTTTACAATATTGATTCTTCATAACTATGAGCTTGGAATGTTTTTCCATTGACTTGTTTCATCTCTAATATCTTTCAGAATTTTGTAATTCTCATTGTAGAGATCTTTCACCACCTGGTTAGCTGTATTCCTAGGAATTTTATTCATTTTGTGACTATTGTGAATGGGGTTGTGGTCTGGATTGGGTTCTCAGCTTGGATGTTATTGGTGAATAGAAATGCTATTAATTTTTGTACACTGAGTTTATATCCTGAGACTTTACTGAAGTTTATCAGTTTTAGGAGCCTTTGGGCAGAAACTGCGGGGTTTTCTAGGTATAGAATCATATAGTCTAAAGACAGGTAGTTTGACTTCTTCTCTTTCTATCTGAATGCTTTCTATTTGTTTCTCTTGCCTGACTGCTCTGGCAAGGACTTCCAGTACTATGTTGAATAGAAGTAGTGTGAGAGGGCATTCTTGTTTTGTTCTGGTTCTCAAGGGAAATGCCTCCAGCTTTTACCCATTCAATATGATGTTGGCTGTGGTTTTGTCATAGATGGCTCTTATTTTGAGATAAGTTCCTCTGATGACTAGTTTGTGAGGGTTTTTAACATGAAAGGATGTTGAATTCTATCGAAAGCCTTTTCTGCATCTATTAAGATGATCATGTAGTTTTTATTTTTAGTTATGATTATGTGATGAATCACATTTATTTATGTTTGTTAAACCAAACTTGCATCCAGGAATCAATATTGCCTGCCTGACCGTGGTGGATTAGCATCTTAATGTGCTGCTGGATTTGATTTGTTAGTATTTTGCTGAGGATTTTTGTGTCTATGTTTATCAGGATACTTAGCACAAGTTTTCTTTTTTCTTTGTATCTCTGCCAGGTTTTGGTATCAGAATGATGCTGACCTCATAGAATGAGTTAGGGAGAAGTCCCTCCTCCTTGATTTTTTGGAATAGTTTTGTTGGTTTTGTACCAGCTCTTTCTTTTATGTCTGGTAGAATTTGGCTGTGAATCCGTATGTCCCAGGGCTTTTTCTTGTTGGTAGCTTATTACAGAATCAATTTTAGAACTCATTATTGGTCTGTTCAGGATTTCAGTTTCTTCCTGGTTCAATCTTGGGAGATGGTATGCTTCCTGGAATTTATTCTTTTTTTTTCTAGGTTTTTTAGTTTGTGTGCATAGTGGTGTTAGTAATAGTCTCTGGGAGCTTTTTGTATTTCTGTGGAATCAACAGTAATATCCCCTTTGTCATTTCTGATTGTGTTTATTTGGATCTTCTCTCTGTTTAAACTTAATCTAGCTAGTGGTCTATCAGTATTATTTCTTCTTTCAAAAAAACCAACTTATGGTTTTGTTGATGTTTTGAATGGATTTTTGTGTCTGAATTTTGTTCAGTTCAGTTCTGATTTAGGCAATTTGTTTTCTTCTACCTTTGGGTTAGGTTTGCTCTTGGTTTTCTAGTTTCTTTAGGTGTGGTGTTAGCTTATTAATTTGAAATCTTTCTAACTTCTTGATGTAATCATTTAGTGCTAGAAACTTTCCTCTTAACACTGCTTTACCTGTGACCCAAAGATTGTGGCATGTTGTATATTTGTTTTCATTAGTTTCAAATAATGTTTGGATTTCTACCTTCATTCTTTACCCAAAAGTAATTCAAGAGGAAGCTGTTTAATTTCCATGATATTGTATGATTTTGAGCAATGTTCTTGGTGTTGATCTCTGTTTTTATTGTGCTGTGGTCCAAGAGTGTGCTTGGTATGATTTGGGTTTATTTCAATTTGTTGAGAATGGCTGTATGGCCAAGGATGTTATCAATCTTGGAATATGTGCCGTGTGGAGATGAGACTATATATTCTGTTGTTGTTGGGGAGAGTATTCTGTAGATATCTATTAGGTCTATTTGGTCAAGTGTGAAGTTTAGGTCCCAAATATCTTTGTTAGTTTTCTACCTCAATTATCTGTGTAACACTGTCAGTGAGATGTTAAAATCTCCCACTATTACTGTGTGGTTATCAAAGTCTTTTCATAGGCCTCTGAGAAATTCTTTTATGAATCTGGGTACTCTAGCATTGGGTGCCTATATATTTAGTTTTGTTAAGCCTTCTTGTTGAATTGAACCTTTTATCATTATGTAATGCCTTTTTTGTCCTTTTTGATCATTGTTGGTTTAAAGTCTTTTTTTCTGAAATAAGAATAGCAGCTCTTCCTCTTGTTTGTTTTCCATTTGCTTGATAGATCTTTCTCCATACATTTACTTTGAGCCTATGGGTGTCTTCACATGTGAGATGAGTCTCTTGAAGACAGCGTACAGTTGAGTCTTGCTTGTTTCTTCAGCTTTCCACTCTTTGCCTTTTAACTGGGGGTGTTTAGCCTGTTTATATTGAAGGTTAATATTGGTATGTGAAGATTCAATTATGTCATGTTCTTAGCTGATCGTTATGTATACTCGGTTATATAGTTGTTTTTTAGTGTCAGTGGACTATGTACTTATGTGTGTTTTTGTGGTGGCAGATAAGGGTCTTTCATGTCCATGTCTACCAGTCCCTTTAGGACCTCTTCGAAGGCAGGTCTGGTGCTAATGAATTATCTTAGCATTTGTTTGTCTGAAAAGGATTTATTTTTCTCCTTTACTTATGAAGCATAGTTTGGCTGCATGTAAAATTCTTGGTTGGAATTTCTTTTCTTTACGGATGCTGAATATAGTTTCTTAATCTCTTCTGGCTTGTAAGATGTCTGCTGAAAGGTCCACTGTTAGCCTGATGGGGTTCCCTTGGTACATGACCTGCCTCCTCTCTAGCTGCATTTAGCATTTTTTTTTCATGCTGACTTTGGAGAACCTGATGACTATGTGTCCTGGGGATTGTCGTCTTGTATATTATCTCTCAGGGGTTCTCTGAATTTCCTGAATTTTCATATCAACCTCTCTGGCAATGTTGAGGAAATTTTCATGGACAGCATTCTCAAATATATTTTCCGAGTTGCTTGCTGTCACTCCACCTCTTTCAGCAATGTTAGCGAGTCATAGGTTTGCTCTCTTTACATTCTCACATATTTCTCAGAGGTTTTCTTCATTTTTAAGTGCTTTTCTTCCTTTATTTTTGTGTGCCTGTATTGAATTGAAGGAGTGGTCTTTGAGCTCAGAGATTCTTTCCTCAGCTTGGTCTATTCTGTTATTAATGCTTCTAATTGCATTCCGAAATTCCTGTGGTGAATTTTTTATTTCCAGTTCTGTTTGGTTCTGTCTGAAAATTGTTGTCGTTCAACTGTTGGACCATTTTACTGTTTTCCTTGGATTAGGTTTCAACCTCATTCTGAATCTTGAGCTTCTGTGCCATCCAGATTCTGAATTCCATGTCTGTTGTTTCAGCCATTTCAATCTGGTGAAGAAACATTGCCGGGGAGCTAGAGCAGTCATTTGGTTGTAAGAAGACACACTGGCTTTTAGAGTTACCAGAGTTGTTGTGCTGGTTCTTTCTCATCTGTGTGGGCTGATGTTACTTTAATCTTTGACATCGCTATCTTTTGGATGGGGCTTTTTGATTTTATATTCTTTGATGCCCTTGCGAGTTTGACTGTGGTATAAGCTGGGCTCAGTCAGTTCACTTTATTTCTGGAAGATTTCAAGGGATAAAGGCTCAGCTCAGCACCCAGGGGCTGCATGCTCTAACCCTGGGGGGCTAGGACCAGTCCCATGGCTTTGTTCTCTGGCCCCTCAAGTTTAAGTACCTGCTGTGCTGGAGGGGCCAAGGTGTTCTCAGTCCACTGGTAACGACACTCCAGTGGGGGCTGCTAGCCAAAGTGCTCTTGCAGAGTGATGGTAAGTACGTAAGTGCACATGCATGTATGTGCTGGCAAGATAGCAGGGGGAGTCTACAGGTAGGTGCATGCTGGCGGGGGAAGGCTGCAGGTGGGTGTACACGGTGGGGGGAGGCTGCTGGTGGGTGCATGCTGGCAGGGGAAAGCTGTGGGTGGGTGTGCACTGGTGGGGTTTATCTGCAGAAGTGCTCTGATGGTCAGACGGGCTCTGCTGGTGAGAGGGCTGGGGCTGTGGCCACTGATGAGAGCCTTGGCAGCTGTTGCTGTGCTGCAAGTGGGTGCATCCAGGCGGGGAGCCCAGGAGAGGCCAGCAGTCAGAGGGGCGTTCAGATCAGACTGGCTGCATCCCAGGAGCCGGCCAGCCGTGCTCTCTCCTGGTCCCACAGCTAACAAAGCCTAAAGCCACCTAGAGGAGTGTGGCAAGCCTTGGGGGACGGGTGCCCATGGCTGAGCTCCACTGCAGCCGTTCCCACACCAAATCTTCTGGAGTTCTGTCTGCCAACTCCTTGGGCACTTCTCCCTGCCAGCTCAGAGGTCTGTGGGGGTCATTGAGTCTCCCATAGGTGGGATCGGGGAGATCCATGTGAAGAGTGGGCCACTCCATGCCTGTTTCCCTTAGTCCTCCCCTAGGAGTCACTCAAGGCCAATAACAAGTCCTGGTGCCCAGCAACCCTGTCCAGGGTTCCCACCTTCCTCCCCTTTCAGCCAGGGATCTGTGTCCTCACTGTCCACTTTGAAAGCCTTTTTTCCAAGGATCTGTTCACAGTGTGCAGGTCTATGCCATGGGCTGGTCTCTGTGAGAAGCGCTTCCCGTGTGCATGGAGCCAGCCATCTTGGCTCTTCTCCGCGGTGCTGCATTTTTTAAAGAGTGACTACTGTTCAGGGTGGGGAGAAGAAGTACTTTGAAACAATTAGTGGGTGGATGACATTTCTCTTTCTTCTACAAGATGACTAAAAGTTTAAAATATTAAAGAAAAATATCATTGTATAAGAAGGGCTGCTTGAAAGAATGGTTTGACCAGGGTTGTTGATCTTCACTTTCTCTTTTTTAAAAATATGACATTAAGAATTGTAAGTGCCTTAAACACTAGAGACATACGCACTGATTTGTGTTCCCACAGCAAGATTTCTGAAAGGGAAGAGCAAGACTTGTCTGCCACTGTGGGCCCCTGCAGCCATTATGGAGGGTTCTGTGATGACTGTTTGGTTTTCCCTAAGGGAAGTGGGATAATCAACCTGTCGGAATCTCAAGGATAAAAACAATTGAATAGTAGGCAGAGATTTATTAAGCACCCATATGCTCTATATGTGTATATTTATTGAGCATCTATATGTTCTGTTCTCTAGCAAACAATGTGTGAGATGGAGAAAAACAGAAGACATACTCCTTGTTGTTAAAAACAATAAGGATATTTTCTCAACCTTAATTATTTTACCTTATTAATTTTGACTTCTCATTGTTTCCCCTTGATGTGGATTAATATGAAGGCAGATTCAAGTTAAGCAATGAATCAAAACGATATTCTTTGAGCGTACGATATGTTTGTGGCATCGTGGCAGACAGAATTTAAACCACATGGATGATTAAGATAGGTTTTCTCCTCTCAAAGGAGCCATTGTCTAAGAGGAATTGCAAGAAAATGACAGATAATGAAAATATCTCTTATTTTAGCATTTACCTGGCATTCGTGGCACATTTAATGTGGGTCAGGAAGAGGGAATATCAGGATGAGTAAGGCACAGTTCTCTCATATAAGAGACATAATTGACATGCGTATTTGTAACTACCGTCAAGTAGGAAAAATTTTCACTGTCATATCCCAAGCACCAAGAACAGAGCCTGCTTGGCAGATAGAAAGCATCTTAAATAATTATTGAATTAATACATATTTATGTACAAGTTCATTTTTAAAGGTACTTTCACATTCAGGTGTTTATTTCATCTCAAAACTATTGTGTGAAAGAGTAGACCAGAAATTAATAAAATATAGAATACAAAAAATGATAGAAAAAAATCAATGAAACTGTAACTTTATTATTTGAAAAACTCAACAAAATTGTTAAGCCTTTTATTAACTCATAAGGAGAAAAAAAGAGATGACTGAAATTACTAAAATCCAGAATGAAAAGAGAGATTACTACTAACCTTACAAGAATAAAATGAATTATAGTGTCTATAATAGTTGAAGAACTGTTAAAATTCAACAACACAAAAGCCTAATTTTAAAATGAGCAAGGGGACTGGATGGACATTCTCCAAGGAAGATATACAAATGGTCAACAAGCACGTGATAAGATGCTTAAAACTATGAGTCCCTGGGGAGATGCGAGTCAAAACCGCAGTGAACTGCTCCCCCACATCTGCTAGGATGGCTGTTGGTGACAAAATTAATCGGAAGCAAAGTGACAAGAGTTAGCAAGGATATGGACAAACTGAAATCCTCATATGTTGCTGTTGGAAATGTAAAGTTATTTAGCCATTGTGGAAAAGAGTTTAAGTTTTCACTATCCACAAAAACTTAAAATGGAAAAGAATGCCATCCTGCCTGTGTGCCCAAAAGAGCTGGAAATAGGTGCCCAAACCAGTGCGGGAGCGTCCATGCTCACAGCAGTGCTTGCATGATAGCCGAAGGGGAACCACCTGGATGTCCACAGGGGTGGATGGATAAGCACATGCCATATGTACAGACAACGGAACATTTCTCAGTTATGAACACGAGTGAGGGATTGGTAGATGTTACAGCGGAGGAAGGACCTCAGAAACCTTATGCTCAGTGAAAGAAGCCAGACAAAAAATGTCACATATTCTGTGATTTCACATCAATGAAATATCCATAACTGGTAAATCCACAGATACAGAACACCGAGGTAATTGCCAGCGGCAGAACAGAGAGGAGAATGGGGAACGGTCACTTACTAGGGTGGGGTTTCCTTTTGGACTGATGAAAAACGTCTTGAAACTGGACAGAGCTGGTTGAACAACACGTGAATGTATTAAATGCCACTACATGGATCCCGTCAAAATGGTTAATTTTATGTTTTTAATTATACCTCAGCTTTAAAAATTAAAATCATATGCAAGTATCATGAACACTTTTAAGCCAATAAATTTGGTATCTTAGGTGAAATGAACAAATTTCTACTAGGTACATACTACCAAAAATAAGAAGAAATACTGGGGAGCTCTTGGTCCAAGGACAGAACATCTCAGTTAGACTGAAGGACTAAGTTCAAGACATCTATTGTGTATTGTGGTGAATGCAGTTTATAATATATTGTATAAATCAAAATTGCTAAGGAGTAAATTTTCAGTTCACACCACAAAAAAGTTTAAGCAGGTTGATTTAGCCATTCCGTAATGTATGCATATATCAAAACATCATGCTGTATGCTGTAAATATATATATAATTTTTCCTTTTCATTTTTAATATTTTAGAAAGATATTTTTACAAGGTGGTGATTTCATTTCTCATAGGTATATATGCATATATATGGTATATATGGAAGAGGAATTGCTGAGTCATATATCTAATAAGGGGGTAATATCCAAAATTTATAAAGAACTTATATAATTAAATAGCAGAAAAATAAATAGCTCAGTTTAAACCATGGGCATTCTGTTATAAAGATGCATGCGCACGTATGTTCAGTGAAGCACTGTTCACAAGAGCAAAGACACAGAATCAACGCAAATGTCCATCAATGATAGACTGGATAAAAAAAATGCGGTGCACCATGGAATACTATGCAGCCATGAAAAGGAATGGGACCATGTCCTTTGCAGGCGCATAGATGAAGCTGGAAGCCATTATCCTCAGCAAACTAACACAGGAAAAGAAAACAAAACACTACATGTTCTCACTTATAAGTGGGAGCTGAACAATGAGAAGGTATGGACACAGGAGGGAGGAGAACAACACACACAGGGGCCTGTCAGGGGGCAAGGGGGAGGGAGAGCATCAGGATAAATAGCTAATGCATGTGGGGCTTAATACCAAGGTTGATGGGTGCAGCAAACCACCATGGCACACATTTCCCTATGTAACAAACCTGAATGTCGTGTACATGTATCCTGGAACTGAAAAAATAAATGAAATATGGGCAAAGGACCTGAGTAGATATTCTCAGAAGATGATATAAAAATGACCAACATGGTTTTGATTTGCATTTCCCTGAGGATTAGTGATGTTGAGCGCTTTTCACACAACTGTTGAACGTTTGTGTAATCCTCAGTAAACATCAGTAATCCTCAGGGAAATGCAAATCAAAATCACTGAGATACCACCTCATGCCCACCAAATAGCATAGCTATGAAAAGAGAGAGGAGATAACAAATGTTAGTGCAGAGAAAAGGGAACCCCCACACTTCAGCAGGAAAGTAGATTTGTGCAACAATTATGGAAAACAGTATCGACGTTCCTAAGGAAAGTAAAAATAGAATTACCCTATGACCCTGCAACCTGTCTTCTGATTGTACCCAAAGGGAACAAAATCACCACCTCGGAAATATATCTGCACTCCCTGTTCACCTGTTCATTGCAGCGTATTTCACAATAGCCGAGATACAGAAATGACCTGAGTGTCCTTCAACAAATGAATGGGTAAGGAAACTGTGAGATATATATATATATATATATAGTATAGATATATATTATCCATTCATTTTTAAGAGTGTTATATATATATTTGTTTTATACACACACACAGAATGGGATATTATTCAGCCTTATAAAAATAAGATCCTTATGTAATGCCTTTCTTTTTCTCCTTTTCGATCATTGTTGGTTTAAAGTCTGTTTTTATTTTTTTTTTCTGAAATAAGAATAGCAACTCTTCCACTTGTTTGTTTTCCATTTGATTGATAGATCTTTCTCCGTACATTTACTTTGAGCCTGTGGCTGTCTTCACATGTGAGATGAATCTCTTGCAGGCAGCCTACAGTTGAGATTTGCTTCTTTTCTTTTCTTTTTTTTTTTTGATGGAGTTCTGCTCTGTCGCCCAGACTGGAGTGCAGTGGCACAATCCTGGCTCACTGCAAACTCCACCTCCCAGGTTCAAGCAATTCTCAAGCATTGCCATCTGTGACAATGCGGATGGACCTGGAGGCCGTTATGCTAAATGAAATAAGGCAGACACAGGAAGAAAAATATTACATGATGTCACTTATATGTGGAATTATATAAAGAGATAAAACTAGTTATCAGGGATGGGGTAGAGAGAGGAAAAGGAGAAATGTAGGTGAGAGGGTACAAAGGAGCAGATAAGATGAACAAGTCTGGAGATCTATCATACAACAGGAGAATTATAGCTAATAAAATTGAACTGTATTTGGAATTATTTATTGCTAAATTAGTACGTCTTAGCTGCTCTTGCTATACACACACAAAATGGGTAACTATGTGAGATGATGGATATGTTATTTTGCTTTACTATAGTAACCGTTTTACTATTTATATGCATGTTATGACATGTTATATACCTTAAATATACACAATAACACTTGGACACAGGAAGGGGAACATCACACACTGGGGCCTGTTGTGGGGTGGGGGAATGGGGGAGGGATAGCACTAGGAGATATACCTAATGTAAATGATGAGTTAATGGGTGCAGCACACCAACATGGCACATGTATACATATGTAACAAACCTGCACGTTGTGCACATGTACCCTAGAACTTAAAGTATAATAAAATAAAAATAAAAAAATACATAAATAAAACTTTAAAAAAAGGAAATCTGAAAAGATCTATAACATGGAAAGAGATTGAATTAATAATCAAGCTAACTATGCCAAAGGAAATCCAGGTTCAGATGGTCTCACTGGTGAATTCTGCCAAACATTTAAAGGATAAATTAATAACAATCTTACATATGCTCTTTCAAAATCAGAAGTTGGAGGGAGTCCCCAACTCATTCTGTGAAGCCGATATTTGTCTGATACTAAAACCATACAATGACATCATAAGAAACTACAAACCAGTGCCTCTTATGAATATAGATATAAAAATCCTCCACAAAATAACTAGCAAATTGAATCCAGCAACATAGAACATACCCAACTAGATTTTTTCCAGGATTTCAAGTTTGTTTTGACATCTGCAAATCAATTAATGCAATGCAACATATTAATAGAATAAAAAGGGGAAAATGACATCAACTCAATAGGTGCAGAAGAAGTATTTGACAAAATTCAACACCTCTTCATAACACTCAACAAACTGGAAATAGAAGAGAAATCCTCCATCTTAAAATAACATATACGAACAACCTATAGTTAACACCATACGTAATGGTTAAGGACTGAAAATTTTGCCTCAGTGACCGGGAGCAAGACAAAGATCTTGGCTGTCACTACTTCTATTCAACATTGTACTGGAGGTTCTAGGCAGGAAAAGCAGATGAGAAAAAAGAAAAAGCATTCCTATTGGAAAGGAAGAAGCAAAACAATATCTATTTGCAAGTAACATAAAGTTGTATAGAAAATATTTAGAAATTTCCTAACAAATTATTAGAAATAATAACTGAATTCAGCAAGATTGTAGGATACAAAATCAGCATACGAAACTCAATTGCATGCATGTATACTGCCAATGTACAATACAAAAATGACCAAGATGTTATAAAACTTATACTCTGAAAACTATAAAATATTGAAATATTGAGAAAATTAAAGAAGGTTTTAGTATCAAGGTGATGCTGGTTTCATAGAAAGAGGAGTTCTTCTACCTTGATTTTTTTTTTTTTGGAATAGTTTTAGAATCGGAATCAGCTCCTTTTTGTACGTCTGGTGGAATTCAAGTATGAATCCATCTGTTCTGAAGCTTTTTTAAGTTGGATTTTTATTACCAATTCAGTTTTGGAACTTGATAATGATCTGTTTAGGGTTTGTATTTCTTGCTGATTCAATCTGGCAAGATTATGTATTTCCAGGGATTTATCTACTTCCTCTAGATTTTCTAGTTTGTGTGTGTAGAGGTTTCATAATAGTCTCTGAGGATCTTTTGTTTTTCTGTGGGATTAGGTGTAATGTGACCTTTGTCATTTCTGATTGTGCTTATTGATGAACACAGATGCAAACATTCTTAACAAAATACTAATAAAACCAACAGCACATCAACAAGTTAATTCACCACAATCAAGTAGGCTTCATTCTTGGGATGCAAGGTTGGTTCAGTGCACACAAATCAATAAATGCAGTTCACCACATAAACAGAATTACAAACAAAAACCATACGTTCATCTGAGTACATTTGGGGAAAGCTTTAGATAAAATCCAACACCCTTTCATGATAAAAACCCTCCAGAAACTAGGCATCAAAGGAACATACCTCAAAATAATAAGTGCCACCTATGACAAACCCACAGCCAACATTAATACTGAATAGACACAAGCTGGAAGCATTCCCCTTGAGAACTGGAACAAGACAAGGATGCCCACTCTCACCACTCCTATTCAACATAGTGCTGGCCAGAACAATCAGGCAAGAAAACGTAGTAAAAGACATCCAAATAATAAAACAGGAAGTCAAACTATTTGTCTTCACAGATGATATGATTCTATACCTGCAAAACCCCAAAGACTCTGCCAAAGGGCTCCTGGAACTGATAAAGAAAATTTCAGTAAAATTTCAGCATACAAAATCAATGTACAAAAATCAGTAGCATTTCTAGAAACCAGTGAAGTTCAAACTGAGAGCCAAATCAAGAACGCTATCCTATTCTTAATAGCTACAAAAAGAATAAAATACCTAGTAATACATCTAACTCGAAGTGAAAGATATCTACACGGAGAACTATAAAACACTGCTACAATAAATCATAGATGGCACAAGCAACCAAAAACATTCCATGATGATGGACTGGAGGAATCAATATTGTTAAAATGGCTGTACTGCCCAAAGCGATCTACAGATTCAATGCTATTCCTATCAAACTACCAAAGTCATTTTTCACAGAACTAGAAAAAAACTATTCTAAAATTCATGTAGAACCAAAAAGCTCGAATAGCCAAAGCAATCCTATGCAAAAAGAACAAAGCCAGAGGCATCATGTTACCTGACTTCAAACTGTACTATAAACCTACAGTAACCAAATAGCATGGCACTGGTACAAAAACAGACACATAAACCAACAGAACAGAATATACAACCCAGAAATGAACCCATACAGCTAAAGTCATCTAATCTTTGACAAAGTTGACAAAAATAAGCAATGGGGAAAGGGCTTCTTATTCAATAAATGTTATTAGCATAACTGGCTAGCCTTATGCAAAGAATGAAACTGGATTCCTGCCTTTCAGCATATGCAAAAATTAACTCAAGATGAATTACAAATTTAAATGTAAGACCTCAAACTTCAAGAATCCTAAGAAAAAAAATAGGAAACACCATTCTGGACATCAGCCTTGGGAAAGGATTTATGACTTAAGTCCTTGAAAGCAACTGCAACAAAAACATAAATTGACAAGTGGGACCTAATTAAGTTAAAGAGCTTCTGCATAGCAAGAGAAACTATCAACAGAGTAAACAGCCTACAGAATGGGAGAAAATATTTGCAAGCTATGGTCTAATACACAGAATCTATAAGAAACTTAACAGTTGAACAAGCAAAAAACAAATAGCCCCATTAAAATTGGACAAAAGACATAAACAGACATTTCTCTAAAGACATACATGTAGTCAAAAAACCCACGAAAAAATGCTCCATATCTCTAATTGTTATAGAAATGTAAATCAAACCACAATGAGATACCATCTCACGCCAGTCAGAATGACTATTATTAAAAAGTCGAAAAACAACAGATGCTGGTGAGGGTGCAGAGAAAAGGGAATGCTTATATCCTGTTTGTGGGAATGTAAATTAGTTCAGCCATAGTGGAAAGCAGTTTGGAGATTTCTCAAAGAATTTAGAACTACTGTTTGACGCAGCAATCCCATTACTGGCTATGTATCCAAAAGAAAACAAAATTGTGCTATTGAAAAGACACATGCACTCACCTATTCATTGCAGCACTACTCACGATAGCAAAGAGAGGAAATCAGCCTAGGCATGCAACACAGGTGGACTGGATAAAGAAAATGGCTGTGTACACCGTGGGATACTGCATAGCCATAAAAAGAATGAAATCGTGTTCTTTGCAGCAATGTGGATGCAGAAGGTCATTATACTAAAAGAACTAACACAGGAACAGAAAATCAAATAGTGAATGTTCTCATTTGGAAGTATGGATATAATGATGGCAACAGTAGACCCTGGGGGCCGCTAGAGGAGGAAGGAAGGGCGGGAGGAAGTGTTGGAAAACTACTGGGTACTATACTCTGTAGCTGGGTGACAAGTTCAGTCATACCCCCAAATCTCAGCATCCTACAATAGACCCAGGTAACAAACCTGCACATGTACCCCTGAATGTAAAATCAAAGTTGAAAAAATTAAAAAATGTAAATCTTCAAAATAAAATAATAAATGCCAGTAGCCAAAAGAAAAATTGCTGTGGGAATCTGAAAGTACCACACAAGTAGTGAACCAATATTTTGAATTCCTTTTTAACTTTAATTTGAAGAAGGGCCTGGGATGGTTATTTGAGGAGCTCTCATCCAGCACTGTCCCCTTCACGACTGGGTGGTGCTGAGCCTTTGGGGCAGCTGGAGAACAAACTGTCACTTTGCACACTTGCCGGGGTCATCAGCCAGCAGAAGCTGGCCCACAACGCAAAAGGACCCCGTGCTGAGGAGTGGGTTTTCCCGGCTTGGCTTTGCTGTTTGGACCTGAGTGGGGGTGTCTTCCTCTGGCCCCACAGGCTGTGAAGAGCCCACTTTTTGGGGCCAACATGAGCAGTCCTCTGTCCTCATCATTCCAGGTCTCTGCCCCATCCCTTTCTCCAGCACCCTCATGGTAGTGACTACCAGGGTCAGGTGCAGGCTGTGATGAGGGGAGGATGCCTCCTCCGTCTCGAACCTCACGTCAACTCCTTTCCTCTTGCATCACTGTGCTGGGCTGAGGCTCAATGTGGTGATGGGGGCTGTGGCTGTTTGGGAACGACTTATCCTTTACATTGGCTGATGTTTGTATTTGTTGAGTGTGGAATCCACAAGATGCTTTCATGTAGGCATTTCATTTCTCCTTGCAAAATCTCTGTAAAGTAGGCACCCTCCCTCTCAACACAAGACAAGGTGCATGTTCAGTGACTTGTCTGAGGCCACTCACTCATTCACACATTCATTTCTTCCACTAACTTTTTTGAGTAACTTTATTGAAGTGTAGTAAACGTATCGCAAGGTTTAGCTTTTTGAAGTGTGCGAGCCAGTGGCTTTTAGTGTGTTTGCACGGTTGTGCAGCCATCGCCATAATCTAATTTTAGAATATTTTATCATCATTAGTAACCACTCCCATTCTAGGCCCACCCCCTGCCCAGCCCTAGGAAGTCCCCAGTCTACTTCCTGTCTCTATGAACTTGCTATGCTGAACATTTCATAGGAATAGAACCATCTGGCATTGGCGGAATTTTGTGCCTGGTTTCTTCCACTTAGCACCACGTGTTCAAGTTTCATCCATGTGGTAGCAGTGCCAGCGCCTAATAGACACTCCCTCCATGCTTTTAATGAGCAAATGACATTCCATTGTTTGGATATACCCCATTGTATTTATCTGTTTGTCACTCATTGGACATTTGAGTTGTTTCTGCCTCTTGGCTATGATGAATGAGAGGCTGCTGTGAACATTTGTGTGAGCATCCTGGATGCATTCCCCTACCTTTCACTGAATATTTGCCACGTGATATATTTACAGAGATGAGTCAGGCCTGGCCTGTGCTCTAAGAAGCCTTTAATTCAATAGCAGAAGACTCAGCTGTAACCTCCTGGGAGCAAGGGCGTGCCTGTCTTAGTAATTATTGCAAACGTCCTGCCTACCACGGGCCTGAATGGTTGGCTAACGGGGCTAATCGCAGAGCGCAGGGAAGGTTGGGATGCAGACCGCAGCTGGAGCCCTGTGATGTGAGAGGCCTGGAAGGATTTCAGAGGCCACTCAAGGGGACCTGATGCAAGGGGCGAAGATGGAACTCAGTCTCGGAGCTGCCCAGCTCTGGGTCCAATGGGCAAGACTTGCTAAGCTTCGTTTGTGTTTTTAGTTACTGATAGATGATCTCAGTGCCTAAGAGTGTGTTGAGCACATGTCAGTTGACTTTCTGGGAAACACGCAGGGCTGTAAGTATTTAGGACATCAGGGTCTCACTGGGAGCTGTACTCCCTACTTGAAAATATAAAATGTACCTAAATATAGAAGTCTTGGAAAGAGTTATTTTAATCCGTAAGCTAAACCACTGTCCTCTACACATGATAGTGTCACACGGATGTATATGGAGGATAATAATTGTAATGGTATTAATGACACAAAAGGACTTAAGGTGTCCTAGGACGGGGTTTGACCAGGTGGTCAATAGGCCTGCACTGGGAGGGCTTCATGGTGACTGATCTGTTGGTGACTGCTAATGGCACTATTGAAAGGCCCAGGTGAATACCTAACATTTTTAAAGAGATAAAGTGCCAAAGAGAAGTTCTTCAGCATTGTAGCCTGTTGCTATAAAGAGGAATTAAGTTTCAAAGGCTTCTCCTGTCCTCCCTCGAAAGCGGAAAGTCCTGTGCGGCTGTTGTCGTAGGTGGTGCACCTGTCTGCTGGGACTTCTGTAACCAGTGGCACAACCCTGAGTGGAACCAGCACAGGAATGCACGTCTCACCGCTCTGGAGGCCACGGGTCTGAAATCAGGGTGTCTGCAGGCTGCTTTCTTCTGAGCCTGTGAGGGAAGTACGTGTTCTAGGCATCTCTCCTAATTCCTGGCCATTCCTTGGCTGTGGTGGCATCACCCCGATCCTCACATGACACTCCCTGTGGGTCTGATTCCAGTGTCAGCTTTTCATAAGGACACTAGTAATACTGAATCAGGGCCTGTCTCCCCAGGATTAGGGTGACCTCTCCTTAACCATTTACAGCAACAATGACCCTATTTCTAAACTAAGGTCACATTCTGAGGTCCTGCAGGTGAGGACTTCACATTTGAATTTTGTGGAGGCACAGGCTGTTCTAGATGGTTTCAGCTCTAAAATAATCCCGTCTCTGGAACAGATCGAGAACGAGGCTTAAAATTATGTCCCACGAGCTTGACTTTGGACTGACAGTGATTCTGTTGCACGTCACACCCTTTCTGGGAACTCATAGGTGGTTAGGATCAAGCTGCCTCTGCCTTGCGCAACTGGGGCCTTTCATGTGCCCTCAAGTGAGTGAGTTCACGGCGTCACGTCAGGAGTGATACCCGGACTGTTCAACACTTAACTGTCACAGCGCTGTGTCTAGGAGCTCCCTCTCACGTGGCGCCATATCTAGTTCTCTCGCACACAAAGCATTGTGTCTGCTTCTCTCTCACATGCCACTGTGTCTAGTTCTCTCACGCATAGCATCGTGTCTAGTTCTCTCACACATAGCGTTGTGTCTAATTCTCTCTCACATGGCGCCATGTCTAGTTCTCTCACATGGCATCGTGTCTAGTTCCCTCTCACATGGCGTCGTGTCTAGTTCTCTCACACATGGCGTCGTGTCTGCTTCCCTCACACGTGGCGTCGTGTCTAGTTCTCTCACACATGGCGCCGTGTCTGCTTCCCTCACACATGGCGTCATGTCTAGTTCTCTCACACATGGCATGTCTAGTTCTCTCACACATGGCGTCGTGTCTAGTTCTCTCTCACATGGCGTCGTGTCTAGTTCCCTCACACATGGCATCGTGTCTAGTTCTCTCTCACATGGCGCCGTGTCTAGTTATCTCACACGTGGCGTCGTGTCTAGTTCCCTCACACATGGCGTTGTGTCTCGTTCTCTCTCACGTGGCATCGTGTCTAGTTCCCTCACACATGGCGTCGTGTCTAGTTCCCTCTCACATGTTGCCGTGTCTAGTTCTCTATCACACATAGCGTCATGTCTAGTTCTCTCTCACACAGAGCATCATGTCTAGTTCTCTCACATGGCGCCATGTCTAGTTCTCTCACATGGCACCATGTCTAGTTCTCTCACATGGTGCCGTGTCTACTTCTTTCTCACACATAGCATCATGTCTAGTTCTCTCTCACACAGAGCATCATGTCTAGTTCTCTCACATGGCGCCATGTCTAGTTCTCTCACATGGCGCCGTATCTAGTTCTCTCACATGGTGCCATATCTAGTTCTCTCTCACGCATAGCATCATGTCTAGTTCTGTCTCACACAGAGCATCGTGTCTAGTTCTCTCACATGGCGCCGTGTCCAGTTCTGTCACATGGCTCCGTGTCTGGTTCTCTCACATGGCGCCGTGTCTAGTTCTCTGCCACATGGCGCCGTGTCTAGTTCTCTCACATGGCGCCGTGTCTAGTTCTCTCACATGGCGCCGTGTCTAGTTACGTCTTACATGGTGCCGTGTCTAGTTCTCTCTCACACATAGCGTCATGTCTAGTTCTCTCTCACACAGAGCATCATGTCTAGTTCTCTCTCACATGGCACCGTGTCTAGTTCTCTCACATGGTGCCATGTCTAGTTCTCTCACATGGTACCATGTCTAGTTCTCTCACATGTTGCCGTGTCTAGTTCTCTCTCACACATAGCGTCTTGTCTAGTTCTCTCTCACACAGAGCATCGTGTCTAGTTCTCTCACATGGCGCCGTGTCTAGTTCTCTCACATGGCACCATGTCTAGTTATCTCACATGGTGCCGTTTCTAGTTCTCTCACATGGCGCCGTGTCTAGTTCTCTCACATGGCGCCGTGTCTGGTTCTCTCACATGGCGCCGTGTCTAGTTCTCTCCCATGGCGCCGTGTCTAGTTACCTATCACATGGTGCCGTGTCTAGTTCTCTCACATGGCGCCATGTCTAGTTACCTCTCACATGGTGCAGTGTCTAGTTCTCTCTCACACATAGCGTCATGTCTAGTTCTCTCTCACACAGAGCATCATGTCTAGTTCTCTCACATGGCGCCATGTCTAGTTCTCTCACGTGGCGCCGTGTCTAGTTCTCTCACATGGTGCCGTGTCTAGTTCTCTCTCACACATAGCGTCATGTCTAGTTCTGTCTCACACAGTGCATCGTGTCTAGTTCTCTAACATGGCACCGTGTCTAGTTCTGTCACATGGCGCCGTGTCTAGTTCTCTCACATGGCACCGTGTCTAGTTCTCTGCCACATGGCGCCGTGTCTAGTTCTCTCACATGGCGCCGTGTCTAGTTCTCTCACATGGCGCCGTGTCTAGTTACCTCTCACATGGTGCCTTGTCTAGTTCTCTCTCACACATAGCGTCATGTCTAGTTCTGTCTCACACAGTGCATCGTGTCTAGTTCTCTAACATGGCGCCATGTTTAGTTCTCTCACATGGTGCCGTGTCTAGTTCTCTCACATGGCGCCGTGTCTAGTTCTCTCACATGGTGCCGTGTCTAGTTCTCTCTCACACATAGCGTCATGTCTAGTTCTGTCTCACACAGAGCATCGTGTCTAGTTCTCTCACATGGCACCATGTCTAGTTCTGTCACATGGCGCCGTGTCTAGTTCTCTCACATGGCACCGTGCCTAGTTCTGTCTCACATGGGGCCGTGTCTAGTTCTCTCACATGGCGCCGTGTCTAGTTCTCTCACATGGCGCCGTGTGTAGTTCTCTCACGTGGTGCCGTGTCTAGTTCTCTCACATGGCGCCGTGTCTAGTTCTCTCTCACATGGTGCTATGTCTAGATCTCTCTCACACATAGCGTCATGTCTAGTTCTGTCTCACACAGAGCATCGTGTCTAGTTCTCTCACATGGTGCCGTGTCTAGTTCTCTCACATGGCGCCGTGTCTGTTTCTCTCACATGGCGCCGTGTCTAGTTACCTATCACATGGTGCCGTGTCTAGTTCTCTCACATGGCGCCGTGTCTAGTTACCTCTCACATGGTGCCGTGTCTAGTTCTCTCTCACACATAGCGTCATGTCTAGTTGTTTCTCACACAGAGCATCGTGTCTAGTTCTCTCACATGGCGCCGTGTCTAGTTCTCTCACATGGCACCGTGTCTAGTTCTCTCACATGGCGCCGTGTCTAGTTACGTCTCACATGGTGCCGTGTCTAGTTCTCTCTCACACATAGCGTCATGTCTAGTTCTCTCTCACATGGCACCGTGTCTAGTTCTCTCACATGGTGCCATGTCTAGTTCTCTCACATGGCACCGTGTCTAGTTCTCTCACATGTTGCCGTGTCTACTTCTCTCTCACACATAGCGTCTTGTCTAGTTCTCTCTCACACAGAGCATCGTGTCTAGTTCTCTCACATGGCGCCATGTCTAGTTCTCTCACATGGCGCCGTGTCTAGTTCTCTCACATGGTGCCGTATCTAGTTCTCTCTCACGCATAGCGTCATGTCTAGTTCTGTCTCACACAGAGCATCGTGTCTAGTTCTCTCACATGGCGCCGTGTCCAGTTCTGTCACATGGCTCCGTGTCTGGTTCTCTCACATGGCGCCGTGTCTAGTTCTCTGCCACATGGCGCCGTGTCTAGTTCTCTCACATGGCGCCGTGTCTAGTTCTCTCACATGGCGCCGTGTCTAGTTACGTCTTACACGGTGCTGTGTCTAGTTCTCTCTCACACATAGCGTCATGTCTAGTTCTCTCTCACACAGAGCATCATGTCTAGTTCTCTCTCACATGGCACCGTGTCTAGTTCTCTCACATGGTGCCATGTCTAGTTCTCTCACATGGTACCGTGTCTAGTTCTCTCACATGTTGCCGTGTCTAGTTCTCTCTCACATATAGCGTCTTGTCTAGTTCTCTCTCACACAGAGCATCGTGTCTAGTTCTCTCACGTGGCGCCGTGTCTAATTCTCTCACATGGCGCCATGTCTAGTTATCTCACATGGTGCCGTTTCTAGTTCTCTCACATGGCGCCGTGTCTAGTTCTCTCACATGGCACCATGTCTGCTTCTCTCACATGGCGCCGTGTCTAGTTCTCTCACATGGCGCCGTGTCTGGTTCTCTCACATGGTGCCGTGTCTAGTTCTCTCCCATGGCGCCGTGTCTAGTTACCTATCACATGGTGCCGTGTCTAGTTCTCTCACATGGCGCCATGTCTAGTTACCTCTCACATGGTGCCGTGTCTAGTTCTCTCTCACACATAGCGTCATGTCTAGTTCTCTCTCACACAGAGCATCATGTCTAGTTCTCTCACATGGCGCCATGTCTAGTTCTCTCACGTGGCGCCGTGTCTAGTTCTCTCACATGGTGCCGTGTCTAGTTCTCTCTCACACATAGCGTCATGTCTAGTTCTGTCTCACACAGTGCATCGTGTCTAGTTCTCTAACATGGCACCGTGTCTAGTTCTGTCACATGGCGCCGTGTCTAGTTCTCTCACATGGCACCGTGTCTAGTTCTCTGCCACATGGCGCCGTGTCTAGTTCTCTCACATGGCGCCGTGTCTAGTTCTCTCACATGGCGCCGTGTCTAGTTACCTCTCACATGGTGCCTTGTCTAGTTCTCTCTCACACATAGCGTCATGTCTAGTTCTGTCTCACACAGTGCATCGTGTCTAGTTCTCTAACATGGCGCCATGTTTAGTTCTCTCACATGGTGCCGTGTCTAGTTCTCTCACATGGCGCCGTGTCTAGTTCTCTCACATGGTGCTGTGTCTAGTTCTCTCTCACACATAGCATCATGTCTAGTTTTGTCTCACACAGAGCATCGTGTCTAGTTCTCTCACATGGCACCATGTCTAGTTCTGTCACATGGCGCCGTGTCTAGTTCTCTCACATGGCACCGTGCCTAGTTCTGTCTCACATGGGGCCGTGTCTAGTTCTCTCACATGGCGCCGTGTCTAGTTCTCTCACGTGGTGCCGTGTCTAGTTCTCTCACATGGCGCCATGTCTAGTTCTCTCTCACATGGTGCTATGTCTAGATCTCTCTCACACATAGCGTCATGTCTAGTTCTGTCTCACACAGAGCATCGTGTCTAGTTCTCTCACATGGTGCCGTGTCTAGTTCTCTCACATGGCGCCGTGTCTGGTTCTCTCACATGGCGCCGTGTCTAGTTACCTATCACATGGTGCCGTGTCTAGTTCTCTCACATGGCGCCGTGTCTAGTTACCTCTCACATGGTGCTGTGTCTAGTTCTCTCTCACACATAGCGTCATGTCTAGTTGTTTCTCACACAGAGCATCGTGTCTAGTTCTCTCACATGGCGCCGTGTCTAGTTCTCTCACATGGCACCGTGTCTAGTTCTCTCACATGGCGCCGTGTCTAGTTACGTCTCACAGGGTGCCGTGTCTAGTTCTCTCTCGCACATAGCGTCATGTCTAGTTCTCTCTCACATGGCACCGTGTCTAGTTCTCTCACATGGTGCCATGTCTAGTTCTCTCACATGGCACCGTGTCTAGTTCTCTCACATGTTGCCGTGTCTAGTTCTCTCTCACACATAGCGTCTTGTCTAGTTCTCTCTCACACAGAGCATCGTGTCTAGTTCTCTCACATGGCGCCGTGTCTAGTTCTCTCACATGGCGCCGTGTCTAGTTATCTCACATGGTGCCGTTTCTAGTTCTCTCACATGGCGCCATGTCTAGTTACCTCTCACATGGTGCCATGTGTAGTTCTCTCTCATACATAGTGTCATGTCTAGTTCTCTCTCACACAGAGTATCGTGTCTAGTTCTCTCACATGGCACTGTGTCTAGTTCTCTCACATGGCGCCGTGTCTAGTTCTCTTACATGGCGCCGTGTCTAGTTCTGTTACATGGCGCCGTGTCTAGTTCTCTCACATGGTGCTGTGTCTAGTTCTCTCTCACACATAACGTCATGTCTAGTTCTGTCTCACACAGAGCATCGTGTCTGGTTCTCTCACATGGCACCATGTCTAGTTCTCTCACATGGCACCGTGTCTAGTTCTGTCACATGGCGCCATGTCTAGTTCTCTCACATGGCACCATGTCTAGTTTTCTCTCACATGGCGCCGTGTCTAGTTCTCTCACATGGCACCGTGTCTAGTTCTCTCACATGGCGCTGTGTCTAGTTCTCTTACATGGCGCCGTGTCTAGTTCTCTCACATGGTGCCGTGTCTAGTTCTCTCTCGCACATAGCGTCACGTCTAGTTCTCTCTCACACAGAGCATCGTGTCTGGTTCTCTCACATGGCGCCATGTCTGGTTCTCTCACATGGTGACGTGTCTAGTTCTCTCACATGGCGCCGTGTCTGGTTCTCTCGCATGGCGCCGTGTCTAGTTGTCTCACATGGTGCCGTTTCTAGTTCTTTCACATGGCGCCATGTCTAGTTACCTCTCACATGGTGCCATGTGTAGTTCTCTCTCACACATAGTGTCATGTCTAGTTCTCTCTCACACAGAGTATCGTGTCTAGTTCTCTCACATGGCACTGTGTCTAGTTCTCTCACATGGCGCCGTGTCTAGTTCTCTTACATGGCGCCGTGTCTAGTTCTCTCACATGGTGCTGTGTCTAGTTCTCTCTCACACATAGCGTCATGTATAGTTCTGTCTCACACAGAGCATCGTGTCTGGTTCTCTCACATGGTGACGTGTCTAGTTCTCTCACATGGCGCCGTGTCTGGTTCTCTCGCATGGCGCCGTGTCTAGTTCTCTCACGTGGTGCCATGTCTAGTTCTCTCACGTGGCGCCGTGTCTCGTTCTCTCACATGGAGCCATGTCTAATTCTCTCACATGGCGCCGTGTCTAGTTCTGTCACATGGAACCATGTCTAGTTCTCTCACATGGCTCCGTGTCTCATTCTCTCACATGGAGCCGTGTCTAGTTCTCTCACATGGCACTGTGTCTAGTTGTCTCACATGGCGCCGTGTCTAGTTCTCTCACATGGCGCCGTGTCTAGTTCTCTGTCACATGGCCCTGTGTCCAGTTCTCTCACATAGTGCTGTGTCTGGAGCTCTCTCACACCCTGACGCGTTATTTATTTCTTCCTTGACGTTACTGCAGTTACTCTCGGAGGCCTATACGGGTAGTAGCCCTACAGAGGAAGCAGAACATGTTTCCCATGGGGGCCTTTGATCCAGTTCTCTCCTGGGTGGAGCCAGTCAGCTTCTAGAGACTTTTCACTCCACACTGGTCTTAGGCATTTGTAAAATACTCCATTTTAACCAGTGGAAATGACTTGAATTAACTGTATAATTTTAATTTTTCAGGGCAAGTGTGTAATTTAGATTTTAACCAGCAAAACATATGTAAGTGGTGAAAAAAAAAACTAATAAATTCTGGAAACCTTCAGGTTGGTCTTGTTTAATTTTAAAGTTCAGCGGCAGGACACTCTTAAATCTTATGAGTTAATTTTCACAACTTGATATTGTAGAGAAAAATGTAATTGTCACACTGTTAAAATGACTTTTCTAATAAATGTTCTTGAAGTTTTAATATGACAAGGTACATGAATGATGATCACTGCCTCTACTGAAACATTCCTTTATGGCCCGAGATGGTCTCTGAGGGAACTCCAGGGAATGGTACGCAGGTAGACTTGCTTTGATGATTGGCGTATATTCCAGTATAATTTGGTATAACGGGATTTAATTTGTTTGTAGATAAACCTACCTAAAGGCACCATGGCAGGAACAGAAATCCCATAGCTTATATAAACAACAGAACATTAATTAACACGAAGACACTAATTAGTTTATCCAGTTTGCTGGCAGAGCTCTGGGAACTGAGGGCCTGAGAGAGGCCTGATGTGTTTGTGGAAGAGGGGAGGTCGGGGGAAAGGGGTTGGTTGTCAGACATATGAGAGGATGCAGGTGACGGGGCAGGGCGGGGTTCTGGAGGATTTGGAGGAGCTATGCCATTACCTGCTCATGGCTAGAAAGTGCATGGAATGGGCAAGGCCCCACATCACCAGCCAGGGGTCAGCAGCGAAGGGCTTGGCCCGTCTGTTCTTTCCTGGCCACGGACCTTGTTCACTTGTTTCTTATGAAATGTCCCATCCCTGGAATGTTGCACCAACCCCGCCCACTTCCTCTTCAATCCTGCTGAGGTACATTTCCTCAAGGAAGCTCCCCCAGTGCAGAAGGAGGCCCACCCTCGCCTGAGCCCTCTGCGCCACTCCTCTGTGGCACTTGTTGCCGTTGACCTTGTATGTTTGTTCTTAGGATTCCCTGATTAACATGCCCTCTCCTCCTTAATGGTAAGGGACCCACAGTGAGTGAGTGCATAGGTGGGTGGATGGATGTATGTATGGACAGATGGACGGATGGATGGTCAGACAGACGGATGGATGGATAGACGGACAGATAGATGGATGGACGGATGGATGGACAGATGGACCGATGGATAGATGGGTGGACGGACGGGCAGATGGACGGATGTGTGGATGGTCAGACAGACAGGTGAATCCATGGATTGACGGATGGATGGACAGATAGACAGTGGATGGATTGATAGATGGATGGATGGACAGAACTTTCTCTGATGACTCAAATATCACCCCAAGCATCGTCTTCTCTGGGGAGCCATTCCTGACCACCTTCCCTAGGCAAACTTGCCAGCTCCCTCCTTTGTTTTCACGTCCCCATGTTGCGTTACTTTGTTTTTCCTGACTGCTTGAATATTTGTCCTTTGTGGGCGGTTACCCTGAGCACTGCATGGGAAAGGCAGGGCGTGCTCATGGAGCTCACATTAAGTGGACACACCAGGGGAGTGAGGACCCGCCTGGCCTTCAGAGAGCCTGCAGGCCCCTGCCCTGGGGTTTGCTTAGCTCCTCAAGGGAAGGGGCTGGTGCCCTGTAGAGGTGAGGCGGGAGCTGGTGCAGCTCTGCTCTGCGAGGTCTTGGCACCTCAGTAAAGCTGCCGGTGCACATGCATACACCTACAAACCCAGACACTGGTGAGCGACGGTCATTCCTCCTGCGCAGCTGCCTGGCCTGCACCCTCTGTCATCTGAGGCCAGATGTTCTGGACTTGGCCCCTCAGAGAGATGTTCTGGACTTGGCCATTGCATTATTTATGTTCTGTTGTCATTTCATGTTATTCTCGTTTCCTCTTATTTTTTCTTCTCGCTCACGATATATTACAAAATTCTTTATGTTCTGGTTTCCTCACATTAATTTGTTTGGACCCCTCTTCTTCCCTAAAGAGGATTCATGGCACGGTTCCCATGTCCCATACTCGGTGGGGCTGGAGCCTGCCGATGCCCATGCCGCTGCCTCAGTCATGCCCTGATCCTCCTCAAGTCCCAAACAACAGAGCATCTCGCCTCTGCTGTCTCTTCTCTCAGGTGGGCCACCCACCCTGCCACCATTGAAACCTTCCTCAGTCCACATTTACTTATATAACTCCTTTTCTTCAGGCCCCTGAGTAACCTCACTATCCACATGATTAAGTCCAGTGCCTCAGCATCTGTTCTCTTATTAAAGAAACTGATCAAGTCCCTGCTGTGTGTCCTCATCTACCTTCCAGCTCCCAGCCTCCGCACTCCACCATAGGGATGGTGAGTGCCAGCTCCCAGCCTCTGCACTCCACCATAGGGATGGTGAGTGCCAGCTCCCAGCCTCCGCACTCCACCGTAGGGATGGTGGGTGTCAGCTCTCAGCCTCTGCATTCCACCGTAGGGATGGTGAGTGTCGGATGCTCCCAGGTGTGGGCTCCTGTACATGCCAGAGGCTCTTCGATGCCTCTGAGTGCGATACGGTTAGAGTGCATTTGTAGGTGCACGTACCTGTGTCCTTAGACAGCTTCATTTTGCACCCTAGTGCCCGGCATAGACTCTGTCACAATGTGGAGGTGCTTAATAAATAACTGTGGAATGACTGATAGGTCATAGACCATTTTTTCTCAAAAGCATACACTATTGGCTGAGCACATGTGTTAAACGCTGTATGAACATAGGGATATGAGCTCCTGAGGAGGAAAGGCAAAATATTGTGTTATAATGAGGTTAAAGTGTTGTAAAAGAGGTGCCATAGAAACATAGGAAGGGGCAATTAGTTCCCGATGGAGGGCTTGAGGCTGCCTCACCAAAGGGTCAATATTTGCAACAAATCTAAAGAATGAGTAGGATTTCTACAAATGGTATTGGGGCAACTGGACACCCACAGGCAGACACCCCAAATCCAGCCCCATACACCACACTAACTCAAAATGGGTCGAAGACCTAAAGGCAAGAGATAAAATTATAAAACCGCAAGGACGTGCATCTTTGTGATCTTAGATTAAGCAGTGGTTTCTTAGAGATGACACCCAAAGCGCAAAGCACAAGCAACAAAAGAAAAAAGTAAACCAGTTGAGCTTTAACAAAATAAAGTTTTTGTGTGTTTCAGAGGTTACCATCAATAAAGTAAGAAGGAAACTCAAGTAATGAGGTAAAATGTTTGCAAAGCATATGTGTAAAAAAGGTTTCTATTTAGAAGAACTCCTAAAGCACATAAAAAGACAAGCCGAGAAAGGGATGGGCAGAGGGCATGAACAGGCAATTCACCCACAGAAGGTGTGGAAAGACACTGGACATCTTTGACCAGCCAGGAAATGCAAATCAAAATACAATGAGACACCATTGCCCACGTGTTAGGATGGCCATAATGGCAGAGACAGACAATCGTAAGTGCTGGCAAGATCCTGGAGAAACTGGAACCTTCATACACGACCTTTGGGAATAGAAAATCATGCAGCCACTTTGGAAAGTGAGGCATTTCCTCAGAAGTTTAAACATAGAGTTACCATGTGACCATAAATCCCATTTCTTGGTACATACCCAAGAGAAATGAAACATATGTCCACTAAAAAAACTCATACCTGATTGCTTACAGAGGCATTATTCATGATACTCAAAGATAGAAACAACCCAGGTCAAGTATCCGGAAACGGAGGGGTGGATAAATATGCTGTGGTCCATCCATGCAATGGAATCTTCTCTAGCAATAAAGGAATGGAGCACCGATGCATGCTGTGACACAGACGAACCTCAGAAACATTTTCTACGTGAAAGAAGCCAGTCATGAAAACCACAGATAGGATTCCATTTATATGCAGTGTTCAGAACAGGCAAATCTATATAGAAAGTACATTAGTGGTGGCCTGGGGCTGGGGGCATGGAAATGAGGGTTAACTGCCGAAGGGCATGGATTTATTTTTGGAGTGACGAAATGTTATGTGATTGATTGTGGGGATGGCTGCACAGCTCTGTGAGTATGCTATTGAGCTGTGCACTTTCAGTGGGTGAATCATATGGTGTGTGAATGATATCTGAATAAAGCTGTTAGGAATAAATCACTTTTAAAAAAGCAATGAAGAACAGTTTTCCAGGAAAAAAAGGGCAGAGGCAGACATACTTTGTGCACAGTGGCACACATGGAGACCCCGAGGTACACGGGACCCTGGTGTGGTCGAGCACGAAGGGTGGGTGGTCCCAGTATGACCGCCGTGGGGAGGACAGAGGCGCCTCCTGTGCCTGACAAGCAGGGAAGGCCTCAGCATTTAGGAAATGCATCTATTGAGGAAGAACTCTTTCTACTTCTACACTCAAATTTCATGTTGATATTTGTTCCTGCTATTTATGTACTATCAGTGTCTATATTTTAATACAGAGTAAGCCATTTGGTTTCTAAATATCTTAAATTTGTCATGAATAGGATTCCCATAGGTGTCTTCTGAATGCTTTGTAATTACTCCATAGCCCTTGGTCAAATTAATATTCAAGATGTGGGTAATTGGCCCAGACAAAAGTAATAAATTAAGGTGAGAACGCAACCACAAAATGGTAGAGTTCTAGAAACTTGCAGTCAGTCTGGACATATATAAACAAATTTCCCACTATTCACAGTTCTGTTTAAGAATGTGAATTTCAAGCGATGGTGCTTTTGGAGGCACTAACCGCTTTCCCATCTCCAGCTTGGCATCCTTCCCTCAACCAGGGCCTCCTGCCATCCGCGGCTGCTGAGAGCACAGGGACCTTCTCCTCAGTGTGTCTCCTCAGCCTCCTCTCACTGAGGGGAGCAGCACAGAGCCATTGGATTTGGGAATTCATCATGCTCTTCTGCCTCAGGTTGAAAAATTAAATACTGGGTTTTTACTGAGATGCACAATGCTTAAGATACTACTAGGAAATCCTAAACTTACCACCCAAGTTTAGTGAAGACAATTGCACCTGCTTTCACACGATGAAGATGGAATTAGAAGGATTTGTACTTGAAGGACTCCTGGAGGTTGAGCATAAACCACTGGGGATGTGTGTGGCATCGCCACGCAAGGGACATGCCCTGACACCCGTGCAGATGCTTGTGTGAGTCTGATGGCCCACATTGGTGGCTGGCAAGACCTTTGAGATCAGTGTGGGAGTGATGGCCCACGTCGGTGGCCGGGAAGACCTTTGAGATCATTGTGGGAGTAATGGCCCATGTTGGTGTCCAGCAAGACCTTTGAGATCAGTGTGGGAGTGATGGTCCATGTCGGTGGCCAGGAACACCTTTGAGATTAGTGTGGAAGTGATGGTCCATGTTGGTGGCTGGCAAGACCTTTGAGATCAGTGTGGAGTGATGGTCCACATCGGTGGCCGGGAAGACCTTTGAGATCAGTGTGTGGAGTGATGGTCCACGTCGGTGGCCGGCAAGACCTTTGAGATCAGAGTGGGAGTGATGGCCCACGTCGGTGGCCGGGAAGACCTTTGAGATCAGTGTGGGAGTGATGGCCCACGTCGGTGGCTGGGAAGACCTTTGAGATCAGTGTGGAGTGATGGTCCACGTCGGTGGCCGGGAAGACCTTTGAGATCAGTGTGGGAGTGAGATGGTCCACATCGGTGGCTGGGAAGACCATTGAGATCAGTGTGGGAGTGATGGTCCACATCGGTGGCCAGCAAGACCTTTGACATCAGTGTGGGAGTGATGGTCCATGTTGGTGGCCGGGAAGACCTTTGAGATCAGTGTGGGAGTAATGGCCCATGTTGGTGGCCGGCAAGACCTTTGAGATCAGTGTGGGAGTGATGGTCCATGTTGGTGGCCGGGAAGACCTTTGAGATCAGTGTGGGAGTAATGGCCCATGTTGGTGGCCGGCAAGACCTTTGAGATCAGTGTGGGAGTGATGGCCCACATCGGTGGCCGGGAAGACCTTTGAGATCAGTGTGTGAGTCTGATGGTCCACGTCGGTGGCCGGGAAGACCTTTGAGATCAGTGTGGGAGTGATGGTCCATGTTGGTGGCCGGGAAGACCTTTGAGATCAGTGTGGGAGTAATGGCCCATGTTGGTGGCCGGCAAGACCTTTGAGATCAGTGTGGGAGTGATGGCCCACGTCGGTGGCCGGGAAGACCTTTGAGATCAGTGTGTGAGTCTGATGGTCCACGTCGGTGGCCAGCAAGACCTTTGACATCAGTGTGGGAGTGATGGCCCACGTCGGTGGCCAGGAAGACCTTTGAGATCAGTGTGTGAGTCTGATGGCCCACGTCGGTGGCTGGGAAGACATTTGAGATCAGTGTGGAGTGATGGTCCACGTTGGTGGCCGGGAAGACCTTTGAGATCAGTGTGGGAGTCTGATGGCCCACGTCGGTGGCTGGGAAGACATTTGAGATCAGTGTGGAGTGATGGTCCATGTCGGTGGCCGGGAAGACCTTTGAGATCAGTGTGGGAGTCTGATGGCCCACGTCGGTGGCTGGGAAGACATTTGAGATCAGTGTGGAGTGATGGTCCACATCGGTGGCCGGGAAGACCTTTGAGATCAGTGTGGAGTGATGGTCCATGTCGGTGGCCGGGAAGACCTTTGAGATCAGTGTGGGAGTGATGGTCCATGTCGGTGGCCGGGAAGACCTTTGAGATCAGTGTGGGAGTAATGGCCCACGTCGGTGGCCGGGAAGACCTTTGAGATCAGTGTGGGAGTGATGGTCCATGTTGGTGGCCGGGAAGACCTTTGAGATCAGTGTGGGAGTGATGGCCCATGTTGGTGGCCGGCAAGACCTTTGACATCAGTGTGGGAGTGATGGCCCACGTCGGTGGCCGGGAAGACCTTTGAGATCAGTGTGGGAGTGATGGTCCATGTCTGTGGCCGGGAAGACCTTTGAGATCAGTGTGTGAGTCTGATAGTCCACGTCGGTGGCTCGGAAGACCTTTGAGATCAGTGTAGGAGTGATGGTCCACGTCGGTGGCCGGGAAGACCTTTGAGATCAGTGTGGGAGGCGGTGCCAGCCTGGGTAATGGCTGAGTTCAGGGCGCCTGGGAAGAGGACTGGGCATAGGAGAGAGGGAGTGGCGGATGCCCCATAGGTGGAAGTGGACGGTGAGGTTCACTGTGCGGAGAAAGGTGAATCGAAGAGGCTTCTGGGTCCGGACTGCGGGAAGTGATGTTTTCAGTGGAGTGTTGGAGATGGGACCTGCACACGGTCACCAGGTATTTGGCTCTATGCTTCTGAAGCTTGAGGACACCTTTGGCATAAATAAGTGAAGGTGAAAACTTGACATTGGATGAATTTCTCAGAGAGGCTGTGAAGGCTGAGCTCAGCCACAATGTAAGAGCAGGACCCCGGGGACATCCCATGTTTAGGAGAGAGGCCCTTTATGCTGCTGTGACATTGAAGAGACTAAGCTGGGACAGAGGCTGAGAACACCAGAAATGGAGTTCAACACGAGTGTCCTGCATGCTGTCCCTGGGAGGGTGGCTGGATTAATGAGAAAGCACTGCTCTACCCTTGCCTGCTTTACTGCTGGAGAGAAGAGAATGGCAAGAACTCCACAGGCTCAGAACTCTTAGCATTGGGAGCACATTTCAGAAGCAGAATGGCAGACTCAGAAATGGGCCACTGGGCCTCTCTGTGGGTCCCGTGGGAAGGTCTCAGCCTGCATGAGCGTCTCAGGGCCCCTCATTTGCCCATGAGTGGAGTGCACTGTCACTGTGCTTCCCATCTAGTTCCTTATGTCATCTCTTCAGGTGTTTCTGAACTACTGAGGCCTAAATACAACTTTCTTCTGTTTCTCTGCTCTTATCTATTTCTCATGTTCTCATAAAAAGCTAGGAAAGAGATTGCACTGAACAATCTTTTGCTTGATGAAATATTTTGCAAATTGTTAAAAACGAAACTAGAATAATTCCTTATACGACTGAATGGCTGACCACAGGCAAATCACTTCATTTCTTTGGGCTTCTTTTTCCTGAACTGAATGAAAGACATAAACAAGCTGATTATTCACACACAGCTGTCATGGAGCTGGTGAGACTGGAGTCATGAGCAGCATTGAGTTTCATAGATTAAAAGGATATAAAAATAAACTATTGATTATTCAGGGGTGGGCCATTTATTTTTTAGCTAGTTCTTAACCCTCGGTGCACATCCGTTAGGCAGTGAGCACATATTTGGGTTGAATAATACTGAGACCTTGTTTTTCCTTAGAGATTTTAATAAGCTAATTAACTTTATTTTCTTTTTTTTGAGAGAGAGTCTTGCTCTGTCACCCAGGCTGGAGTGCAGTGGCGTGATCTCAGCTCACTGCAACCTCTGCCTCCCAGGTTCAAGTGATTGTTCTGCCTCAGCCTCCCGAGTAGCTGAGACTACAGGTGCATGCTGCCATACCCGGCTAATTTTTGTATTTTTAGTAGAGATGGGGTTTCACCATGTTGGTCAGGCTGGTCTCGATCTCCTGACCTTGTGATCTGCCTGCCTCAGCCTCCCACAGTGCTGGGATTACAGGCGTGAGCCACCATGCCCAGTAGTCTTTCTTAGGCTAAGCTCACTGTGAAGATAAATCTGCCCCCAGAAACACCCCAAAGTCAGATATGGCATTTCAGGACGTGACAATGGCGAGCAGAGAGGCTGAGCTGTGAGCTCACAGTTTGTCTCCAGAGCAACTCCAGTGCCTGGGTCTGCACACCGCGCACTTCCTCCTGCCACAGCTGCATGGGTCAGGGGCTCCCGAATGAGACATCCTGTGTTGATCGCAGCCGTCTCCCAGCATGTGGAGCAACACTAGGACCGTGGTAGATGTTCAGTCATGTTCGCTGAAGGAAGAAGGGAGTGAATGAATGTCTTCTCTGAGGATAGCTGAGCATCCGTGCATCCGTCTGGCCATGAGAACTTGGTTGCGCTCACATGAGGATCCTGAGCAGGTAATTATCTCGGTCCAGAAGCAATAGCTTCAGGCAAAGAGAAGACGCGTTCCCTCCCTGTCTGTGCATCTGACTTTCACGGTTGTTCCTACCGTTCATTGCTTTATTAAAGCCAGTCACTCCTGGGTTTGCCTTCACGTTGTTTCACTTCATTAAAAAAAATGGAATGAGACTTGAGTTTGAATGCAATTATGTAATTGAAGGAACTGTCCTACACACGATTTATTAATTAACATTGGAGCACACTTATGTCGGCCTGCTTCCTGATTACAGTCAGGCGCCAGGTAACGACGGGGTGACGCTCTGAGAAACGTGCCCTTAGGCGGCTTTGTTGTGTTGTCTTCATTTGTACAAATTTAAGGGATGCAAGCACAGTTGTGTGACCTCGGTACGTGGCACAGTGGTGAAGTCTGGGTGAATATTTAGGGGTTGGCTTTCTGCTACGTGTATTTTTTCTGTGTACATCAACTATCTGCAGTTTAAACATTGGTTTTCAAATTAGAAATTAACCCATGTTCACGAGAACGTTACTTTGTATTCTTGTCTGCCTTCCCTAACCCGTGCAACAAGCAATATCATTACCACAATTTCTCCCTGAGAACTAACTTCTAAAAATTTACTGTCATCCTGGGCTTTTACTTAGCATTTATAAATATACATGACTGGTGTTATTAGAATATTATCAATGACTATCTCCTAGCATAGTACCTGACACAAGGTAGGTTTTCTATGAATATTAAGTCAGTATTAAAGAGTACACATCCAAAAATAAAAATGAGAGAGTGTTTTGCCTTTTGCTCTTTCTGTTTTTTAATGTTGGAGTTTTCCATTTGAGCAGATAAGATTCCATAGCATCCACAAATTGTATTTACTGATTTATTTTTGAGACAGGGTCTCTGTCTGTCCCCAGGCTGGAGTGCACTGGTGTATTTTGGCTCACTGCAGCCTCAAATTCCCAGGCCTTGGTGATTCTACCTCGACCTCCCAGAGTGCTGGGATTACACGTGCAAGCCACGGTGCCTGGCTGAAGTATAAGTTATTTAAGCATCACTCAGTTGATGATGAGTGGAGTTTTTGGCCTCTGTGTCAGGTCATGTTGGAATACAGTCATGTGATCGTGGAGTCAGGTCATCATGTCATACAGCCATGTGGCCACGTTGTCATATAGTCATTGTCGTACAGTCACGTTGTCATCTTGTCCTAGGGTTGTGGTGTCCCACAGTCACGTCACGTCATCGCACTGTTGCACGGCCATGTCCTGTAGGCGTGTTGCATATTCTCGCATCATGTTGTCTTAGGGTCATGTGTCCTGTACCCACGTCACAGTATTGTGTTATCACGTGGGCCTGTTTTCCCACAGTCATGTTGTCCTGGGTCATGGTGTCACAGTCATGTCATGTCACACTTGTCACACTGTGGTGTTGTCACGTGGGTGTGTTGTGTTGTCCTGAGTCACAATGTCAGAGTCATGTCA
This sequence comes from Homo sapiens, assembly GCF_000001405.40. NCBI lineage: Eukaryota > Metazoa > Chordata > Mammalia > Primates > Hominidae > Homo > Homo sapiens. The sequence continues at coordinate 1,252,047 of NC_000008.11, forward strand.
TGTCACACTTGTCACACTGTGTTGTCGTGTGGGTGTGTTGTGTTGTCCTGGGTCACGGTGTCAAAGTCATGTCATGTCACACTTGCCACACTGTGGTGTTGTCACACGGGTGTGTTGTGTTGTCCTGGGTCACGGTGTCACAGTCGTGTCATGTCACACTTGTCACACTGTGGTGTTGTCACATGGGTGTGTTGTGTTGTCCTGGGTCGTGGTGTCACAGTCACGTCATGTCACACTTGTCACAATGTGGTGTTGTCATGTGGGTGTGTTGTGTTGTCCTGGGTCACGGTGTCACAGTCATGTCATGTCACACTTGCCACACTGTGGTGTTGTCACATGGGTGTGTTGTGTTGTCCTGGGTGACGGTGTCACAGTCATGTCATGCCACACTTGTCACACTGTGGTGTTGTCACGTGCGTGTGTTGCGTTGTCCTGGGTCACAGTGTCACAGTCACGTCATCACCATGTTACACGGTGGTGTTGTCACGTGGTGTGTTGTGTTGTCTCACAGTCATGTCCTGGGTCATGGTGTCCCACAGTTGTGTTACATCAATTGCTTGCATGAGTGAGTGCCTATTCACATATTCTTGACAAAGAGTCATGGTTTCGTGCTCTGTGCTGTGTGAGAGGTGCTAGCGAGGCCGCCGGGTGTCATGGCTGGGCAGTGGCCATGGCGGCCAGGCAGGCCTGCTGTCATCTAGAGCTCCTGTTGAAGCGCGGCCGGATGTGGTGCCTCCAGGTGGCTGCTGACATGGAGCCTTTCCTGACGAGCAGAGGATCCTGCCGTGTGCTCGGAGACTTGGAAGAGGAAAGACGTTGGTGTTTTTCTCCCTGTGTCTCTTAGTCACTGTCACAGCTGGAGGGAGGCAGAGGAGGACAGAGGACGGGGGAGGCAACAAATTAGTGCAATTGTCACAGCAGCCCAGTGCTGGGCCTCGCATCTAGGCACCCCCACAGGCCTCCCAGCACCAGCCCTCATCCCGCTGTCCCTCCGCTGCTTGCACTGCACGGCCCACGGCAAATGCCGCCCACGCCCGGGCCTGTCCCCGCGTGGCTTCCTGTAGAAGGAGCACAGATGCTCTTTGCATTCATGGCTGGGTTGGAACCAGCCTCAGGAAAGCGGTACCCATCCCCAGCAACGCTGAGCTTGGCTTCGTCCTGAGGAGCTCCAGCCAAGGCCCCGGGCTGTGTCCACCACGCAGGGCTGCAGCCGCTGGGTGGTTCCTGTGTGTGCCCTTTCTTCCCGGGGCTCCAGGAGAGCTGCCAGGGCCCCTTTATCTCCCGGCTCCATCGGCTGCTACTGCGCACCCCTCCCCGGGTTGGTGTCAGGAGGGAGGGCGGGTGCTGCGGAGGCCGACTCCATGCAGAAGCCAGAGATAGCATGCGCTCGGCTTCACAGACCTCAAAGCTGCCTCTCCAAAAATATGTGCATAAATGTAGAGTAGCCTCCATAGATAAAATGCTCTATGAATTTACACAGGAGATGCTGCAGTTTCCTCTTTTCTAGGAGATTAAAATAAGGCACCTTGTGCCAGAAAACACTGGGCTGGGCGTTTGCTGTTCACGTGTGGAGCTCGGGGAATGAGCCGGTTCTCAGCGGGCTGCGTGTGGTGAGGGTTCAGGTTCACGTACACAAAACCATCAGACAGATTTCTCCATCTGTGTCAATTAGCACAGATCAGTGTGGTCTTCTCCTAATTTAAGTGAGACTCTGCACTAATGATGATGAATCCACAGTGTATCCAGGTTAAGTCTTGTCTACATTGTGAATCTTTTTTAATGGGTGTTCCTTGGGGAAGAATTCATTGAAAGGGTCCGTGCTGCTGTGAGTACGCTTGCTGTGTGTTCAGCTTGCTGGGTGATTTTAAACATATGTAACCTGTGATGAAGATGAACTGTGGGGAAAGCCCTGAATCTGTGGTCAGTTTTGACGCATATTTTGGTTCGCGTTGGACGAGAGGTGCGGAACCACAGTCTCTGATCCATGTCTGAGTGAGCCGCCTCGTGAGGCTTCCAGTCCCTCCTGGGGGCACTGAGTGGGGACAGCCATGGCCAGGGGGGCCAAGTTGAACCCAGTGTGCCTGTGGGCTCAGCGCTGAGGGCTGGTCACAGATCCCACCCTTGCAGGTCTCAGTCTGCCTCTCCCTTCCCTGAAATCAGTGCCTCCCACAGGCACCATGGTGAAGCCGGCGTCTCCCCTGCCCTGGGGGAACCCCGGGCACATCCAGGACTCCGCTCTGTCCCCATCATGTGACCTCTGATGGGTCCATCAAGGCCTCGTGGTCTCCTCCACGTGGGAGGCCAGAGTGGATCCCACAGTTCCTGACATGCATGTTCACTCCGTTTTCCTGAGTGTCATGCCAAGGTCTCAGTGGTCACATTTAGGAACGTCTTGATTAAATAAGATGCAATGGGCTTCTATGTCGTGGGCCTCCTCGGAGCCTCTAGTTTGGAAGTGGCTCTCATGAACTTACCGTGGGGCGCGATCATTGGCAGCACTGACTTTTTGTTTGGGGAAAATCACGATCTATGGCCTAAGACGGCTTCTCGCATCTGCATTCCAAAATAGGGTTTCAGAGCTTCGTGCTCTCATTTAAAGCAGTTTTTTGTCTGTATGACTCAGTGGTGTCTTTCCCAGGAACCTCCTGCCTTAGCTCTTCTCAGGATGAGACGAAAAAATCCCTTTTGGGTTTCGGGGGCCGAGTGAGTGTGCAGAGTTGTTGACTTTTGGATTTTAGCTTCCCTGGCCCACGCAGTTCACTGCGCTCCCACAAAGACCGCTCCTGACTTTTCCTCCGTGGGCCTCACTCCCTGGCCCTCTCATCCTGCCTCTCCTGCCCGCGTGCTGTGTCTGTGCTCTCTCCTGCCCAGGTGCTGTGTGTGTGCCCTCTCCTGCCCGGGTGCTGTGTGTGTGTCCTCTCATCCTGTCCGGGTGCTGTGTGTGTGTCCTCTCATCCTGCTTGGGCGCTGTGTGTGTGTCTTCTCCTGCCCAGCCGCTGTGTGTGTGTCCTCTCATCCTGCCCGGCCGCTGTGTGTGTGTCCTCTCATCCTGCCTGGGTGCTGTGTGTGTGTCCTCTCCTGCCCGGGCGCTGAGTGTGTGTCCTCTCCTGCCCGGGTGCTGTGTGTGTGCCCTCTCATCCTGCCTGGGTGCTGTGTGTGTGCCCTCTCATCCTGCCTGGGTGCTGTGTGTGTGCCCTCTCATCCTGCCCGGGTGCTGTGTGTGTGTCCTCTCCTGCCTGGGTGCTGTGTGTGTGCCCTCTCATCCTGCCCGGGTGCTGTGTGTGTGCCCTCTCATCCTGCCTGGGTGCTGTGTGTGTGCCCTCTCATCCTGCCCGGGTGCTGTGTGTGTGTCCTCTCCTGCCTGGGTGCTGTGTGTGTGTCCTCATCCTGCCCGAGCACTGTATGTGTGTCCTCTCTTGCCTGGGTGCTGTGTGTGTGTGTCCTCATCTTGCCCGGGCGCTGTGTGTGTGTCATCTCCTGCCTGGGAGCTGTGTGTCTGTCCTCTCCTGCCTGGGAGCTGTGTGTGTGTCCTTTCCTGCCTGAGCACTGTATGTGTGTCCTCTCTTGCCTGGGTGCTGTGTGTGTGTGTCCTCATCCTGCCCGGGCGCTGTGTGTGTGTCGTCTCCTGCCTGGGAGCTGTGTGTGTGTCCTCTTCTGCCTGGGAGCTGTGTGTGTGTCCTCTCCTGCCCGAGCACTGTATGTGTGTCCTCTCCTGCCTGGGTGCTGTGTGTGTGTCCTCTCATCCTGCCTGGGTGCTATGTGTGTGTCTTCTCCTGCCCAGGTGCTGTGTGTGTGTCCTCTCCTGCCTGGGTGCCGTGTGTGTGTCCTCTCATCCTGCCTGGGTGCTATGTGTGTGTCTTCTCCTGCCCAGGTGCTGTGTGTGTGTCCTCTCCTGCCTGGGTGCTGTGTGTGTGCCCTCTCATCCTGCGTGGGTGCTGTGTGTGTCCTCTCCTGCCTGGGTGCTGTGTGTGTGTCCTCTCCTGCCCGGGTGCTGTGTGTGTGTCCTCTCATCCTGCCTGGGTGCTATGTGTGTGTCTTCTCCTGCCCGGGCGCTGTGTGTGTGTCCTCTCCTGCCTGGGTGCTTTCTGTGTCCTCTCATGCCTGGGTGCTGTGTGTGTGTCCTCTCATCCTGCCTGGGTGCTGTGTGTGTCCTCTCATGCCCGGGTGCTGTGTGTGTGCCCTCTCCTGCCCGGGTGCTGTGTGTGTGTCCTCTCCTGCCTGGGTGCTGTGTGTGTGTCCTCTCCTGCCCGGGTGCTGTCTGTGTGTCCTCTCATCCTGTCTGGGTGCCATGTGTGTGTCCTCTCCTGCCCGGGTGCTGTGTGTGTGTCCTCTCATCCTGCCTGGGTGCTGTGTGTGTGCCGTCTTATCCTGCTTGGGCGCTGTGCGTCTGTCCTCTCCTGCCCAGGTGCTGTGCGTGTCCTCTCCTGCCTGGGTGCTGTGTGTGTGTCCTCTCCTGCCTGGGTGCTGTGTGTGTGCCCGTCTCATCCTGCCCAGGCGCTGTGTGTGTGTCCTTTCCTGCCCGGGTGCTGTGCGTGTGTACTCTCCTGCCCGGGTGCTGTGTGTGCGCACAGGGACACAGTCATGTCCGCGCCTCCTGCAATCAGATGCCCGCGTGGGGAGTCTCACCTTGGAAACTGAGGGGAAACTGACTGTGGGCCCTCTGTTCCCGAGTGAGATGCCTTCTCCCCACTTTCTGCAGAATTTGTGAAGGGGTGGTGCCTGCGTTTCCAGGTCAACTAAACCTGAGGGTCTGCTTCAGTGATGGCAGCGATGGGATGGCCCGAGTCTGAGCTGGCTGCCCCGTGTCCCCTGGGTAACAGGAGCCCCGCCTCCCTCCACAGGCCTTGTGAATGGTGGTGGCTGGGATAGAGGTGGCCCCGTGTGTGGACCATGGCCTGCCCCATTCCTTTCACACAGAGCAGTGTGGCCCTGGGCCCAGGGCTCCTGCGTCCGATGGCTTCTACTTCAGGTCCTGCCCTGCGGCCCCGACGTCTTCTCTCCCGTCCCCTCCACCGGCGCCCGTGAAGGCAGGTGCAGTCAGATGTGTCCACCCCGAGGCGTGTGGGTCTGTCTCCCCGAAGTCGGGAGAGCTCAGTAGAGCTGTCAGTCACAGTTTTAAAGGACGATTCATGCTCTTTCCTTTCCACCAACCCTCTCCCGCTCACCCACAGAGCCCGACCTGCCACACACACGGCTCCCAGGTGAGCTCCGTCCCCGCCCCGCCCAGCCACCAAGGTCACCTTCCGAAGGAACCATGAGAGCCTGTGAGGCTCTGCCTCAGAATCCCTTGTTGCCTCCTAACTTTTATTTTGAACAACACCTCAACTCCCTTTTTAATGTTCCGCTCCCTCCTGAACGCCCTCCGCTCACCTCTCTGCCTGCCCCTCCACCCCCCCGCCCCATCCTTCTGGGCAGATGCTGCTGCTGTCCCCTGCCTGTCCACCTTGTCCGTGCCTTTCCTGGGACGTCTGTGCTCGCTCCCCAGATTACTATTTAACATCCTGCTTGTCCTTCAAGGTTCAGGCCAGATGGCATTACGTGGCGTCTCCTCTGTGGGCCCCGGGCTGTCACGCTGGATGGCAGAGTGTGTGCCTCTGTAGCTGACGTGGAAGAGCCAGTGTCTTTCTGAGGGCCCGTGCAGGCCAGTGCTGGCGTGGAAGAGCCGGTGTCCTCCCGAGGGCCCGTGCAGGCCAGCGCTGACGTGGAAGAGCCGGTGTCCTCCCGAGGGCCCGTGCAGGCCAGTGCTGTCCCTGCAGTCTTGATATCTGACGCACATGCTCATTCCCTCTCCCACCCTTGTGGGCTCAGGGTCCTTGACACTAGTTCAGGGCTGGGGGTTAGGTCACCTGCCCTCATGTTCTCAGGAAAGTGGATGGAAGCTGGCTTTGAACCCAGGCCTACCCGGCCCCCAAGTCTGAATTCTTTCCCATGAAGACCTTGCACTCGTGTGTCTGTGCACTTGCTACAGCTTCCTTGTGTGAGGATCACCTGTAAATGCCGTGCTCCCAAAGTGTTTGTGTCTATTCTGCAGGCAGAGCCAAGTTCATAGTCACTCAGGGACCTACATACAGGGGACTCAATACCCATGGATTTTAGTGTTTTCCTGAAAGATAATACAGATTTGCTCATAACTTTTGTGCCTGAAAGGAGATGTAACAGAGCTGTAGCTGAAGTCAAGGTTTCAATATTGAAACTGGGATAAAATAGACCATTGTTATTTCATCTAAGTAATTTCTGTTCACCTATATACAATTAAGAAAGTATATTCGCTGTGTGCATGTGACAGGTCGTTACTACCAAACACCACATGATCTCATTCGTAAGTGGGAGTTGAACAATGAGAACACATGGACATAGAGGGGAATGTCACACACTGGGGCCTGTCGGTGGGTGGGGGGGAAGAGGGGAGGGAGAGCATTAGAACAAATACCTATTGCATGCGGGGCTTAAAACCTGGATGATGGATTGATGGTTGCAGCAAACCACCATGGCACCTGTATACCTATGTAAGCTGCACGTTCTGCACATGTATCCCAGAACTTAGTAAAATTAAAAAAAATTTTTTTTAATTCTCAAAAGTAAAAATGTCATCTGTAAAACATTTGCCAAGGGTAGCTTTTGAAGTAAAAGTTGCTGGCGTGCAAGGCCAGAGCTGGCTTTGTTTATGGAAGGGTCCACTGGCTCTGGTGTGGTCAAGCGGCGTCATCTTAAAGTTGTAGTTTTGTTGTTGCTGATGTTGAATCTTTTTAACTGCATGGTTGAGACCCTGTGGGTGTAACAGCTTCTCTCTGTCTCTGTTTTCAGAGTCGCAGTGCACGCTCTGCGGGGAGCCGGAAGGTGAGTACCTGACATGCTGCCTGGGGTGGGCGGGGGCCGCGCGGCTCACAGGTGTGTGGCTGGCAACAGTCTACCATGAAACGTGTTGGAGAGAACCTTGAACATTGAGGACGCAGTCTGTGTGCTGTTTGATAGGAACGTGAGTAAAATAATTGAAGCAAAGTGCAAGGTGAGCGTTAGGACTCAGCAGCTCGTCTCTGAAGAAGAATTGGCTTTACCATCAAATTGCAATATTTTCTTTATTTTTGTTTGTTCTGGATTGACAAATTTCCATCAGTTTCTGTGAGGTAACAGATGCTGATACAGGCTTGTTGGCTTTAAGTGCATTCGCCCAAGGTGCCAATGAGCCGCAGGCTGAGTCGGATCTGGGAAGCCCTTCCCGACTGTCGGTGGCTCAGCCTGAGAGTGTGTGGGGCCTTTGCTGGCTGTGAGTGATGTTCATCAGTGTTGCTTATTTAACTTTCTACGCAAGTCTCCTGTGTTTAAAACACGCGGCAAAGTAGGGCCCCTGAGTCTGTCATTTGTTGACTGTTTGGAACTAGTGAAAGCCAGCATTGGTGTAATATTTTTCAATGGTCTAATTAGAAAGAATAAGGACAATGTGATAAACACCTGACCCCTATTAGCGGGGACTCTGAATTAACTGGAGCTTTGATTTCGAGGTCTGCTTTCAGCAGCAAGAGGCAAATTGGCTAGAAAAAGAGTCAGCCTTGGGGAACTCGGGACACAGCCAACCCCAGGAATGTGCCTTTGGGTCAGAGCCCAGCCCAGCTCTGCTTCCACAGGGAGAGATGGGGAGAGATGATCCCAACGTGTGACTCTAAAAGCCGAATACTAAAGGCTTCTGTATACTCAGGGTCACAGAAGCTCAACCGTGTCCATTGGAAAGGCTCTTACTCGTAATTTAAAACACAAAAATGAAAAAGTGAGTATAGGGTTAACTTGGAACTTCTATGAAACACTTAATTCCCTTATTTGGTGGTTAAGGGAAGTATGACAAGGTTTTAAAACTTTTTCCTGTGTCATTTAGTAGTCATGGAAAGCACAGATATATCCATGGTAAAGTCAGTCACTGTACATTTTTAAATCATAAGCTTCACTTTTATGCAAAACATCAGACTTTGGACACCTGGCATTTCCAGAGTCAAAAGTAATGTGATGTTTTACAGTCAGGTGGGTGGGGGCTGTTCCCGGGTGGAGCCTGGGATGCTGGTCTGGGTGTGGCAGAGGCCGCCTGTGATGGGAAAGCCACAGGTCCTTTCCCCTGGAGACCCCAAGGCTGCTGCAGAGGATGATGAAATTCTGCAGCCTGTCTGTTGGGTGTTTGAAAGCTTTATTATTTCTTATTATAACTTCCATTGCCATTCCCACCAGGGAATGCATATCATGCTTTGAGTTCATTTTTCATTCTCTTTCCCCCAACCCCTCACCGAGAGTTTTCAGTGTGTGAGAGAAATTGTGAAATATAAAACCTTGTAAATAGTGGTTTAAACACATTGCATCTTGCTCTTCGTCTACTTGTTTCTAATAACAAATGTCTGCCTCTGCCAAGGACAGTGGCCCATGTGGGGTGTGTTTTGTTGTCACATGCCACTTACTGCTGTCATAAAAGAAGAGTTTTTTCCCAGTAAATCTGAATCCATGATGTTTGGAGGCGAGGGTTTGGACTGAATGAAGGCTGGTAAATCACCCCGGAGTCCTGGCTCAGGGATGGATATTGGATGATTTCTGGGGACATAAAAGAAGAGTTTTTTCCCAGTAAATCAGAATCCATGATGTTTGGAGGCGAGGGTTTGGACTGAATGAAGGCTGGTAAATCTCCCCGGAGTCCTGGCTCAGGGATGGATATTGGATGATTTCTGGGGACATTCTAGGTCATGGGATTGACTCTAGAGGGGACCTTGGCTGGCGCAGGCTGACTTGAGGCGACTGTAGTCGTCCAGAGCATGGGGAGGTGATCTGGCCCCATCAGGGCTCTCCAGCCTTAGGTCTGTGACCTCTCAGGCCCAGCACCACTGACGTCAGGCCAGAGTGCGTGGTCCTGGACAATCCCAGGGTCACTTCCCCTGGGCACCTGCCTTTGGCCTCCATATCACACATACTGTCGGCTCCCAGCAAATGTGTGACAGTGGCGTGAGGAGGGGAGGAAACGTGTTCGTTCCTGCTCTAGAAGGCAGGTCAGCTTCCAGATCTTTAAAACGAGACAGACCGGGAGGGCTGGTCAACTTCCAGATCTTTAAAACCAGACAGACTGGGAGGGCAGGTCAGCTTCCAGATCTTTAAAACCAGACAGACTGGGAGGGCAGGTCAGCTTCCAGATCTTTAAAACGAGACAGACTGGAAGGGCAGGTCGGCTTCCAGATATTTAAAACAAGACAGAATGGGAGGGCAGGTCAGATTCCAGATATATAAAATGAGACAGACTGGGAGGGCAGGTCAGCTTCCAGATATTTAAAGCGAGACAGACTGGGAGGGCAGGTCAGCTTCCAGATCTTTAAAATGAGACAGACTGGGAGGGCAGGTCAGCTTCCAGATCTTTAAAACGAGACAGACTGGGAGGGCAGGTCAGCTTCCAGATCTTTAAAACGAGACAGACTGTACTCCAAATAAGAAGACTCCCCCTGTCCGGTGGGGAGCCCCGCATAAGTCGGGGGGCTCTCCAGCCGAGGGTGGGGGTGGGAGGGGGGGCTGGGCAGTGGGGGGTGGGGCTCCCTGCTCTGGCCTGCCCCTCCTCACTGGGCTGCGGTTCTCTGAAGCCACCCCGTGTTTCAGATGTACGAGTGCAGTTGCTCCAGATCAGGGAGGAGGAAGGGTTTGTGGCGAGGTCTCAGCTGTGCTTTAGTTTTCCCAAAGCACTGTCATATGAATATTCATATATTTTTAAAATCATTTAAGTAATTAGTCTAAGTGAGAGCTGGCTGGGCGCAGAGAGTGGAATCTGAAATCAGCCTTTTTGTTTGGTAATTTCTTCAGCAGCTTCTGCGAGTTAACTCATAAATGTCATGGCACAGAAATGACCAGCCAGAGGCTGGTGGCAGCGTGTGCGGCTCGGATGTGGGTGTGCAGCGCTCATTACATCCAGAAGGTTAAGGCACCACCTCATTTAGCATCTCGCTTTCTTGTCAGAAAGCTGTTAACAGCCTTCCCTGGCTAAGCCAGTGAAGTGGGAAACACCTATTTGCATTTTAATGGTTAGTTCTGTCTGTGAGAGCTACTTCTTTGGATACAGATGGAATAATTAGCCCAGTCTCAGATGATAATATCTGTCAAACAAACGCAACCAGGGACAAAGTTTACAGGATGCTGGAGACCTCAGAATTCTACAGTTGGGGAATCTCTACGATGGTGTGGCCTGTTTTTCAGAGAACTTAAAATTTTAATTGTATATAAAATGTAGATCATGATCTCAATATGCAAATTACTTACATGTTCTGTATTACGAGGTTTTGAAACTTGTGAGACTATGTTTTCATGAGATAAAAATGTTTAAAAGATTGATTATTATTTACTGGTACCTTTGTTCCTACCAAGAAGATACAGACAGCCCAACTAAATCCTTGAAATGCAGCGTGGCGTGAAAATGGAGCGGCATTTTAGTTAACGAGGGTCTGGATGCCATTCACAGGAATGCAGTTTCTACAGGGTTCTGCTTTGCAGAGACCTCTCCTGATAATAATAATAAATTTACTCAGAACAATCTCAGTTGTCATAATAATTTGCCAATTTAATACTAAGACGGTCTCAATTTATATCATTTTCTTAGTGATTCCTGTTACCTTTTAGATAAAGGCAGTAACCAGTTACTATATAGCAATAAGAGGGCAGGCTGGTTTATCTTGACATAGCAAAAATCCGTGTGCGATATAATCTGTCAATTTAATATCGGAAAATAATTTAAGAGTACCTGATTCTTTTTAAGCTTTATTGACAGATGCATGATACTACTCGCTTTTCAACTAGAACACAGGAAAATTTATGGACATTGGGTGGGGCCACAGATGTCAGTTCATGGATTTGTCTGTTGGTTTACATTTTTATGGCTTGATTTGTCACCACAGCAGATAGATTTTCCGATGTGGGAAGACAGATAATGATGCCTGGTGGGGCCGGGAGAATGTATTTGAAATCCACAGTGACGTATTAACAGTGTCTTCGATCTGTGTTATTTGCCCCCATTAAATCTAAGAAATAAAATCAGCTATTAATATTATTATATAAATGTAGCATTAGAAAATGCTACAAAAATGTTGGGATACGTTGACATGAACGATTCTTTAGCAATCGAGGCCTCAAGATTGGAACTTTAAGAAGCAATAGATGATTGTGATGGCAGAAATATATATTGGATTATTTGGGTAATGTTTTAGAAATTCCAGGCTAAAAGCAAAATTCAAGTCTTAAAAAAACTAAGTAGTTTAAGGTAAGAGATTTTCTTTCTAAATCTGTTTTCATTTTTGTTGTTTTTACTTTGGTTATTGGAAAACACAATCTGCATGCTGCCCTTGGAATTTTGGGAAGACCTACAGAATCTTATATTTTAGAATTTTGGGAAGACATACAGAATCCTATATTTTATCACAACTAGGAGGAACCCAGGCCACCTCTTCTCCCTTCATAACTCATAATCAAGATATTGGGAAAGTTTTCGTGCAGTTAGTAGCATTAAGTTCTTGCTTTTTAAATACAAGATATTCAAGATTTTCCCCACAAGTGACTCGAAACAATGCAGTCTCCTTAGTGGGTTTTTGTTTTTAACCTTAATTGAATATGTGTTGTCTTAACATTTTAAGACCTCTTAACAATTCTGGGGAAAAAATGATAGGATTGCTTCTTGAAATTGCATATTGAAGAGCTTAGAAATAACCCCAGCCCTGTTCTCTGCTCTCTGTGGAGAGGGAGGGCACCACTGTTTCAAAGACAGCTGCCACCCTGTCTCTCTGAGACCACAGCTCTTTAATTGAATGCTTTGTATAAAAATGATCTTTTCTGATTGCTATTTGTGGTTTTTAGTGATTATTGTTGCTTAAGAACTAAAAAGTTCCACTAATATTTGAAGGAAAACAGACTCAGCTCTAGCCAGTCTGTCTTCTAGGACCTGAACATGGTTAGGGTTTTGGTGGAAATCAGAAAACAGTCTCTAGGGTAAGAGGGAGAATGCTGCTCCTCTCTTAGTCTAGATGGAAGACTGAGTTGACCCCTGTCCCATGCCCACTAAGAATAAATAAAATGCTGTACAATATGTAACACAATTTATTTCAGTGCATAGTTGAGCTTGGATGAAAACAAAAGAAAGGGGATCCCCTGAGCCCCAAGAACTAAGAAGGAATTCCAACCAGGGGATCAGCACGAGTTCCAGCTGCAGTCGCTCCTGAGATGCAATCCCAGAAAGGGGCCTGGGATGGGGCTGGGGTTGCGGTCTGTGCCCTGTCAGGTAGGGGTGGTGGAAACACTGTAATTGAGCCCCTTGAATCAAACCCAGACACTCACCCAGCTTCCCCGTTTGTGAGAAAAGAACTGGAAAAACATGCCTGAGAAAGTGTGGAGGAAGCTCATCGCACATCCAGGGCCATGGATAGGATATAAAGTTACCAATGAGAAATGCACACTCCAGGTATGGATCTGAGATCTGAATTTATACTACCTGTATGTTGCAGAAGGACCACATGATGACATTCATAGGAAAGTTGTTCCAGAATCAGTTATGATTCTGTCAGAACCTAAGGGCTCTGGCAGAATCAAAATCACAAACTATGTACACAGAATTCTTGACAACATAGGGGTCAAAGGACTTCTCCACTATAAAATAGTACCCACTTTAGATAAACATACAGAAAAGAGCATAACCCATATAAAGAAACTTTAAGGAAGTGATATGGTTTTGCTGTGTCCCCACCCAAATCTCATCTTGAATTGTCACTCCCATAATCACCACGTGCCATGGGAGGGACCCAGTGGGAGGTAATTGAATCATGAGGGTGAGTCTTTCCCGTGCTGTTCTCGTGATAGTGAATAAGCCTCATGAGATGTGATGGTTTCATAAAGGGCAGTTCCCCTGCACATGGTCTCTTGCCTGCTGCCATGTAAGACATGCCGTTGCTCCTCCTTTGCCTTCCACCATGATTGTGAGGGCTCCCCAGCCAAGTGGAAATCTGAGTCCATTAAACCTCTTTTTAAAAATAAATTACCCAGTCTCGAGTATTTCTTCATAGCACTATGAAAATGGAATAGTACAGGGAATAAGAAGATACAACAGGAGAATGAACAACCAAAGCCCTAGAAGTAATAGACTTGCCTAGATATTGGATACGTTTATAATTATTAAATAGATTTTCAAAAGAAACAGGAGCCATAATGTAAGAAGTATCTATTATGAGGAAAGAAAGACTTAAAAACAAACAGAATATCTGGAAACAAGATGGGTCATTTAAATTGACCACTCTGTGGATATATTATTATAAAGTAGATTAGACAGAGCTGAAAAGAGAGTTGCCAAACTGGGAAGTAGATACTAGGATATCACCTAGAACTTTGCATAAAAAATATAAAGGGAAATAGAAGAATCAAGTTGCGTGGAAGATGGCTTGAGAAAGACAAACACATGTCTGGAATTAAATGAGAAATTAAAAAAGAATGGGGAGAAAGGAGAAGCAGCATTAGTCAAAGAAGTAAAGGCCAAGATTTTCCTAGAAGTGAAGAAATATACTGGGCCTCTTTGATCTAAAGACTCCTAAGACTGAAGCCAGACAAGTACAGACACTCCCATGCCTTCTAAAGTGAAACCACGGAATAGGAGACAAAGAATCAATAAAGCCAGAGAGAATACAGACAAGTGTACTTGATTTTCAGGAGAGTTTTCGTAGTCAATACTGATGCCAGATGATGTTGGAATAATGTCTAAGAATTTCTGAGACAATAAAGAGAGTGAATAGAATGCAAAATATTTAATATAAAGGTGAATAGAAGAGTAGACAGGTAGGGGAGGGGAGAGAAAAAGGCTCATACAACACAAAGCACATGGTAGGATGACTCAGGTATTTTTATAGATAAAATCATTGTTTAATGATAAACGGAATCTGCTCCAAGAAGCTATAAGAACCATCTACTTTATAATAGATTCAAGATATGCAAAGAAAAAAATGATTACAAGGAGAAACCAACAAATGAAAAATTATGACAGGGGACACCCTTGTCTGAGGACATAGAACCTCACTGAAGGGAGTGGGTGTAACCCAGGAAAAGCAGAGACGCTCTGAAAGGGAGGTTTCCCTGGCCCCCAGCATTCCCAACAGGGACGCTGTCTACTATCTGCGAAAGGGGGTTCTTGCCAAGTTCACAAAGTTTAATTTTTTGCTTGACTTCAGTCCCCTTTTGGCTTATGTGGCATTTTAGCAAGCACTTACCCAAGCAGCCATGCTTTTATTGGAAATATTTGCAGGACGCTTCTGGTTTCCAGATGAGCGCAGATTCACCTGGGTGATACTCTGTCTACGGGGCAAGGTGTGGAGCAGGAAGCAGCATCTCTGCTGTCCCTTCCCGGGGTCCTCAGAAGCTCCAAGAATCCCTCTCCCCATCAACCTGCTCTTTATGGCCAGCCATAAATAACTATTACCAAAGCATAAGTCAGATCATATTATTTGCTTCCTTAAATCCTGTCAGTTCCTCCTCTGTTGGATAAATTCCACATTCATAATCTTGCCCCTACTGGTCTGTCCAATGCTGTTTAACCACATATGAAATATGCACCCTCTGTTCTCAGTCACCACGCACTGACGTACGCCTCCGTGGGTGCACCCGGGACGTTGAAGGCTTTACAATAAAAGCATGATACAGTGAGGGGGGAGGGGAGTGTTGAGTGCAGACCCAGTGTGTGTATATGTGTTTGTGTGTGTGTTTTATGAACAAAGAGAAAGCTATCGAGGAATACTTTGGAATACATGCCCTCTCCCCATTGTGTGTGCAGCTTCTGCTTGGATAATGAATGGCTTGCTCATTAATGCGTTATCCCAGCAGAAGATGCACACTCAGTGGGGAGAGGGGATGTGTAATAGTTTGTATTAAAAATAAAAAGGGCGCGGTGGCTCACGCCTATAATCCCAGCACATTGGGAGGTCTAGGTGGGCAGATCACAAGGTCAGGAGGTCAAAACCATCCTGGCTAACATGGTGAAATCCTGTCTCTACTAAAAATACAAAAACAAAATTAGCCAGGCGTGGGGGTGGGTGCCTGTAGTCCCAGCTACCCCTGAGACTGAGGCAGGAGAATGGCGTGAACCAGGGAGGCGGAGCTTGCAGTGAGCCAAGATTGCACCACTGCACTCCAGCCTGGGCAACAGAGCGAGACTTCATCTCAAAATAAATAAATAAATAAAATAAAATAAAATAAAATAAAATAAAATAAAAAGGTCTGGGTGCAGTGGCTCACGCCTGTAATTCCAGCACTTTGGGAGGCCGAGGCGGTGGATCACTTGAGGTCAGGAGCTTGAGACCAGTCTGACCAACATGGTGAAACCCCATCTCTACTGAAAATACAAAAATTAGCCAGGTGTGGCGGCGGGCGCCTGTAACCCCAGCTAATTGGGAGGCTGAGAATCGCTTGAACCCAGGAGGTGGAGGTTGCAGTGAGCTGAGATTGTGCCACTGCACTCCAGCCTGGGAGACAGAGCAAAATTCCCGCTCAAAATAAAATAAAATAAAATAAAATAAAATAAGATAAGATAAGATAAGATAAGATAAGATAAGATAAATATTAAATAGGTCTACAAAAAGGCCTCCAGGGTCAGCTCAGACACCATTTCCGTGATGAGACGCCCACGTCCTCCGTGTCGCTGGCCCCCTCCGTAGCAACTCTGTTGGACTTCCTTTGCCATCCCTTCCCTTTTTCTCCTCTGCAGATGTCTGTTGGGGCAGAATGTTTGTCCCACGCTGAGCTCAGTGCTGGTTCTATGGGAATTCTGAGCATGGGAACTGGTTTTTCCTCCATCACACCCACCCTAGTCCTCTGCATTTCATAGCCCTGTAGTTTTGAATCAAATACATAAAGCTGGCTTCATGGATGTCTGTTCTTATTACAATATAAGTGCTGCATTTAGAATCAGAGGTGAAGCCACAGCTATTCAATATGATAAGATAGAGTGAAACGGGGATGAATTGAACATACCATCTGGTGTCTGAGATTGCGACAATTACCCATTTATGCAGAATGATATAAAATTCACAAATAAACCCTAGTTTGCAAATTTCTTTCTTTTTAAGAAATAATATCCAATATCAGAGGTTCAGGTATTCTGGCATTGAAACAATTTTACCTCCATGATAGTCTCAGGAATACATAAATATTTTATATTTTTGGTCACTGGGTAATTTAAACATCAGGCCGTGGGTTTAGTGTGATTGGAGAAAATACTCCCTATTTTCTTGTTGCTAAACATGCCTAATTGTTGAATTTTGAAGCATATTTGGGAGATGGAAATATATGCAATTGCATGTTGAGGAAAAGAAATATTAGAATTATTCTCAGTAATTCATAATAAACTCATTTGCAATATTGAAATAATTGGCCAAAGAGAGAAATTTAATGTGGGATAGCGTCTGACAGCTGTCTTCCGCGTTAGAGTGTCGCCATCTCCAAAGCAGGAACTTTGTTTTAAAATGAGAACATCATTCGTGCCATTTCACAAGAAGCATAAAATGCCCCCAATTTAACATCTTTCCGCTGATCTGCTGAGAGTCAAGTATCCTTAAGAGAATTCTTATCATCTTCCTTAGCTCCAGGAATACAAAGATGTTGGGTGGTTATTAGATTTCCTGAGAGTTACATGTCTCTGCAGAAGCCACATTATCTCAACTTACTACTTGTTTCTTTAAAAATTTAAAAACATTTCCCAATTATGCACCTCATGTTGCACACTGGGAAATGTCAGCATTGTTCTGGGGTCTCACTCTGACTTGGCAGGTGCTAAGACATTTTCAAAGACAAAGAAGCTTTTATTTGACTTAGACCTTCAGGCTAAGTCGGCTTTGTGGCAGAATGACATGGCCAGAGCCAACGGCAGTGGAACCCTCAGCTCTATCTGCAGCTGATTCTGCAGGTAGCTCAGCCGTAGTCCTTGGTCTGAGATGAATCTTGGAGGGAGACCAGAGACAAGGAACAGAATTCCCTGATGAACCAATAGGGCATACAGATGTGAATTCATCAAGTCTAAATATTCTGGGCTCCTAAGCAACTGTACATTGGCTCACCCCTTCATCGGTGGGCCCG